>NC_000016.10:29116900-29432107 GCF_000001405.40 Homo sapiens | reverse complement strand
CTCATGCCTGTAATCCCAGCACTTCGGGAGGCCGAGGCAGGCGGATCACCTGAGGTCAGGAGTTCAAGACCAGCCTGGCCAACATGGTGAAACCCCGTCTCTACTAAAAATACAAGAAAATTAGCCGGGCATGGTGGCGAGCGCCTGTAATCCCAGCTACTCAGGAGGCTGAGGCAGGAGAATCGCTTGTACCCAGGAGGCAGAGGTTGCATTGAGCTGAGACAGTGCCATTGCACTCCAGCCTGGGCAAGAAGAGCAAAACTTCATCTCAAAAAAAAAAAAAAAGTAAGTAAGTAGATAAATAAAGAAATAAGACTGCTTCAATTTGCTTTTCAGGTTTGAAAAGGCCTCTGTGGAGTACCAGGAACACCTGTGTGCCATGATAGGTGTTCATTGCTGCATCTCCAGCTTTGACAAATCGGTGCTCACCTTAGCCAATGCTGGGTGTAACAGTGCCAGCCCGAAACATTGTCTGAATGGTGAGCGTTCAGTATTTTTAAATAAAGCAAAAGTTATAGTAATATATTTCGTACTGATGATCTTATCATGTTTTTAGGTTTCTGTGCTCTTTGAAATATTTCTAATTGATCTGAATCTCTCTCTTCTTATTTTATAAAATACTTTCAGGTGAATCCAGAAAAACTGTGCTGTCCAAACCGACTGACTCTTCCCCTGAGGTTATAAATTATTTAGGAAATAAAGCATGTGAGTGCTACATCTCAATTGCCGATTGGGCTGCTGTGCAGGAATGGCAGAACGCTATCCATGACTTGAAAAAGAGTACCAGTAGCACTTCCCTCAACCTGAAAGCTGACTTCAACTATATAAAGTAAGGCTTTCTGTTTCCAGTTATAAAACAAATTTCCAATAACTACGATGTTTTTCCTATGGCAAAAAAATATTAAAATTGGTCATATGTAGTAATACAAAATGGTTATATTTCTAACTTACTGCCATTATGAAAATGACAACAGGAAACTGACATCAGAGATGAGGGAAGGTATTTGTATAATGGGAAAACACTGCTGAGATAGTCATTTGGTATTAATTTTCAGAACCTGTTGTTCTAAAACCTTAATACAGTTTGAAGATTATGCCAGAGTGAATATAAAGAAAAATTTGTACTGCTTTAGAAAGAATCACATTTGATGGCTTTGTTTCTAAATGAGGTCTGAATATATCAAAAACATTTATTCTAATGAGGACAGAGTTTGTGAACATCTGTAAATTAAACTTTCTTCTCATTCCTCTGTGCTTTTATTAATTCTGTAATTCAAAACTGAGCACTCACTCTGTTGCAGACACTTGGCTGGGAAGATAAAGGTCATTAGACTTTGTCTGATACTTCTACTGCTAAATGGGTTAATGTGTAATTGCTTCACTGAGCATGTGCTATGACCCAGGCAGCACATAAAACAGACACAAATTCCAACCTTTTAAAGCAAAGATTAGATAAAGATTATTGATAGAAGGATTAATTGGACCTCACTCACCTTTTCTGTGCCATAAGGAAAGCAGTTAGGTAAAGCTGACCTTCTTTGGAGGGAAGACACAAGGTCAAGGCATGCCCATCAGGATGCCCTTTGGGCCTAGACCTGATGTGAGAATGATGGGCTTGGAGTGTTCTGGAAATAGCTGGGAGGCCTGTGTGTTTAGGAGCGCCTTAAACAGTAGGATATAAGGGCAGAGAAGTAGCTGGGAACTGAGAAAAGAACTTTGGCTGTTATTCTAGTAAGACTGAAAATTTCAGGTGGGATTTGAACAGAGATGTGTTGTGATCTGACTTGGTGGTTCATTCTGCTATGGTGAAGAGACTGGAGGTGGGGGGCAAGTATGGAAGCATGGAGACCATTAATTTGTGGGGGCAATGGTAGAGGGAAGAGAAACAATGCTATTAACTGGAGTAGGAGCACACAGAGAACAAGCCATGTTTTAAGATTTCTAATGAAATGTGCAGACGAGATTGTTGGGTAAGCTGTTAAGAATTGGATTTTGAACTAAGGAGAAAGTCTAAGCTTGAGAGATTTGCAGATCATTAGTACACAGAAAAGACCCTCTTTCCTTTTCAGTGTCTATACTCTAGAGCCTTTGTAAGCAACCAAACCAGAGAGAAGCCTCTGGAGAATATTGAGTGAAGAGGAAGGAAGGCCTGGGTCAGAATCCTAGTTTAGCATTTTTGTGAAAGGATAGAAGAGGAAGCCATTCAAAAAAATACAGGGACATTGAGAAGGGAAGTGTCCTAGATTAGGACATCCAGATGAGAGTAGTCAGCCTTGTCAGATGCTCTAGGGATTATAAGGAAAAAGAGTTTTGTAGAGAGACAGAAGAAGCTAAATTGAATACTATTGAGTGGTAGAGACATTTGAAAATGAAAAGCTTGAGGTAAGTTATTTGGTCAGTGAGTTTTTCTTGAAGTCGAGGATAGGAAGCTGTTGCTGGAGGGAAATATGAGATGTTTATTTTAAATGTTGGAGAGATTATGTTCTTTTGGCCAAGGGGAAGGAGCCACTAGAAAGCAGAGGTTGAAGGAACAGGAGAAAGAACATTGATAGATTAACTGGCCCTCACCTTTTCTCTGCCCCAAGGAAAGCAGTCAAAGTTGGTATAGACAGAATTTCAGCAGTGTATGGTGGATCGGGGGTAGGGGTAGAGGAAATTAAAGCCTGTTTTTTTTTGTTTGTTTGTTTTTCTGAGGACTGAGTCATTAGCTGAAAGCATAGGGCATTATAGAGCATAGTGGGGACTTGAGGAACCTGCCACTGGAGAGGACTTAGGACCTTTTAATGGCAGAAATGATGAATGTGTTGGCAGCAGTTCATCAGTGCCCAGTACTCAAGGGTCCCCCTGAGAAGCCAGTGGTTGCACTGATCTAGGTAGAATCAGGCACAGAATAAGTCAGGTGATGTGCCTTTCTAGCACTGGCCTCAGGCTGAGTTATAAGGGAAGTTACACAGCGAGAGGGACAGGCAAAGATGGAAAAGAGAGAGAGTGAGAAACAGTGTCTTCTTCCTGGCTGGAGAGCCCGTGTCATGAAAATGGGGACAGGGTAAGGGATCTGAAAGGAGCAGCATAGAAGCTGGGAGGATGAGGTCTGTCTTCCTGGCATTGATGCTGCAGGACTACAGGAAAGAATTTCAGAGGTGTCATTATTTTTCATATAAGCAGATGAAAGAGAAGAATTCTTTGAAAAAAGAAAAGTAGGTGAAAAAGGGAGAGACGGAGGGACGCCAGCAGTGAAAGAAGCCAGGACTGAGATACAAGATTGTGATGCTGGGAGAGCTGCAAGGGCTCATGCTGTAGGTGAGGAGTGAGGCTGCACAGGGAGCTCACTGGCAGCTTGGAGAGAACTGGGTGTCAAAGTTGTCCTGCAGAGGTCTACTGTCAGTGTGTTAGGCTCTGAAGAGAACAGGCTGCAACACATGAAAACAGGAAGGAGACACAGGCGAGTCAGCTCCACTGAAAGTCTGTAGCTGTGACTTTCTGGTTTGCCACTCCAATTTGAGTACTAATTAAGTGGTAGTCACATCTTCAACATAAAAACCAAAATAATGGCATCCTCGTGGAAGGAATTTTGTCAGAAAAATGCTGTGTACTTTGCTGTCTTCCTAGGATTTGTTCTGTTTTTGTTTGTTTGTTTTTTTTTAATGGTTCCACAGGCTGCGTAGGAATACAAGCTAACCAATATTTTAATTACAGATCATTAAGCAGCTTTGAGTCTGGAAAATTTGTTGAATGTACCGAGCAATTAGAATTGTTACCAGGAGAAAATATCAGTCTACTTGCTGGAGGATCAAAAGAAAAAATAGGTAGGTATTTGAGAAAATAGTTTTAAAGTTATTTTAGTGGACAAGTTGCTCAAAATGTTTGGCTTAGTATATTTTACTGGAAAATCTGGAAGTTATTTTACATTTTTGGGGGGGCAGAATCCCATGTGAAGCAACAAATTTAGGGCTGCCCTATTTATGTTTGATTTGGGAAATGAAAAGCACTTAAAATTAAGTCAAATAAAAAAAATGGCCACTTTAATACTTTGAGATTTATCTAGCCATTTTGTTTGATAAAGGACAAAGTAGTGTTTCAGCTAAATATTTTTCTTGATTTTCATCGATGTGGCTCATTAATTAAGTTCTTTGTCACAAATGGAACACTTTATAAAATGTTATTAAAAAGTTTAATGAGTATTCTGGATTGAGCAAGATTTGCTAATGCAGGTCTAGATTTGTCCCCTTAAATAGTAGATTGACTTACCGACTTTCTTTTTTGTTGAGACAGTCTCACTCTGTTGCCCAGGCTGGAGTGCAGTGGCGCGATTTCGGCTCACTGCAACCTCCGCCCTCTGAGTTCAAGCGATTCTCCTGCCTCAGCCTCCTGAGTAGCTGGGATTACAGGTGTCTGTCACCGTGCCCAGCTAATTTTTAGTATTTTTAGTAGAGACGGGGTTTCATCATCTTGGCCAGGCTGGTCTTGAACTCCTGACTTTGTGATCCACCCACCTTGGCCTCCCAAAGTGCTGGGATTACAGGCGTGAGCCACCACGCCTGGCCTCGACTTACTGATTTTTGAGCCTTTGAAGGCAACTGCTTTTTAGGGGTCTGAGGTACAGTAATTTTGTATGAAGTATGATTTTTATATAGCTCTCAGTAATGCTTATAGTGTTTAACTGCCTTAAATATTAAAGGAGCTGTTCATTGGTGATTAGTTTTTAATAATGCCAAACATAAATCAAAATTTATAATAAAAGCACATTAACTTAATGACATTTCATTTAACTTCTGTAGACATGAAAAAACTGCTTCGTAACATGTTAAGTCCAGATCCAAGGGAACCTCAGAAATCCATTGAAGTTCAATTGTTAAGAAGTTCTGTTTGTTTGGCAACTGCTTTAAACCCGATAGAACAAGATCAGAAGTGGCAGTCTGTAACTGAGTAAGTTTACTCTTACGGAGGTAAATGTACATTGTGTATATCATGTGATAAACATACATGGGGTGAAGAGGGCTGGAAGGAGAGTTACTAGATTACTAAATACTAGTGCTAATAGCTTCATTTTAGTTGTAGAAGTCATATGATATATGAATGCTGTTTGCCAACAAAAACTGAGGTTGAAATGAAATAAAATGTAAAAATCCCCAAAAGCAAATGTCTTGACTTGCTAATATCATTTTATTATAGAGCAGGCTGCTCCTCTTACTGCCCCCTAACTTTGGATGTCAGTTTGACAGCATCTTATCAATTGCTTTATTCTTTGAGTGGTTATGAATTGTAATTTTTATTAATTGACAGTAAATATTTTGTTTCAGAAATGTGGTAAAGTACTTGAAGCAAACATCCCGCATCGCTGTTGGACCTCTGAGACTTTCTACTTTAACAGTTTCACAGTCTTTGCCAGTTCTAAGTACCTTGCAGCTGTATTGCTCATCTGCTTTGGAGAACACAGTTTCTAACAGACTTTCAACAGAGGTCTGTATATTTTTACAAGCACATTCTTATGACTATTAATGGTCATTACTGTAGAACAAAGACCTTATTTTTTGAGTTTTTTGAAATAGGATTTGTAGTTGGGCAAGCTGGTAAATCCAGAAATCTAACATGCTGTTTTCAGGCAGTCTTTCATTTGGGAAGTACATGGGGCAGATGGAAGAACCTGAGATAATCGCAAGGATGGCAAATTGCTCTGTTTTTTCTTCTATTTTTGGGGTGGGAGGTGGTGTATGTAAAGACAGTTCCTTTAGGCGGATTACGTAAATTTTAGATTTGCTGCAAACAAAGATCTCTCTTCTTCATCCTAAATGGGGTAAAGTTCAACCAGAGATGGGGGCTTCTGAATGAATGATGATCTTCGAGAACTTCATAATAAAGCATTAGTTGTAATGTTTTTCTGCAGTCTGCTTTATAGTAAATGTGCTGTGACTTTTTTTTTGTAATGTGCTTTATTAATGTATTGATAAATTAGACTTAATATTCTGAAGAAGATTTCCCTTCAAAACAAAAGGCTTTCTCTTACTGTGTGCTTGCCTCTTGTGAGTAGAAGATAAATGATGTAAGGGTATAGTGTAATAGATAAAACTATTGCAATCAATCTGAAGTAGCCAAACTATATTGCAGTCTTGGACTTAAGACTTGCTATATATCTGCAAACATATCAACAGCCTGTTTTACGTTGAGTAATTTTGGTTTTTCTCTGGCAGGACTGTCTTATTCCACTCTTCGGTGAAGCTTTATGTTCATGTAAACAGCATGACGTGAGGCCATGGATGCAGGCATTAAGGTATACTGTGTACCAGAATCAGTTGTTGGAGAAAATTAAAGTTAAGTGGTTTTCCTTTCTTTTTTGTAAGAGAAAATTAAAGGTGGTTTTTTTTTTTTTAATTTTGCTTTATTGAGGTTTATATTACACATTCTAAGTGTATGGTTTGATGAGTTCTAACATGTCTTCACTTGTGTGACCACCAATACGATCAAGATACAGAACAGCGTCTTACCCCAGAAGGTTCCCTTGGGATCATCTCATTTGCCCCTGTCAGCAGTTATTGATTTGCTTTCTGTCACTATGGATTAGACTTGTTTTTACTAAAGTTTCATGTACGTGAAATCATAACAACATGTTCTCTTGTGTTTGGCTTCTCTTGCTCAGCATGATATTTTTAAGGTTCACCCATATTGCATGTATCAAGAATACAATCCTTTTTATTATTGAGTAGTGTTCTATTGTATGTATATATACCACAGTTTATTTCTCCCTTCATCCTTTGCTAGATTTTGGGGTTTTTTCACATTGCACTATTCAGTATAAACCTGCTCTCAACATTCATGTGCAAGTCTTTGAGTGGACATATATTTGCGTTTCTCTTGAGTGAATGCACCTTGTTGGGTCACGTGGCTTAACTTAAAAAAATTTTAATCACTGTGGTGCATATGTAGTGATTATTAATGATTATCTCATAATTTTATTTTCTTGATGATTAATGATGTTGAGTGTATTCCATTTGTATTTTAGTTTGCAAATGTTCAAATTCTTCACCCGTTTTTAATGAAGACATAAGACTTATTTTTGTGTTCTGAACATAAGTTCTTTGTCACATAAAATGTGCTATGAATGTTGAGTTTTAAATACTCCAAATGAATGGCTAGAGAATTACTATTTGTAGAAATATTTATATGTCAAAGGGATGCTAACAATTTACTTTATTGCTCTAAAATAGAAAAGTTGCCAGAATGCTGTGGAGTTTTAGTGGAAAACATGATAGCTGGTGTTACTGAGTAAATTTGAGTGTTAAATGTCAATGTAAGCTAACGGCCAAGATAGGGACCACTGCAGGGTGGTTACTTGCAGCTATGACTCAACTGGTCCTTCACTGCCAAACATACCTGGGGTTGGATCATTGGCCTGACGTTTGCAAATTGAGGAACCTTAGGGCAAATCAGTGAACTTCTGAACTGCCTTCGTCTTCAGTTATATGGGGATTTCCCCACTTTTGAGATACTTGTAAGGATTATATGAGATGAAGAGATGAGACAAGGTATATAAAAGTCCTAGCACAGAGCGTGTCATATAATATGGCTTCACAAGTACCCTCATCTCCTTTCCAGTCGTTTTTTTTTTTTTTTTTGAGACCATCTCACTCTGTTGCCCAGGCTGGAGTGCCTCTTCATTTTTATTTCTTTATTCAGCAAGTATTGATCAAATGTGCTTTGTACCAGGTACTGAGCTCTACGTTGGGATATAATGGTGATCAAGGAGATTGTAGATTCTGGCAGGGAAAACTGACATCAAACACGGCGACCCGACATAGTGAGACCCTGTCTCTACTAGAAGAATTTTAAAAATCACCTAGGTGTGGGCCGGGCACGGTGGCTAACGCCTGTAATCCCAGCACTTTGAGATGCTGAGGCGGGTGGATCACGAGGTCAGGAGATCAAGACCATCCTGGATAACACGGAGAAACCCCGTCTCTACTAAAAATACAAAAAAATTAGCTGGGCATGGGGGCGGGCATCTGTAGTCCCAACTACTCGGGAGGCTGCAGCAGGAGAATGGCATGAACCCGGGAGGCGGATCTTGCATTGAGCCAAGATCACGCCACTGCACTCCAGCCTGGGTGACAGAGTGAGACTCCATCTCAAAAAAAAAAAAGAAACCAAGGATATAGAATAAAACAAGAGTGTAGATTTGGGCATTGAGGCCTTCAAATTGGATTGTTCCCAATGTCCAGAAGAAAAAAAAAATTTAGAAGAGACCCAAATCAGAAAACAAAAGTTGGGCTGAATTCAACGCGAATTATTTTCTAGCTCAATATTACTGCTTATGTCAGCTGAATTTCAGCCTTTCAATAACAGCTAGTCAAGTATTTTTTTAGTTGGTTCCTATTGATCATCATCTTATTTTAGTGGAATCCATTATATTGAAGATGTCAAGTTCCTCATTTCCCATACAAAGAATGTGAGATTCATCTTTCTTGAATCTTAGCTGCTAAGTGTTTAAGGGGACTTTTGGCATCTTTTCAGGAGGACTATAATTGGGCCCTCTAACTAAAAAGTCTCCTATGCCCCTTACATAAATGAGATTTTTTTTTTTTGACCTTGTACCCACCAACATTGGTGGGAGGCTCAGAAGGGACTGTGTTTGTAACTTTGTAGCACTTTCTAAACAGTGACCTGTTGTGTGGGCGTTATAGGACAGACCGTGGGGTGGGGCGGGGGATGGGGGAGGTGGACAAATGAGGTCTGGATGAGAAGTGTGACCAGGCGTGTTTGACTCATGCCTGTAATCCAGCAGTTTGGGATGCTGAGGCAGGAGGATCACTTGAGCCCAGGAGTTTGAGGTTACAGTAAGCTATGATTGTGCCACTGGGCTCCAGCCTGGGTGACAGAACTAGACCCTGTCTCTAAAAAAAGAAGAAGAGGTGTGTATCCTTCTAAATGATAAAACAGATCACTCCCCTGCTTACATAAAACTTTCCGGTGGCTGGCCAGGCACGGTGGCTCACGCCTGTAATCCCAGCACTTTGGGAGGCCGTGGTGGGCAGATCACAAGGTCAGGAAATCGAGACCATCCTGGCTAACGTGGTGAAATCCTGTCTCTACTAAAAACACAAAAAATTAGCCAGGTATGATGGCATGCACCTGTAGTCCCAGCTACTCGGGAGGCTGAGGCAGGAGAATTGCTTGAACCAGGGAGGTGGAGGTTGCAGTGAGCTGAGATTGCGCCACTGCACTCCAGCCTGGGTGACAGAGACTCTGTCTCAAAAAAAAAAAAAAAAAAAAAAATTAGATGGGTGTGGTGGCATGTGCCCGTAATCCCAGCTACTGGGGAGCCTGAGGCAGGAGAATCGCTTGAACCTGGGAGGCAGAGGTTACAGTGAGCCGAGATTGCACCACTGCAGTCTGCCTGGGTGACAGAGCTAGACTCTGTCTCAAAAACAGAAAAACAAAAAACAACTTTCCAGTGGCTTCTCACTGCTCTGAGAATAAACTCCAGGCTCTTCCATTGCAACCAACAGGATCTGTTGATTCGACCCCAGCCCCTCTTTCCAGGCCCTCATCACTTTGATCCTCTCTTAACCTATCCTGCTCCAGCTGCACTGGCTGCCTTCCTATTCCTCCAGCATACCAAGATTGTTTCTGCCTCAGGGCCTTTGCATCTGCTGTTCTCTTCGCCTGGACTCCTCTTTGTTCTTTTTTTTTTTTTTTCTTTGAGATGGAGTCTCACTCTGTCGCCCAGGCTGAAGTGCAGTGGCGTGATCTCGGCTCACTGCAAGCTCCGTCTCCTAGGTTCACGCCATTCTCCTGCCTCAGCCTCCCGAGTAGCTGGGACTACAGGCATCCACCAAGCCCGGCTAATTTTTTTGTATTTTTAGTAGAGACAGGGTTTCACCGTCTTAGCCAGGATGGTCTCGATCTCCTGACCTCGTGATCCGCCCGCCTGGGCCTCCCAAAGTGCTGGGATTACAGGTGTGAGCCACCGTGCCTGGCCATAGAGCAGTCTCTTCCTTTTCCTGTTGGGTCTCTGCTCAAATGTCATGTCAGAGAGGCAGACCTCTGGGGCGGTCTATCTGAGGGAATGCACCCATCTCCCTTCCTCTGACCAGTTAGTTACCTTGCTTATTCTTTCAAAGCTCTTACCACCACCTGAAGTCATCTATCTGGTTTGGTTATTTTATTGTTTAGTAGCAGTCTTTATTTTATTACTATTTTTTTTTTTTGATGTAGTCTCACTCTGTTGCCCAGGCTGGAGTGCAGTAGCATGATCTCGGCTCACCACAACCTCTGCCTCCCAGGTTCAAGCGATTCTCCTGCCTTAGCTTCCTGAGTAGCTGGGACTACAGGCACGTGCCACCATGCCCAGCTGATTTTTGTACTTTTAGTAGAAACGGGGTTTCACTATGTTGGCTGGTCTTGAACTCCTGACATCAAGTGATCCGCCCACCTCGGCCTCCCAAAGTACTGGGATTACAGGCATGAGCCACCACGCCAGGCTGGTAGCAGTCTTTCCTAGAATGTGGATGCCCTGGAAAACAGGGGCTCTGCCTTGTTTCCCTAGAACCTAGAATGGCATCTGGCACACAGCAGATGCTACATGTATTGTAAATGAATGAATGAAAGAAGTGTCCTTGCAGCCACTCTGGCAGCCGTAACATAGTGGTTATAAATCTAGACTCTGGAGTCTCAAGTGCAAATGTCATTGGCCTCTCCTCCAGCCTCCTCAAGGGGCACTCAATGAAAGAACCTGGAAGTGCCCTGATATGACTGTGGTTGGACTGACATGACTGCCAGATGGTGGGACTTGGTCTGGAGCAGAGACTACTTGGAATGGTAGAGGCAAAACTCAACAGCCCCTGGAGCTGCGCTTGTGGTGGAGCTGGACCCTGATTTTAGCTGGACCTTGTTTTTAGAGACAGGGTTTCCTTCTGCAGTCTCAAACTCCTAGCCTTGATTGATCCTCCTGCCTTGGCCTCCCAAAGTGCTGGGACTACAGGTGCATGCAACCACACCTGGCTAATTTTCTTCTTTCTTTCTTTTCTTTTTTTTTTTTTTTGATGGAGTCTTGTTCTGTTGCCCAGGCTGGAGTGCAATGGTGCCATCTCGGCTCACTGCAACCTCTGCCTCCTGGGTTCAATCCATTCTCCTGCCTCAGCCTCCCAAGTAGCTGGGACTACAGGTGTGTGCCACCGTTCCTGGCTAATTTTTGTATTTTTAGTAGGGACGAGACTTCATCATGTTGGCCAGGCTGGTCTCGACCTCCTGACCTCAGGTGATCCACCCACCTTGGCCTCCCAAAGTGCTGGGACTACAGGCACATGCAACCACGTCTGGCTAATTTTCTTGAGTTTTAGTAGAGACTGGGTCTCGTTACGTTGTCCAGGCTGGTCCCGAGCTCCTGAGTTCAATCGATCTTCCTGCCTTGGTCTCCCAAAGTGCTGGGCCTACAGGCGTGAGCCATCATCCCCAGCCCAATTTTTGTATATTTTGTAGAGACACAGTCTTGCTATGTTGTCCAGGCTGGTCTCAAACTCCTGGGCTCAAGGGATCTTCTTGCCTTGGCCTCCCGGAGCACTTAATTACAGGAATGACTGCATGTGCTGTTGTGCCTATACTTTCTGGAGATACGTTGTTAGGAATTTATGTAGTTGGCCGGGCACTGTGGCTCATGCCTGTAATCCCAGCACTCTGGGATGCTGAGGCAGGTGGATCACCTGAGGTGAGGAGTTCGAGACCAGCCTGGTCAACATGGTGAAACCCTGTCTCTCCTAACAATACTAAAATTAGCTGAGCGTGGAGGCACATGCCTGTAGTCCCAGCTACTTGGGAAGCTGAGGCAGGAGAATGGTTTGAGCCCAGGAGCAGAGGTTGCTTACAGTGAGCCAAGATCATACCATTGCACTCCAGCCTGGGCAACAGAGCGAGACTCTGTCTCAAAAAAAAAAAAAAAAAAAAAAGGAATTTACATAGTTGAACAACTATTCTTTGGACATCTTTTAGTCCAGTAGACGGTGTTAAACTTGAAGACAAATAACGATTTGACCTGTGATATTTGTTTTTCCCTCTTATCCTCTAAGCCCATTCATCCAGATCATTCATCACCTTTAAAGGCATCCCCAGAGGGAGGCAGGTCTGGACAGAGCTGAAGATTGCACAGGCCATTTGCAGGCTGGATTCGTTCTGTGGTGACCCACCTGTCTGACTCGAGTTATTTTTTTCCCATGTCTGGACAAGACTGACCTCTGCCCAGCAACTCAGGCCTGGATTTAGTCCAAGGGCCCTCAGTGGCTTTTTTTGTTTGTTTGTTTTTTCAGGAAGTGAAGAATTTAGAGGGATAAAAGGCGGAAATAACTTTTCAGCCTCTGACCTTTGTAACAATCTGGTTTCCTTTTAAAGGAGCATTGTTTGGGCCTGGGGCCACCTAGACCTTCTGATGCTCTTTCCCCACCCTTGGAGGAGGAGGAAAGGAAGAAAATGGGCCCTGAGCGATCACCACATACCAGGCCCTGGGGGTCTAGTGGCGAAGGAGGCAGGTAGGGTCTCTGCTTTCATGGAGCTTCTAGTCAAGCGAGACACACTAAACAGTAAAGGGACAAATAGGATTACTGGAGGTAGCCCTAACTACTGGGACAGAAACAAGATGGTAAGATAGAGAAGGAAGAGTGGCCTGCTCAGATGGGGTGGTCCAGAGGCCTCTCGGGGGAGGTGACTCCTTTTTATTTTATTTTTTTTGAGATGGAATCTAGCTCTGTCGCCCAGCCTGAAGTGCAGTCGTGTGTTTCATGCGCGTCCGTGTGAAGAGACCACCAAATAGGCTTTGTGTGAGCAACATGGCTGTTTATTTCACCTGGGTGCAGGCGGGCTGAGTCCGAAAAGAGAGTCAGCAAAGGGTGGTGGATTATCATTAGTTCTTACAGGTTTTGGGATAGGGGGTGAAGAGCCATGTTTGCAGGCAGGGGTGGATCTCACAAAGTACATTCTCAAGGGTGGGGAGAATTACAAAGAACCTTCTTAAGGGTTGGGGAGATTACAAAGTACCTTCTTAAGGGTGGGGGAGATTACAAAGTACATTGAAGAGTTAGGGTGGGGCAGAAACAAATCACAATGGTGGAATGTCATCAGTTAAGGCTATTTTTACTTCTTGTGTGGATCTTCAGTTACTTCAGGCCATCTGGATGTATACGTGCAAGTCACAGGGGATGCAATGGCTTGGCTTGGGCTCAGAGGCCTGACAGTGTGATCTTGGCTCACTGCAAACTCTGCCTCCTGGGTTCAAGCAATTTTTGTGCCTCAGCTTCCCGAGTAGCTGGGATTACAGGTGCCCGCCACCATGCCCAGCTAATTTTTGTATTTTTAGTAGAGACATAGAGTTTCACCAGATTGGCCAGGCCGGTCTCGAACTCCCGTCTCACGTGTCTGTGTGAAGAGACCACCAAACATGCTTTGTGTGAGCAACATGGCTGTTTATTTCACCTGGGTACAGGCGGGCTGAGTCCAAAAAAGGAGTCAGCAAAGGGTGGTGTGATTATCACTGGT
Source organism: Homo sapiens (assembly GCF_000001405.40). Lineage (NCBI taxonomy): Eukaryota > Metazoa > Chordata > Mammalia > Primates > Hominidae > Homo > Homo sapiens. The sequence goes on along the minus strand of NC_000016.10, from coordinate 29,418,592 downwards.
TCTTATAGGTTTTGGGATAGGCGGTGGAGTTAAGAGCAGTGTTTTGGGGGCAGGAGGTGGATCTCATAAAGTACATTGTCAAGGGTGAGGAGAATTGCAAAGAAACTTCTTAAGGGTGGGGGAGATGATAAAGAACCTTCTTAAGAGTGGGGCAGATTACAAAGTACATTGATCAGTTAGGGTGGGGCAGAAACAAATGACAATGGTGGAATGTCTTCAGTTAAGGCTGTTTTCACTTCTGTGGATCTTCAGTTGCTTCAGGCCATCTGGATGTATACGTGCAGGTCACTGGGATATGATGGCTTAGCTTGGACTCAGAGGCCTGACATTCCTGTCTTCTTATGTTAATAAGAAAAATAAAACAAAATAGTGGTAAAGTGTTGGGGTGGCGAAAATTTTTGGGGGTGATGTGGAGAGATAATGGGCGATGTTTCTCAGGGCTGCTTCGAGCGGGATTAGGGGCGGCCTGGGAACCTACAGTGGGAGAGATTCAACTGAAGAAAGATTTTGGGGTAAGGGCTGATACTGTGGGGTTGTTAGAAGGAGCATTTGTCATATAGAATTATTGGTGATGGCCTGGATACGGTTTTGTATGAATTGAGAAACTAAACAGAAGACACACGGTCCGAATAAGAGAAGGAGAAAAACAGGTATTAAAGGACTAAGAATTGGGAGGACCCAGGACATCCAATTAAGAGAGTGCCCAAGGGGGTTCAGCATAATTATTTGCTTGGTTGGCAAGTTTTTGGACTCTATCCTTGAGTTTTTTTATGTTGTCATATACCAGGCCAGAGTGATTTAGGTAAAAACAACACTCTTCATTTAAAAATATACAGAGTCGTCCTTTTTCAGCAATGAGTAAATTGAGGCCTTGGCGATTTTGGAGGAAAGAGAATTGCAAAGCCAGCAATTGTTTCTTTTTTTATTTATTTATTTACTTATTTTTTAAAATTATACTTTAAGTTATAGGGTACATGTACACAATGTGCAGGTTTGTTACATATGTATACATGTGCCATGTTGGTGTACTGCACCCATTAACTCGTCATTTACATTAGGTGTATCTCCTACTGCTATCCCTTCCCCCTCCCCCACCACACAAGAGGCCCCAGTGTGTGATGTTCCCCTTCCTGTGTCCAAGTGTTCTCATTGTTCAGTTCCCATCTGTGAGTGAGAACATGCGGTGTTTGGTTTTTTGTCCTTGTGATAGTTTGCTGAGAGTGATCGTTTCCAGCTTCATCCATGTCTCTACAAAGGACATGAACTCATCCTTTTTTATGGCTGCATAGTACTCCATGGTGTATCTGTGCCACATTTTCTTAATCCAGTCTATCATTGATGGACATTTGTGTTGGTTCCAAGTCTTCGCTATCGTGAATATTGCCGCGATAAACATATGTGTGCATGTGTCTTTATAGCAGCATGATTTATAATGCTTTGGGTATGTATCCAGTAATGGGATGGCTGGGTCAAATGGTATTTCTAGTTCTAGATCCCTGAGGAATCGCCACACTGTTTTCCACAATGGTTGAACCAGTTTACAGTCCCACCAACCGTGTAAAAGTGTTCCTATTTCTCCACATCCTCTCCAGCACCTGTTGTTTCCTGACTTTTTAATGATCGCCATTCTAACTGGTGTGAGATGATATCTCATTGTGGTTTTGATTTGCATTTCTCTGATGGCCAGTGATGATGAGCATTTTTTCATGTGTCTGTTGGCTGCATAAATGTCTTCTTTTGAGAAGTGTCTGTTCATATGCTTTGCCCACTTTTTGATGGGGTTTGTTTTTTTTCTTGTAAATTTGTTGGTGGTCTTTGTAGATTCTGGATATTAGCCTTTTGTCAGACAAGTAGATGGCAAAAATTTTCTCCCATTCTGTAGGTTGCCTGTTCACACTGATCCTAGTTTCTTTTGCTGTGCAGAAGCTCTTTAGTTTAATTAGAACCCATTTGTCAGTTTTGGCTTCTGTTGCCATTGCTTTTGGTGTTTTAGACATGAAGTCCTTGCCCATCCCTATGTCCTGAATAGTATTGCCTAGGTTTTCTTCTAGGGTTTTTACGGCTTTAGGTCTAACATTTAAGTCTTTAATCCATCTTGAATTAATTTTTGTATAAGGTGTAAGGAAGGGATCCAGTTTCAGCTTTCTACATAGGGCTAGCCAGTTTTCCCAGCACTATTTATTAAGTAGGGAATCCTTTCTGCATTTCTTGTTTTTGTCAGGTTTGTCAAAGATCAGATGGTTGTAGATGTGTGGTATTATTTCTGAGGGCTCTGTTCTGTTCCATTGGTCTATATGTCTGTTTCGGTAGCAGTACCAGGCTGTTTTGGTTACTGTAGCCTTGTAGTATAGTTTGAAGTCAGGTAGCATGATGCCTCCAGCTTTGTTCATTGGGCTTAGGATTGTCTTGGCAATGTGGGCTCTTTTTTGGTTCCATATGAACATTAAAGTAGTCTTTTGCAACTCTCATCAGCCCAGTTTAATATTACCTATTTATTATAATGTAATGCTGCTCGCACAACTGAGAAAACACTGTTGCTTTACCCCCTCCAGCTCTGTAGCAGCCACGCAGAAATCATAGAACTGTAAACACATGCTAATTACACAACCTATGTAGACAATCAATATTAAGAAAAATTTTTACTGCCCAGTATTTCTGTGGTTGAAAATGTAGAGTCTAATTTTGATCCACAGTAACATCTAGGTTAATGTTGATTCAGAAGGAAAACGTTTGTTGTTGCCATGAGAAGAGGCATTGAAATGCTGAATCACCATCACAAATGTTACCACTATTAATATAAGGAGATACATAGGAAGATGGAATTAGACCATCTCGGACCACCAGGTTTACAATTCCACCTGCAGATACATGCAAGAAGTATTGTCACAATACTTATGTCACGTTATTCCGTTGAGGTCATCACCAACTAAGCTTATCATTAATGTGTGGTCAATTTGGTCAATGTCACCAGCATAACATACTAACAAAAACAAGGGCTGCAAACTCAAATGCCTATAAGGCAGAACGTAAGACGGTAGGAAGCAAAGTCTATAGGGAGCTATATAATAGAGGCTGCAGATTCATGGCAGATTCTAAAGCACAGCAGTCCCCAACATTTTTGGCACCAGGGACCGGCTTTGTGGAAGACAATTTTTCCACAGGCGGCAAGGGATGGGGCGCAGGATGGTAATGGTCTTGGGATGAAACTGTTCCACCACAAATCATCAGGAATTAGATTCTCATAAGGAATATGCAACCTGGATCCCTCGTGTGTGCAATTCACAACAGGGTTCATGCTCCTGTAAGAATCTAATGATGCTGCTGATCTGACAGGAGGCAGAGCTCAGGCAGCAATGCAAGCAATGGGGAGCAGCCAGAAATACAGACGAAGCTTCAATTGTTACCCACCATTCACCTCCTGCTCTGTGGCCCAGTTCCTAACAGGCCACAGACCAGTACATGTCCATGGCCCAGGGGTCAGGGACCCCTGCTGTGGCACATTGCTAATAGAGGACTGTAGCAGCCATGTGCCCTGACCTTTCCTTTTTTTTTTTTTTTTTTGAGATGCCAGAAACCCAGAATTTTTTTTTTTTTTTTTTTTTTAAGACAAGGTCTGGCTCTGTTGCCCAGGTTGGAGTGTAGGAGGGCGATCTCAGCTCACTGTAACATCAACCTCCCAGGCTCAAGCAATCCTCTCACTTCAGCCTCCCACGTTGCTGGGATTACAGGCACACTCCACTACACCCAGCTAATTTTTTTGTATTATTTGTAGACATGGGGTTTCGCCATGTTGCCCAGGCTAGTCTGGAATTCCTGAGGTCAAGCTGTCTGCCCATCTCAGCCTCCCAAAGTGCTGGGATTGCAGGAATGCACCACCACACCTGGCCTGAAACCCAGATTTTATTTACTTATTTATTCATTTTTTGAGATGGAGTCTTGCTCTATTGCCTAAGCTTGAGTGCAGTGGCCCGATCTTGGCTCACTGCAACCTCCACCTCCCTGGTTCAAGCGATTCTCCTGCCTCAGCCTCCCAAAGTGCTGGGATTACAGGCATGCAACACCACACCCAGCCTGAAACCCAGATTTTTAATATGAAATCAAAGTCTTCAAACCTTGTAGGTGTCATAAAAAGCACGCTGAGGACCACTAGTTTGCAACTGCCAATCTAAAATATCATAGACATTATATCACTTTAACCACGAAAAAAAAAGTATGTGAGGCAGAAAATGGAAGCAACCATGCCTAATTTATTGTTGAATACTTTTTCCGTATACCAAGAGCTTCCTTTGCACTAGCATCTGAAACTATATCCAGAATGACACTGGTTTTCATAAAAGTGTTGATCCTCACCTCTTTATAGTCTTGCACCTAGCACAGTGGAGTGAAACACTTTAAATAGCACTTGTTCCTTGAGTATATATGGAAAAAAGTGAAGTATTGATAAGTGTTCAGCTAATATGAGCAGCATCTCAGGAGTCTCCAATTCTTGAATTACCAGGGAGTATTTTTACCATTTTCCCCCAGTGAAAGGCCTATTTTGAGAGACTTACCCTCCAAAATGAATGTATTAAGTCATGTTCCTTTTTTTTTTTTTTTTTTTTTTTTTGAGACAGGGCCTTGCTCTGTTGCCCAGGCTGGAGTGCAGTAGCATGATAGTTACAGGAAAGGGGTCCCAATCTAGACCCCAAGAGAGGGTTCTTGGATCTTGTGCAAGAAAGAATTTAGGGTGATGCCACAGTGTGAAGTGAAAGCAAGTTTATTAATAAAGTAAAGGAGGAGGGGCACGGTGGCTCACTCCTGTAATCCCAGCACTTTGGGAGGCTGAGACAGGTGGATCACGAGGTCAGGAGATCAAGACCATCCTGGTTAACACGGTGAAACCTCATCTCTACTAAAAATACAAAAAAATTAGCCAAGTGTGGTGGCGGGCGCCTGTAGTCCCACCTACTCTGGAGGCTGAGGCAGGAGAATGGGATGAACCCGGGAGGCGAAGCTTGCAGTAAGCCGAGATCGCCCCACTGCACTCCAGCCTGGGTGACAGAGGGAGACTCCATCTCAAAAAAAAAAGAGAGAAAGTAAAGGAATAAAAGAATGGCTACCCCATAGACAGAGCAGCCGTGAGGGCTGCTGGTTGCCCATTTTTATGGTTATTTCTTGATGATATGCTAAACAAGGAGTGGATTTTTCATGCCTCCTCTTTTTAGACCATATAGGGTAACTTCTTGATGTTGCCGTGGCATTTGTAAACTGTCATGGTGCTGGTAGGAGTGTAGCAGGGAGGATGATGGGAGGTCAGTCTTGTCTCCATTTTGGTTTTGGTGGGTTTTGGCCAGCTCCTTCACTGCAACCTGTTTTATCAGCAAGGTCTTTATGACTGGTATTTTGTGCTGACCTTCTATGTCATCCTGTGACTTAGAATGCCTTAACCATCAGGGAATGCAGCCCAGTAGTTTCAGCCTCACTTTTCCCGGCTCCTATTTAAGATGGAGTTGCTCTGGTTCACACACCTCTGACATGATCACTGCCCACTGCGGCTTCCACCTCCTGGGTTCAAGAGATCCTCCTGCCTCACCCTCCCAAGGTGCTGGGACTACAGGTGTGTGCCACCACGCTCAGCTAATTTTTGTATTTTTTGTAGAGACGGTGTTTTTCCATGTTGCCCAGGCTGGTCTCAAACTCCTGGGCTCAAGCAATCCTTCTGTCTCAGCCTCCCAAAGTACTGGGATTACAGGCATGTCCCACCATGCCCAGACTAATATTTACTTTTAATCAGACTAAGATAGGGTTACTACTTGAGTTGCTATGGCTCCAGCTGAAAGAAAGCCTGTGCAGTCATATCATGCATGAACATTTGCTTTATGCTAAAAATATGGTGGACCTGGCATTACAGCTATTACAAATCTCCTAAGGTGTCTCGGGTAGTGTATTAGTTACTTTTCATACTGCTATGAAGAAATACTCGAAACTGGGTAATTTATAAAGAAAAAGAGGTTTAATGTACTCACAGTTCCACAAGGCTGGAGAGGCCTCAGAATCATGGTGGAAGGCAAAGAAGGAGCAAAAAGGTATGTCTTCCATGGCAGCAGGCAAGAGAGCACGTGCAGGGAAACTGCCCTTTATAAAACCATCAGATTTAGTGAGATGTATTCACTATCACGAGAACAGTATGGGAAAAACCTGCTCCCATGATTTGATTACCTCCTACCAGGTCCCTCCCACGACACATGGGGATTATGGGAACTACAATTCAAGATGAAATTTGGGTGGGGACGCAGCCAAACCATATCGGGTAGCAACAACCTAGGGTCAGTTTTGCAGGTGGTAAAGCCATTTACCAAGATAGTTGTAGGTAAAGAAGGGCAGATTTATTAGAGAAATTATGAAAATATGTTGCAGTGGGCAGCTCAGCAGAGAAGGGGCTACCTGCAAAGAGGCAGGGGCTGGAGGAAAGTTTTATAGGGTCCTGCTGAAGGGTGCTACGTGTGGAATGAGGTCATTGTGCCCGCAGGTTGTTTGTGATTAGCTGTCTCTAACAATTGTTCATACAGTAATTGTTCATTATTGTTCTCAACTTGGGGCTCTCCCCAACCTGGGGACCCTTCCTTATTGTTGCTTACTTATCAGGACTCCACATAAGGGTGTGGAAACTTCATTCATTCATATCTTCAACACAAATTGTAGGTAGCCTGTTTTTTAAAACATTTATTCAACAAATATTTAGTCCAAGCCACTATTACTTATTACCTTCTCTACTATTGTATGGACTTTTAACTATCTCTGACACTATTCACTATTCTTCCACATTCTCTATTATTTATACCTATGGTAAAATTTGCCAGTTTGACCATACAACTAATACTCACAGGGAATATATAGAGTCTAGAAGAAAATATACAGGTCCTTAAAGGCTGCCCTGCCAACAAAACCATAATGCAGGAACAAACATCACAACTATGCCAAATAATCAATCCTACAATGTCCAAAATTTTACTTTAAAACTGGAATTTCCAGACTTCCTTTCTGCATTAACCAGTTTAAATAGACAGTAACGAAATATTCCTCCTACTTTATGCTGTGATAGTTTATTTATTTATTTATTTATTTGAGACAGATTTTCGCTCTTGTTGCCCAGGCTGGAGTGCAGTGGCACGATCTCAGCTCACCACAACCTCCACCTCCGAGGTTCAAGCGATTCTCCTGCCTCAGCCTCCCGAGTAGCTGGGATTACAGGCATGTACCACCACGCCCGGGTAATTTTGTATTTTTAGTAGAGACGGGGGTTTCTCCATGTTGGTCAGGCTGGTCTAGAACTCCTGACCTCAGGTGATACCCCTGCCTCAGCCTCCCAATGTGCTGGGATTACAGGTGTGAAGCCACCGCGCCCGGCTGCTGTGACAGTTGAGATGTAAACCAAAAATAAAATTCTAAGCCACCCAATCCGACTGAATGGACCCTTCCTGTTGAGCAAGGACATTCAAAAGTAAACTGAAAAGACCAGCTTAGGTCATGATGGGAAGGGGAGGTGTCAACATGCCTCATTCTACCTTCCTCCCTCTGGAATCCAGACACAACTGACCAGCATTAACATTAAAACAGAGATCTTAAGCTGGGCACAGTGGCTCATGCCTGTAATCCCAGCACTTTGGGAGGCCAAGGTGGGATCACCTGAGGTCAGAAGTTCAAGACCAGCCTGGCCAGTATGGTGAAGCCATGTCTCTACTAAACATACAAAATTAGCCGGACATTGTGGTGCACGTCTGTCATCCCAGCAAGGCAGGAGAATCACTTGAACCCAGGAAGCAGAGGTTGCAGTGAGCCAGGATCATGCCATTGCACTCCAGCCTGGTCAACAGAGCGAGACTCCGCCTCATTAAAAAAAAAAAAAAAAATTAGCCGGGCGTGGTGGCGGGCACATGTAGTCTCAGCTACTAGGGAGGCTGAGGCAGGAGAATGGTGTGAACCAGGGAGGCGGAGCTTGCAGTGAGCCGAGATTGTGCCACTGCACTCCAGCCTGGACAGAAATGCATTTCATAATGCATTTTAATTGCATTAGCAGTGATTTCATTTTTTTAGATGCTAAAACTTATGGGTGAAAGTGGATTAAATGTAGCCAAATGCAACATCAAAATCTTCAGGCACAAAAACCCATTAACTTTTTCATACTCTCAGAAGATGAACCTAATTTCAAATGAAAGCTGCCTCCAGAATATATTAAGCGTATTCTAGATACAATTCATTTTGGCAAACATGCTGTAGAAATTCACATAACATTTTACTGTACTAAAAGTAAATTGCCCATGTAACAAAAAATATCTTTTCAGAGCTTCAAATGAATTTTAAAGGATGACTGATGGTCCTTGGAAGAGAAACAGTAAACAAATAAGGTTTCTAGCAATGATGTATGAGTTAGAAATTGCAGTTCCAGATGATCTCTTTATTAAAGAGACGATCTACACTTAATTTGGTCAACTGTTATGAACATAGTTCATGTTAAGTCCCCATTTAAATACAACCTGAAATACCAAAGTTAATTTTCTTTTCTTTCTTTTTTTTTTTTTTTAGACAGAGTCTTGCTCTGTTGCCCTTCCTGGAGTGCAGTGGCATGATCTCGGCTCACTGCAACCTCCACCTCCTGGGCTTGAGCGATCCTACTGCCTCAGCCCCCCAAGGAACTGGGAGGACAGGCGCAAGCCATGGCACTCAGCTAATTCTTGTATTTTTTGTAGAGATAGGGTTTCACCATGTTGCCCAATTTGGTCTCGAACTCCTGAGCTCAAGTGATCCGCCTGCCTTGGCCTCCCAAAGTGCTGGGATTACAGGCATGAGCCACCGCGCCTGGCCAGAAAATTTTAAACACACACAAACTCTCAAGTGGCCTAATTCCCTCTCACCAAACCAATCACAATACAGATAAAAGAGAATAACTTGTATTCATTTTTGTACAAACAAAAAAGATATAAATCGTGAATGATGCATGATTTTTAATTACAGGTAAACTGGGCAAATGCTTCTGTATTATTTAAAGCTAAAAGGTGATCAGTGGAAACTTTCCTCTGTTAGTACTCTAATACTTTTTATATTTATCGGCTCACTACAACCTGTGCCTCCCAGGTTCAAGCGATTCTCCTGTCTCAGCCACCTGAGTAGCCGAGACCACAGGCACGCACTACCATGTCCGGCTAATTTTGTATTTTTAATAGAGACAGGGTTTCACCGTGTTGGCCATGCTGGTCTTGAACTCCTGACCTCAACCGATCCACCTGCCTTGGCCTCCCAAAGTTCTGGGATTACAAGCGTGAGCTACCGCGCCCAGCCTTATTATAATTGTTACTATTTAAATCTCTTTTGCTCTCTCCTTCAAGAGAGACCTCATCCCATTCAGTTGCATCCATTTATTTATTCATCTTCTGCCTCCTGGGCTCGAGAGATCCTCCAGCGTGAGTCTCCCAAGTAGCTGGGACTACAGGCTCACACCACCATGCTTGGCTAATTGTTGTAGGTTTTGGAGAGACAGGCTCTTGCCACATTGCCTAGGCTGGTCTCAAACTCCTGGGCTCAGATGATCCACCGGCCTTCGCCTCCCAAAGCACTGGGACATGAGCCACCACGCCCAGCCGCAAGTACTTTTACACAAAATGCAAACACTATTCTTCCATCGTAAAAGTGATACCACAGCTTCTGTGAAGTTTTGCCAGGTGTAGTACTCATAATTACCTTGGGTAAACTTTTTGATGTTAAACTGTATCTTCTTCTTACAAGTTTTTCCATTGTATTAACTGCTTTTACAACAACACAAATAACAAGTTATTTTACAAACCATTTAGAAATTTCTGTACTATGGTCCCAATAATGTAAAATATATTAATGCCTATTACATTCAGATAAATTATACCCTTGGAAACCACATACTTATGACTTACAGAAACTTACATAAATAAATTATAGAAATTATATGCTCAATTTTTAGGTATATAGTCTTAAATTAAGCTTAAATATACATTCTCAAGATAAATTAACAGTTCAGGGCTTCACAACTTGAAATCTGTGGAAGATGACATTGGAGACAACAGAACTGTGGTGGAATTCTTAGATGGAATTTGCTGAAACTTTTTTTTTTTTTTTTTTGAGACGGAGTGTCACTCTGTCGCCCAGGCTGGAGTGCAGTGGCGCAATCTCAGCTCACTGCAAGCTCTGCCTCCTGGGTTCACGCCATTCTTCTGCCTCAGCCTCCCGAGTAGTTGGGACTACAGGCGCCCACCACCACGCCTGGCTAATTTTTTATATTTTTAGTAGAGATGGGGTTTTACTATGTTAGCCAGGATGGTCTCGATCTCCTGACCTTGTGATCCACCCGCCTTGGCCTCCCAAAGTGAAACTTTTCTTTAAAATAGAGATGGGATCTTGCTGTATTGCCCAGACTGGTCTCAGACTCCTTGCCTTAAGCAGTCCTCCCACCTCAGCCTCCTAAAGTGCTGGGATTACAAGCGTGAAGCATTACATCCAAGTGAAACTTCTTGAGATAGTTACATAATGTTTAAATCTGCTGGTGTACAAGTTAATAAAGTGTAGAACTGAATAAATATTAAATATTAGATCAAGTTTCTCATGTTTACCTTAACGTATAAAGATTTATCTTAAAGCACTGATTTTCACAAAATAACATCAGTGTGAAATTGGAAAAGAAGCCAAATATTTTATTTCATGTATCGGGGAAATGAGGTGCTTTAGTCAACTGAATCTGCCCAAAACTAAAAAGCATTAATTAAAAAGTACTTAACTCGCAAATTATAAAAATAGGAGACATCAATAAAATACATTCTACACAGAATATGCCAACCATACACTGCTCTTTTTTGATAATAAAAAATGTATTTACTGAGCCAGTTGTAGTGGCTCACGCCTATAATCCCAGCACCTTGGAAGGCCAATGAGAGTGGATCAGTTGAGGCCAGGAGTTTGAGACCAGCCTGGCCAACATGGCGAAATGCCGTCTCTACTAAGAATACAAAAATGAGCCGGGCACGGTGGCACACACCTGTAATCCCAGGTACTCTGAAGGATGAGGCAGGATAATTGTTTGAACTCAGGAGGTGGAGGTTGCAATGAGCCGAAATCATGCCACTGCACTCCAGCCTGGGTGACAGAGTGAGTCTCTGTCTCAAAAAACAAAAAAAAAAGGAAAAGAAAAAAAGTCAGTTGCAGTGGCTCACGCCTGTAATCCCAGCACTTTGGGAGGCCGAGGCAGGTGGATTACAAGGTCAGGAGATGGAGACAATCCTGGCCAACATGGTGAAACCTCCTCTCTACTAAAAATGCAAAAATTAGGCTGGGCACGGTGGCTCACACCTGTAATCCCAGCACTTTGGGAGGCCGAGGCGCAGAGATCACGAGATCAGGAGATTGAGACCATCCTGGCTAACACAGTGAAACCCTGTCTCTACTAAAAATACAAAAAATTGGCTGGACGTGGTGGCAGGCACCTGTAGTCCCAGCTACTTGGGAGGCTGAGGCAGGAGAATGGTGTGAACCCGGGAGGCGGAGCTTGCAGTGAGCCGAGATCCCACCACTGCACTCCAGCTTAGGCAACAGAGCCAGACTGTGTCTCAAAAACAGGAAAGAAAACAAAAGAAAATTTGGACTATTGCCAATTACAAATATTTTTAGAGAAGAATTCAAAATAGTAACTGTGGATGATGGAAACAATAGTTATGATAGAAGTCTGATGAAACTTCCCAGTTCACAAGGAAATTTAATTACTTACGTGCAGCATTTTAAGACAGTAATCAGAATCATGACTGGCAGCATCATATCAGGGCCACCAGACTTTTATAAATTTCATACAATCTTCAGAAATAATTAATAACTTTTTTTTTTTTTTTTAGTTAGATTCTACCTCTGTCACCCAGGCGGGAGTGCAGTGGCATGATCTCGGCTCACTGCAACCTCCGCCTCCTGGGTTCAAGCAATTCTCCTGTCTCAGCCTCCCGAGTAGCTGAGACTACAGGCATGTGCCACCAGGCATGGCTAATTTTTGTATTTTTAGTGGAGACAGGGTTTCACTCTATTAGGCTGGTCTGGAACTCCCGACCTCAGGTGATCCACCTGCCTTTGTCTCCCAAAGTGCTGGGATTACAGGCATGAGTGACGGTGCCCAGCCATTCATGACGTGTTTATACAAATATAACTTTAGCAAACATTTAGCATAACTATCAAAATTACAAATCATATTAAATTTGTATAAATGTATGCAATTTTTGGAACACGTATATCAACAACATACCCATAAATATAACTGAGATGAGATCTAATGTCACCTCACTTGACAGTGCCCTCCCATGCAGTATCGCCACATTTGACAATGCCTGCCCATTTAATCTACCAAATAAATCGAATCACTTAATACCTCTACAAGATGAGAGATACATTCTTTAGACTCCCCAAGGGATGCAGCTGAAAAAATCCCAAAGTTAGTTTTAAGCCAAAAAGACTTGATTTAGGATTTTGACACTGGAGAAACCCATCAAAGACGTCAAGTTTGAAAACACTTGATCAAAACAGAATCACAGGTCACTATTAAAAGAGTATTAATTTAACCAGAGACTTCCAAAGCAATACAGAAACTTACATGGATATAAAAACCTTAACCCTTTTAAAGGTCAGATTTGCTAAGTGATCAAAAGGGGTACTTGAATTGAATCGACACAGGAAGAGTGTGTACAGGGTTATGAGTGTAGGCAGATGGTTACTTTGGTCATATCTCCATTTGCCACCTGATTACACATGAGAATGCCATCTTTACTCACCAGAAAGCCAGTATTATAGGAGGTGTAGGAGGCATTCTTGGACTTGAAACAAGAACATTGTTGTGTAGAAATTTCATTGACTGTGTTAAAATTATTCTCCATGGGCTGGAGAACACATAACATGGCCTTTAGAATGAGACGGGCATTGATTGGATGCAAGGTCTCCACACTTACTAGCCGTGTGACATTGGACAGAGTGCTTCATCATTCCGAGACTCAGTTTTTAAAGGAAAAACAACTAACTACCTTGCAAGCTTGCTAGCAGGTTTAAGTGTAATAATGTGTGGGAATGACTGCACCGTGACTAACACGTGGTGACGGCTTAATTAATGTTAACCCTTATCATTATCGTATAAGAATGTGAGTTGCATAAGAGAGGAATCCTGTCAGTTTGTTCTCTGCTGTGTCCCCAAGACCATGAATCATGGCTGGCACGTAGTAGGCTTTTAATAATATTTGTTCAACAAGTATTTGGCAGTCTTGGAGGGCAGAAAAGGAGGTGGGGAAGATTTTTAAATAACATTTTTTAAAAAGTCACATTGTCCTACAATATCGATTTTTCTTGCATATTTAGGAAATTGAGGGTTTTTTCCTAAAACATGCGGACATATGGGAAATATGATGCAACATTTGCACTAATGTTTCAGACACAGTTAGAGGTTTCCAAGAGATTTTGTGCTGGGGAGGCTGCTTGCTACAAGCTCCCAAAGCTCTGGGAGGACATAGTATTCATTCCTCCCTCAGCAGAAGCGGTGAGGCAAGAAGCTCTGGGGAGCACCCAGCCTTGGACTTTTAGCATAGTGTGTCAGGTCTTCATAGTTTGGGCCCAGGGCACAGAGAAGTCACAGCTCTCTGGCATCCTGTGACCTTTACCCTCTTTGCCAAGGGAAAATGTGGCCCACCAAAGCAAGAAACTTGAGGGCATGGGTCACCCCAGCCCTGGCATCTGCCCAGAGCCCGAGAAGGAAGGAACAATGATCCTCCAGCTACCTCACAGGGCTGGCACAGGTGACCACTGCCCTGGCATCACCCAGCTGTGTCCGGCAGCCTGAACCCCATCTGTGGGGATGCGAGGAGGAAAATACAAAAGCCCTTAGGTGAGCACTGAGAAGGCAGATGCAGCAGAAACCTCCAGGCCGGAACTACCCAGTCTTGGACCTATGGTGGAGACAGAGCATAGCTGGCGATCATGTGTACTTACACTCTAAGGTCACCTGGTTGCACTGTGGCCTCATCTGTGGCTCTGAAAATGAAGATTTGGAAGGAGATCATCACAGCTAATGTTTAACAAGCCCCTCCTGTGTGCCAAATCATTCACCCCTCACCACAACCGAATGAGCTAAGGATTCTCATTATATATAGTTTATGGAGAGGGAAGTGCAGACATAAAGAGGTGAATTATCTTACCCAGATCACACAGCTGATAAGTGGTGGAGGCAGAATAGAATCTAAACAGTGTGGCTCCGGAGCCCACATGCATTGATTCGACAAGTGTTTATTGAGCACCTGCCACGGACAAGGCCTTGTGTGATTAAATAGGGTTATAATTAGTAATATAAAAATGAGAAATCACTAATGCTTTTTAGACTTAACATTTTCTTTTTTTGTAGGTTTCAGGCACAGAACTGTATATCCAATAATAGTGAAATGGATCCCACTAATTATGACAGAAATGATGATACATTTAAATGACTTGGATGTTTTATAGGTATGATCTCGTGAAACCTTGAGAGAAACTGAATGACGAATGAAACTATTGTTCCTGTTTCACACAGAAGAAAACTGAGGTTAAAAGGGGTAAAGTAATTTTGCATGGCATGAAGTAGAAATTCAAAGTACAGGAATTTGAACTTGGTTCTGTCCTTTTCTGAAGCCCTTGACCACTATAGACTCAAACATCACCTTGTTTTTCCACTCATTCAACACTTTTTTTTTAAATTATCTAATAGGTTGGCACTCATCATGAGCCCCTGTTCTCATTCTGCAAATGGTGAAGCTCTCTATTGTCCTGACCCCACAGTTCCTGTCCCATGACCAGGGCCAGCTCACCAAGGAGCTGCAGCAGCACGTAAAGTCAGTGACATGCCCATGCGAGTACCTGAGGAAGGTGAGTGAGTGCAGACAGATGGGGCCTGGTGCCCTTGAGCAGTTCCCGGGTCTCAGCTGCCACACATCTCATAGCGGGTGATGCTGGGGGAAGCTTACGCAGTCACAGTACTGGCTTCTTCCTCTTTTTCTTTCCATACAAGTGGCTTAGGGATGGGGTAGAGTAGTTGACTTATTTGGATGAAAACCACTATCTTCTGTCAGAAACTCAAAAGGAATCATTGCTGGCATGGTAACCTAAAGAAAAACAACCAGACAAGTGCCCAACGACACTTAAAAAGGTTATTTATTATCTTGCCAAGTTTAGGCTGGGCATGGTGACTCATGCCTGTAATCCCAGCATTTTGGGAGGCTGAGGCTGGTGGATCACCTGAGGCCAGGACTTCAAGACCAGCCTGACCAATATGGCAAAACCTCGTCCCTACTAAAAATACAAAAATTAGCCGGGCATGGTGGTGTGAGCCTGTAGTCCCAGCTACTCAGGAGGCTGAGACAGGAGAATTGCTTAGATTCAGGAGGTGGAGGTTTTAGTGGGCCGAGATCACGCCATTGCACTCCAGACTGTGCGACAGAGCGAGACTCTGTCAAAAAAAAAAAAAAAAAATTATCCTGCAAAATTTGAAAAGGAAATTCAAATCAACAGCTTCTAAACTACTTTTTAACATGACTCATAATAAATACATTCTATAGTACATATATATGTTCTATAATTTTGAATAAAAGAATTAACCACATCACATTTATTTTACAACATGTAATACATATTTTTTATTCTCCTTCATTTGTTTTGAATGCTCTGTTTAGTCTACAAAAAGTCCAATAGTAATAATTAAATTAGTCATTAAGTTGAACATTATCTTGTCTTTTAAAATGATAATCTCAAAAATGATCTTTTATTTTTGAGATTTATATAGAGATACACACACACACACACACACACACACACACACACACACACAGAGAGAGAGAGAGAGAGAGAGAGAGACAGAGTTTCACTCTGTCGCCCAGGCTGGAGTGCAGTGGCACAATCTTGGCTCACTGCAACCTCCGTCTCCCGGGTTCAAGCAATTCCTCTGCCTCAGCCTCTGAGTAGCTGGGACTACAGGTGTGTGCACCATCATGCCCAGCTAATTTTTGTATTCTTAGTAGAGATGGGGTTTCACCATATTGGCCAGGCTCGTGTCAACTCCTGACCTCGTAATCTGCCCACCGTGGCCTCCCAAAGTGCTGGGACTATAGGTGTGAGCCACTGCACCCGGTCCAAGATAAAATTATTTTAACAATATACTATGAAGAGAAAAACACTGGCTATGAAAGAATATGCATAGTTTTACCCTGTTTAAAAATAAAGATTGAAAGAATACATATGCAAATAAGTTTACTTTTATTTTTGGTAATACTTTACTGGATTGTCTGAATATTGACAATCAGTATGCATTATGAAGCTACATGGCTAACATTGAGTACTCACTGTGTGTGCCAGGCCCTGGGTTCAATGCTCTACATGCACTTATATTTCATTTAATTCTCTCTGCAACCTGAGATGGTATAGCCACCTCATTTTACAGAGTTGAAACTGAGGCCCAGAGACTGAAAGTTAAGCCTGAGGTTACAGTCAATAAGAGGCAGAGCTGGAACTGAAACCTACGTGTGTCTGACCACCAGTTCATGTTCTGACGGCAGGCTAGTCTGCATCACAGAGTGTGGGGTAGATGGTGCATGCCTGCTAGGATGGGCTAGGTATCACTGTAGGTAAGAAACAGCCCCAAACGGTGGAAATGTACACCACTGAAGGCTCTTTTCTTGCCCATGCTGCACATCCTCCATGGCTCTCCTGTGCCCTGTGCCCCACATGCCCTCATCCTGCCACGAGAATAAAGGAGCAGCCTCCATATGGGAGCTGTCAGCTGCTCTAAGAGATGAAGGAGAGGGTGGCCAGTCTCAATGGCTCCCAACTCTTGCCTCGAGGTGACACACTTCACTTCCACTCACATCTCTTGGGTCAAAGCAAATCCCATGGGTACATCCACTTTCAAGTGGCCCAGGAGAGAACCTGAAATACTCGGTGGACTCCATTAAGGCTGTCATATGGTGTCAGCCTACATGGGAGACTGTGGAGGGGCAGAGGAGGAGAGTGGGGAACTGATGGGAAATGACAGGAGGACTAAGTCACCGCAGATTTGCTTTATCCTCAGCCAGGTGGAGTTTGTCCCAGAGCTGCACAAAATCATCACCAGCATGATGAAACAGAGTAGACTTCAGAAAAAGCAGTTTGGTCAGATGTAATCAGCAGTGAACTCAGAATCAACTGAGTGACATTGAGTCAGTAAATCTCTGACTGCCTCAGTTACCCCAGATGATAGTTTTGAGGATGGGAACATTGAGAGAGTTGATCTGGAAGGATATCAAGAGTAAAAATTCCAACATTTTAGTTCCTTTAAGTTAAATCCAGGCACTATTTTTCCTGCAAGTCTCCTGTTCCTTTCAGATTGCACAGGTTCAAGAGTGCTCAGATTAGGGCTGGAGGTTGTAAACTATTGCTCCCACACTGACAGTGCCCCCGTGTCGTGCATGTATTGTGCTAAACACTCTCCCAAAACATCGTGGGGCCTGATTCTTCCTCTTTGTTCCAATGGCCCTGGGTGACTCAAGTGCCCATTCAATGACCAGGACACAGAGGTCTTAGAGAGATGCTCCATGAGGCCCCAGGTGCGAGCCTGTACCCTGCCGGAGCATGAGGCAAGGGACAGGGAATCGTCTGTGGGGATAGTGGGGGTAGTGGGGGTAGTGGTCAGCCAGACTTGGTGACTCTACTTGCTCACCAGATGATCCTACACCTGCCACCTCCGATGGAACCACTGCCTCTGTGCCTGCCTGTACTGCTGATGCTCCAGTGGATAACTCAGCATCCCAGCCTAGGCCCAATGCCACTGAAGATGGACCTGCCCCCTGGGGACCCAGGAGTCCTACCACTCAGCTGTCCCCAGGAGTGCCCAGACCCTCATTCTTATCCAGGACCTAGGAGCCCTACCCCTGGCCTTCCCTCATCAGCCGTAAATGATGATTTACTGCTGTTACCATCATCACTGCCTTCAGTGACCAAGGGCCTTCCAAGGTGCCAGCTCTGGAACGAAAGATGCCCTTGGGAGGTGATGACACTCAGGTACACGGGTGCTCAACAGATTGCTTCCTCCTATCCTCAGACGGTCTTTGCATGCATGCAGCCATTGGCACTCCCATTGTATGGAAGGAAACCAGCCCAGGGTCACACAGCTGGTCAGCAGCAACATAGCTGGTCTCAAATCTAAGGTGCCTGGCCATGCCTCCATGAGGGACCCCCTGCAAGGGAGGTTGATCCTGGCTTTGGGGAGCCTTTCCTGGGCTGCACGAATAACCTCCATTGTTCGAGACCCCAAACTCTGCTCACATCTTCCTTTCCCTGTCTCTGCTTGGGCTATGATCACGGTGACTCTAGCAACCCTTCATGGACATTATAGTACTCTCTGCCATTCACTTTTGGTCTAATCTGACTTCAACCCCCACTTACTTGGTCTCTCCTTTTACAACCAACACAACCGAAATCCGAGGGCTTCTTTTTTTTTGAGACAGAGTCTCATTCCATTCTGTCACCCAGGCTGGAGTGGAATGGCACGATCTCGGCTCACTGCAACCTCCACCTCCTGGGTTCAAGGGATTGTCCTGCCTCAGTCTCCTGAGTAGCTGGGATTACAGGCGGGTGCCACCGTGCCTGGCTAATTTTTGTATTTTTAGTAGAGACGGGGTTTCACCATGTTGGTCAGGCTGGTCTCGAACTCCTAACCTCGTGATGCGCCTGCCTCAGCCTCCCAAAGTGCTGGGATTACAGGCGTGAGCCACCATGCCCAGCCAAATCTAGGGCTGGAACATGGCTGCAGCATATAAATAGAATTGAATTCCATAGTTTTGTTAACCCTGTTTTTTGTTTGTTTGTAGTTGTTGCTGTTTTTGAGACAGAGTCTCGCTCTGTCTCCTAGGCTGGAGTGCAGTGGTGCAATCTCGGCTCACTGCAGACTCTGCCTCCTGGGTTCAAACTATTCTCCTGCCTCAGCCTCCCAAGTAGGTGGGACTAAGGCGCCCACCACCACACCCGGCTAATTTTTGTATTTTATTAGAGACAGGGTTTCACCATATTGGCCAGGCTGGTCTGGAACTCCTGACCTTGTGATCCACCCACCTCGGCCTCCCAAAGTGCTGGGATTACAGGCGTGAGCCACCACACCCAGCCCCTGTTTTGTTTTTGTTTTGCTTGTTTCTTAGGGTTGTTTTTCTATTTATGGTAAAGGCATTGGCTTTCCATTTGTAGCATCAATAGAATATTTCCTGTTTACAATAACCTTATGTCATAGTAAATGGTAAAGGGATTTAAAGCAGTGGTTTTCAGCTGCCAGAGGCCTGAGTGAGTTTGGGCACACTCTGTGTGATCGGGCAGAAGCCCTGTGGGAAGTTTAACTGAGGACAGGGCCAGGAAAGGTGATGGACAGTGGGGGTCTGTCCTGGTCACCAGACCCCTGGGTCCTGCCCACCTGCTTGGAGCTCCCCACCCATCACACATGATGCTGCCAAGCCCTCTGGGTATTGTGGGCAAATACCTTAGGAGAGAAGCTGATGAACTTTGTTTCTTGAAATGCACAGATTCCTTGGACATCCCTGAGAGGTCAATCATGAAGGTCAACTTGGTTTTCTCCCCCTCATTTGGGTTCAGAATTTAAAGTCCACACACACAGGCAGTAAGATGATTATAGATAAGGACATCATCACTCGGTTTCGGATGTTAAAATGTCTAGGTGGGTTAGGGGGGATTTGAGATCACACAACCTTGTGCCACAAAGAGGAATTCCCAGGCCAGAGGGAGACATTTTATTGCCATGTTATGATCTTATCATTGAGTTGAAAGGCAATCTTGTTTCATTTTGGATTCTTTCTTATGTTTATGTCTTATAAGGGCACTTTGAATTTCCAAGCAAATAATAATTTTGAATTAGCTTTTAATCATTGACTTCTAGCACAGTTACATGATCAGAAACATGCTGTGTGATTTGATTGCTCTCAAATATATTGAGATTTGCTGGAACAAAATAAGTCAGGTTAATTTTTGTAAATGTACCATGCATGCTTAAAATGAATGTATCTACATTTGTTCCTGAGATACAGGTTGATGGACGGATGGCTACATGGATGTGATGGAGATGGTTTACTATCGGGACCTTCCGCACCCTGCTGATGTTTTGTTGCTTAGGATATGAATGGCTGAGCGGAGGCTGTAAAACCTGGCACTCTGCTTGGGTATGAGGTTCTTCCTGCCATCCTGCCATCATTTGTTTTTTATGTTTTGTCGCCAAAAGTGACCTTGAGGAACCCTGGGAGCTCAGGAAGGAAGGAGCGCCCAGAAGCAGGGACAGGGAGCTGGTTGGGGAGGACCAGAAATCAGGTTTGTGAAGGTTCCAGAGAGGACCTGTCCTTGCGAGGAGTGTGGGAGACTGAGATGGGGGAGGGGTCATTGGAATGATGCGGGCGCTACTTGGCATTGTCCATTGTGAGGCACCACCGGGGTCATCAGGGATTGGTGGAGAGGGAGTATAAAGCCCCAGGTTTGCTAAGGGAGGGCCCAGACCGAAGAAGGTTTGGCGGATAGCAGAACCTTTTTGTCTCCCTCTAATTGCTCCTAAGCCTCACGCTCCCTTGCCCCGCGTGTCCTGTTGCTTCCCTGATCTTCTCCGTGACCTGTAGCTAAACCTTCCACCAGCGCTTGAGAACTTAATTTGAACCGGATCCTTTCCCAGACCCCTTTCTTCTTCTCCTCCTCCAGGTGCCCAACAGCCCCCTTCTCCTCCTTTCCCTTCCCTTACTTCCCCCCTTCCCCTCCCCTTCCCTTCCCCCTCCCCCTCCCCTCCCCCTCCCCAACTCAGATCCGGGCCCGGTCCCCGTCCCCTTCCCTCCCCCCTGCCCTAAGCCACCTCCACCTCTGTCCTGGACGCCTCAGGGCGCCCTGAAAGGACCAGGACATGCGGGGGCGGTGGATGCTCTTTTGGCTCCTCTTTGGGCTCCTGCTGGAATTTATCAGCCATCAGTGCATCCGTGTGAGTAGACGCTGGACCCTCGGGGTTTCTTCCTTTTTACTGGGCTGTGTCACGCGGCATGAAATTACACAGCTCAGGCCTGTAATCCCAGCACTTTAGGGGGCCGAGGTGGGCAGATCACTTGAGTCCAGGCGTTGAAGACTAGCCAGGGCATCATGGCGAAACCCCATCTCTACAAAAAATTCCAAAAAAGATTAGTCGGGCCTGGTGGTGCGTACCTGTTATCCCAGTTACTGGAGAGGCTGAGGTGGGAGGATCGCTTGGGCCCAGGAGCTGGACGTTGCAGTGAGCCGAGATGGCCCCGCTGCACTCTTGTCTCTAACAAACAAAGTGGACCAAAACAAAGTGAAATGTCATTTGATTTGTGTCATCTGGTTTGATGACTTTTTTTTTTTTTTAGACAGAGTCTCACTCTGTCGCCCAGGCTGGAGTGCAGTGGCAAGATCTCGGCTCACTGCAACCTCCGCTTCCGGGGTTCAAGCAATTGTCCTGCCTCAGCCTCCTGAGTAGCTCAGATTACAACGCCTGGCTAATTTTTGTATTTTTAGTAGACCACCACGCCTGGCTAATTTTTGTGTTTTTAGTAGAGACGGGGTTTCACCATGTTCGCCAGGATAGTCTCCATCTCTTGACCTCGTGATCCGCCTGCCTCAGCCTCCCAGTGCTGGGATTACAGGCGTGAGCCACCGCGCCTGGCCAAAATATATAACCTTAAGTGTAAGTTTACTAACTTTGGAAAGTACATACACCAGCATAAACCGACCCCCTTTCAAGATCTACATTATTTTATTTATTTATTTATTTTTTTGAGACAGTTTCTCCCTTGTTGCCCAGGCTGGAGTGCAATGGGGCAATATCAGCTCACCGCAACCTCTGCTTCCCAGGTTTGAGCGATTCTCCTGCCTCAGCCTCCCGGGTGGCTGGGATTACAGACATGTGCCACCACTCCCAGCTAATTTTGTATTTTTAGTAGAGATAGGGTTTCTCCATGTTGGTCAGGCTGGTTTTGAACTCCTGACCTCAGGTGATCCGCCCGCCTCGGCCTCCCAAAGCGTTGGGATTACAGGCGTGAACCACCGTGCCCAGCCAAGATCTACACTATTATGTCACCCCAGAAAGTGAACTCTCAGTCTTCCCAGCCAGTCTCTTTCTTATCATAGGTTAGCTTGCTTATTCTGGAATTTCGCGTATACAGATGCATGCCATGCCATAGGTACTCTTTTGTGTCTGCTTTGTTCTGCTCAACACCATGTTTCTGAAATCATTACCATTGTTGTATGGTTCTCTAACTTCATCATTTCCATTTCAGACTCAGCATATGCTGAGTTCCACCTGTTGAAGGGCTATCTCTGTTTAATTCACCATCTTGAAAGAAACATTTAAAATTGAGATGTTTTCAAGAATATATAGTTAAATCCTGAGGAATCGACGTAGAAATGTTATCACAAGCTGTCTGAACTTACTCAGGGGAAGTCTTCGTCTTCACTCACATAAGAGTCTAATGGAATTAATATCAACAATCTTAGAGAAATCCCACACTATTCATGCCATTTTCATGATCTCCACCTTGGTAATTTTTTTTTTTTTTTTGAGACAGAGTCTCGCTCTGTCACCCAGGCTGAAGTGCAGTGGTGCAATCTCGGCTCACTGCAACCTCTGCCTCCCGGGTTCAAGTGATTCTTCTGCCTCAGCCTCCCAAGTAGCTGGAACTATAGGCGCGTGCCACCATGCCCTGCTAATTTTTTGTATTTTTAGTAGAGATGGGTTTCACCGTGTTAGCTAGGATGGTCTCAATCTCCTGATCTCGTGGTCCACCCACCTCGGCTTCCCAAAGTGCTGGGATTGCAGGCGTGAGCCACCACGCCCGGCCCACCTTGTTAATTTTTAAGCACTAAAATTTGATACTTATTTGTGAATGAAGTAATCTCTTCATTGTATTTTTTTTTTTTTTTACTTATGCTGAGCTTTAAATGACAAAGATTCATATAATCCAAGAGAGAAGTATTATTTAGAGGGATTCTTTTACCATGTGATATATAATAAATGCATCCAATGTTATACATCAATTTAAAAAACAAGTAAATAACTTTAAAGAAAAGATAACTACTGGCCAGGTGCAGTGGCTCACACCTGTATTCCCAGCACTTTGGGAGGCCGAGGCAGGTGGATCAAGAGGTCACGAGTTGGAGACCAGCCTGGCCAAGATGGTGAAACCCTGTTTCTACTCAAAATACAAAAATTAGCCGAGTGCGGTGGCAGGCGCCTGTAATCCCAGTTACTCAGTAGCTGAGGCAGGAGAATCGCTTGAACCCGGGAGGCGGAGGTTGCAGTGAGCTGAGATCATGCCACTGCAATCTAGCCTGGGTGACAGAGCAAGACTTTGTCTCCAAACAAAAAGAAAAGATAATTACTTTATACTTAGCTTGTCTTAGCCATGAGTGACGGGCTGCATGTGGCCCAGGACAGTTTTGAATGCAGTTCAACACAAATTTGTAAACTTTCTTAAAACATTAGGAGATTTTGGCCAGGTACAGTGGCTCATGCCTGTAATCCCAGCACTTTGGGAGGCTGAGGCGGGCAGATTACCTGAGGTCAGGAGTTCGAGACCACCCTGACCAACATGGCAAAACCCCATCTCCACAAAAAATACAAAAATTTGCTGAGTGCACTGTCAGGCACCTGTACTCCCAGCTACTCAGGAGGCTGAGGCAGGAGAATCACTTGAACCTGAGAGGCAGAGGTTGCAGTGAGCCGAGAGCACACCACTGCACTCCAGCCTGGGTGACAGAGTGAGACCCCATCTCAAAAAAACAAACAAAAACAAAAACAAAAAAATGGCTGGGCACGGTGGCTCACACCTGTAATCCCAGCACTTTGGGAGGCTGAGGCAGGCAGATCGCCTGTCAGGAGTTCAAGGCCAGACTGGCCAACATGGTGAAACCTCATCTCTACTAAAAATACAAAAATGAGTCGGGCATGGTGGCAGAGACCTGTAATCTCAGCTACTCGGGAGGCTGAGGCAGGAGAATGGCTTGAGCCCAGGAGCTGGAGGTTGTAGTGAGCCAAGATTGCACCACTTCACTCCAGCCTGGGCGACTGAGTGGAGCGGAACTCTGTCTCAAAAAAAAAAAAAAAAAAGAGGTTTTTTTTTAGATCATCAGCTATTGTTAGTGTTTGTGTATGTTATGTGTGGCTCAAGACAACTTTGCTTCTTTTAATATAGGCAGGGAAGTCAAAAGATTGGATATCCCTGCTTTATACCAAGAAAGACAACACCCCACATTTGCAGTGCCTGAAAACACTACCAGCCATCTGAAAAACATGTGACTTCTAACTTCTGTTCTTTTTTGTAGCAGTGGAATCCCACGGTGATATCTGAGGGATGTGGTTACCTTTTGGAGGAGGTTGACGGTTTCTAAGGATGATTCTTTCTGAGTGAAATATTGTCAGTGTCATTGACCTTTTCATTATTTCAACTATTATTATTCCAGGTTATCAATACTCTGGCTGACCATCATCATCGTGGGACTGACTTTGGTGGAAGTCCTTGGTTACATATTATTATTGCGTTTCCGACAAGTTATAAAGTTGTCATTACCCTCTGGATAGTTTACCTTTGGGTGAGTATACTAACTTTCTGTAGAGGTATACTTGTAATCACAAATAAGAATAAATTATATAAAACAATTCACATTTCTGGACTTCATTATGAATATGTGGTTTTACCCAAAAAATCAGGGAAATGATTTATTAGCATAAGAATTATGAAAATATCTGCCATTTGCGTTATGAAAATTAAATAGGTCACTGTTTGTTTAATAGAATGTCAACAGAGCTTTTGGTCAAAAATAAGTTTTTTTAACCTTTGTGCTATTTATCACAAATGGAGTATGAGGTTTCGTCACTTAAATAGGAAATTCTTTCTAAACTCTTCTGCTTTATAGTTCTATCGTATGGGTGGAAGGAAAGCTTCCAATCTCCTCTCTGAAGATTCACTGCAGAAATGAGCTGACAACAGACAGCTTAACAGGAAAAGAAAAACATAGAACAGGCATAAACATGGGAACCAGCTGAAAAATGAGACTGCTAGAACTGCCGGGTGGTTGATGCTTAAAGAGCACCCTCTTCTGAGGGGAGAGGGAGATAGATGGAGATGTAGGCCATTTAGAGGGGCAGCAAATGATTTTTAGGGGAAATGAAAGAGGCCAAGGAACAAACAATTGGCCTGAGACAAAGTTCCTCTGAGGTCATAGGGACGAGGTGACAAACTGCCGGAAGGTGAAGGGCAGAACTGCTCTGCGTCTCATGATGCAGAGAAAGCCCCAGAGACTCTTAGAACTGCCCTCCAAGAGAATCAATGAAAAGTGTGTCTGGGCAGGGTAATTTTGAATGACATCATTCAAAGTGCATGTTCCGACTTGGAACTGGAGAGAGATCAGTATGTCAAAAGTCTGTACTTGGTAAGAATTTGGCTGCTAAGTTGTACCATAATTTGTCTTTTGAGCCTTTTTTCCTTTGGGTAAGTTGAGCTCTACATTTTGTCTTGCCATTCATGACAGTAAAAATGTGGTTGTCTGGGGGCTGAACCTCCTTCTGAACAATGATCCAAGATAAAAGTACTAATACCACAATGCTTTTTTATATTCAAGGGAAGAGGAAGTATGTTTCAGTTTTACCACCTAGATAATTACACGTCATTTGGCACTGCCTTTCAAGATATGTAGAAAACAGAAAATATATGAGTTATGAAGATATCTAGGCACATTTAACATTCTCTATGCCACTTAGTCCTGAACAGAGAATTTTCGGTATAAATTGGAGGAAGCTTTTTTCTTTTTTTTTTTTCTTTTCTCACCCCGAAGACGAGTCTCCTTCTGTTGCCCAGGCTGGAGTATAATGGTGTGACCTCGGCTCACTGCAACCTCCACCTCCTGGCTTCAAGCGATTCCCCTGCCTCAGCCTCTCAAGTAGCTGGGATTACAGGTGCCCACCACCATGCCCAGCAAATTTTTGTATTTTTAGTAGAGTCGGGGTTTTACCATGTTGGCCAGGCTAGTCTCAAAACCCGACCTCAAATGATCCACCCGCCTCAGCCTCCCAAAGTGCTGGGATTACAAGCGTGAGCCACCACGTGAGCCAGGGGAAGTTTTTAAATTTACCACTTTTTAACAATTCCACTTAGGAAAGTTCAGTTGAGCTGTTGGACTTGGACAACTTCGCACCTCTCATCTTTGTCCTTGTCATCTAGTCATCTATACCATTACCTCCTAAGCAGGGACATCATGGGTGCCATGAAGCATTCATGCATGATGGCATTTCCTTGCTTGTCATTTCTTCATGTGTTTGACATTTCTCCTAGCTCCAAACTGGGCCAGCTACCTTTCCTATGAAATCTAGCAGTAGCTGTGGGATTGACGTGGTTGCTCTTTTCATCTTTTTAGATTACCCATTGCTTCTCTCGAAATCCTAGTACATGATTTTTTTTTTATCCTATGTGCAGAAATCAGGAAAAAACAAATTCTACAAAGAATTTGAAAGATTATTTCAGGCCAGGTGTGGTGGCTCATGCCTGTAATCCCAGCACTTTGGGAGGCTGAGGCAGGTGGATGACTTGAGGTCAGGAGTTCAAGACCAGATGGGCCAACATGGTGAAACCCCATCTCTACTAAAAAGACAAAAATTAGCCAGGCATGGTAGCAGGCACCTGTAATCCCAGCTACTTGGGAGGCCGAGGCACAAGAATCGCTTGAATCTGGGAGGTGGAGGCTGCCGTGAGCCAAGGTAGCGCCACTGCACTTCAGCATGGTTGAGAGTGACACTCCATCTCAAGAAAAAAGTCATTTCAATGACTACCTCAGGAGATTCATAGGTATCTGACCGACATCTGAGATGGGATTTGCATTGCATTTTCGCTATGATGAGAAGAAATATTTAATGTCTTAGAAGATTAAAAGCATACTGTGATAATATGGAAATCTTGGTGGGAATTCAGTCATTAGTGAGAATGTTTTGCGTTAAGTTCAAACCAGCCTCAATGAAGCTGATGTGAGGGAAGGGAAAGTGAACTCTGAGTAGAGCAGGGACAGAAGGAAGATGCTCCAGTGCAGATCAGGAAGGAGCAGGGGGTGAAATGTTACAAATTCTAGAACTCAGAGAGCTGAAGGTAATTACTTCCTTTTCAAGTTGTGAAACATGTTAACCTGTGGTAAAATACTTATAAGATGATAATTACCATCTAACCGTGTTGAAGTGTACAGTTCAGTTGTGTGAAGTATATTCATGTCATTTTTTTTTTTTTTTTTGAGACGGAGTCTCACTCTGTCACCAGGCTGGAGTGCAGTGGTGGGATCTTGGCTCACTGCAACCTCTGCCTCCTGGGTTCAAGCAGTTCTCCTGCCTCAGCCTCCCGAGTAGCTGGGACTACAGGCGTGCATCACCATGCTCAGCTAATTTTTGTATTTTTAGTAGAGACGGGGTTTCACCATGTTGCCCAGGATGGTCTCCATCTCTTGACCTTGTGATTCACCCGCGTCGGCCTCCCAAAGTGTTGGGATTACAGGCATGAGCTACCGCAGGTGGCCTATTTTTTTTTTTTTTTTTTTTTTTGAGACAGTTTCAATTTTGTTGCCCAGGTTGGAGTGCAATGGCACAATCTCAGCTCACCACAACCTTTTCCTGCTGGGTTCAAGTGATTATCCTGCCTCAACCTCCCGACTAGCTGGGATTACAGGCATGCACCACCATGCCTGGCTAATTTTGTATTTTTAGCAGAGACAGTGTTTCTCCATGTTGGTGAGGCTGGTCTCAAACTCCCGACCTCAGGTGATCCGCCTGCCTCAGCCTCCCAAAGTGCTGGGATTACAGGAGTGAGCCACTGTGCCAGCCTCATGTCATTCTTGTGTGTGTGTGTGTGTATGTGACAGAGTCTCATTCTGTCGCTCAGGCTGGAGTGCAGTGGTGTGATCTCGGCTCACTGCAACCTCCGCCTCCCAGCTTCAAACGGTTCTCTGCCTCAGCCTCCCGAGTAGCTTGGATTACAGGCGCCCGCTGCCATGCCCGGCTAATTTTTGTATTTTTAGTAGAGATGGGGTTTCACCATCTTGGCCAGGCTGGTCTTGCTCCTGACCCCGTGATCCACCTGCCTCAGCTTCCCGAAGTACTGGGATTATACGCATGAGCCACCGTGCCCAGCCGTCATTCTTATATTATTATTTCCTAGGTGTCTCTCCTGAAGACTATCTTCTGGTCTCGAAATGGACATGATGGATCCACGGATGTACAGCAGAGAGCCTGGAGGTCCAACCGCCGTAGACAGGAAGGTATGGCTCTGTTGGAATCCGCATAGTGTGGAAATGAGTTTGCCCTGGAAAGGGAAAGAACAGCTTCTTGCCCTCAGGTTTCTCACCTTCTCCTCTCCTCACTCTCACCAAGGGCTGAGGTCCATTTGTATGCACACAAAGAAAAGAGTTTCTTCCTTTCGAGGAAATAAAATTGGCCTGAAAGACGTCATTACTCTACGGAGGCATGTGGAAACAAAAGTTAGAGCTAAAATCCGTAAGAGGAAGGTGACAACGAAAATCAACCGTCATGACAAAATCAATGGAAAGAGGAAGACCGCCAGAAAACAGTAAGATGTGCCTTGACACAAATACTGTTGTAGGAACCATGTGCCAATCAAAGTAGACAACTGTAAAGTCCTTGAGAATATTTTCTACAATATTTGTGGCAAATTCAGTAGGTTCAAAATTGAGTTTGTCCTTTCTGCTTCATTAGTTTAAGCTGTATAATTCCTTTCCCTTCCTACATTCTTGTTTGTAATTTTTTCGGGGGAAGAGGAGTTGCTAGTACTGGCATTGGTTTTCCTTTCTCTTTTTTTTTTTTTTTTTTTTTTTTTTTTTTCCTGAGATGGAGCTTTGCTGTTGTTGCCCAGGCTGTAGTGCAATGGCACAATCTCAGCTCACTGCCTTTTGGGTTCAAGCAATTCTCCTGCCTCAGCCTCCCAAGTAGCTGGGATTACAGGTGCCCACCATCACGCCCAGCTAATTTTTGTATTTTTACTAGAGATGGGGTTTCACCATGTTGTCCAGGCTGGTCTCGAACTTCTGACCTCAGGTAATCCACCTGCCTCAGCCTCCCAAAGTGCTGGGATTAGAGGCGTGAGCCACCACAGCCAGCCTTTTTTTTTTTTTTTTTTTTTTTTAATTTTGAGATAGAGTCACGCTCTGTCGCCCAGGCTGGAGTGCTATGGTGCAGTCTTGGCTCACTGCAACCTCTGCCTCCCAGTTTGAAGCAATTCTGCCTCAGCCTCCCGAGTAGCTTGGATTACAGCTGTGTGCCACCACATTTGACCAATTTTTTTTTTTTTTTTTTTTTGAGACAGAGTCTCACTCTGTCACCCAGGCTAGAGTGCAGTGGCATGATCTTGGCTCACTGCAACCTCCACCTCCCAGGTTCAAGCGATTCTTATCTCTCAGCCTCTTGAGTAGCTGGGACTACAGACATATGCCACCATGCCCGGATAATTTTTGTATTTTTAGTAGAGGCGGGGTTTCACCATATTGGCCAAGCTGGTCTAGAACTCCTGACATCATGATCCGCACACCTCGGCCTCCCAATGTGCTGGGATTACAGGCGTGAGCCACCGTGCCCGGCCCAATTTTTGTATTTTTAGTAGAGACGGGTTCACCATGTTGGCCAGGCTAGTCTTGAACTCCTGACCTCAGGTGATCTGCCTACCTCAGCCTCCCAGTGTGAGCCACCGCACCCAGCCTGGATTGTTGAATTCAATGCTTGGGTCACCTCCAGATTCATTTTCACAGTCTTTCATGTTTTGGTCATATGACATTGTATTTTGCTGCCATATGACTGATCTTTTTTTGTTAAATGTGAGATACTTGTTAAAAAATGTTTAGCAATGAATTGAGGCCTAGTAGCATGTTATCTTGCTGCAGAAGAGATGGGAGTCTACTTCTGGGGGATGGTCAGGGGTCCTCCATACAGGCTGCAATTGAGGTCGTCGGTGCAGGCTCAGTCCCTACAAAGGCCAGGGTATTTCCTGTCCACCTTTATTCTGATGCATGACTCTTCTGGGTCTCAACCAGAGCCAGTGGACTTCAGTATGGGTCGCTTTCATTGGCAGACCCTCAATCCACTTGTTTTCCATCTAATCCCACGCATGTGTGCAAAAGCTGCTGTGCTTCTTTGCATCTCAGTAGTTCCTTCTGGAATTCAGCAATGAAACTCAGGGAAATGGGTTCCAAATGCGAGGCTGACTTTCGTCCTGGGTTTCCTTCTTCTCCATCTTCACCTCATGTCTGTTTACTGCCATGTTAGCAATTTGATGTATTCAATCATGGGTTTTATATTCTGTTTGGTGTCCCCCATTGTTCTCATCGGAGATCAGAAGCTTCAGATGCACTTATGTCAACTCAAGAGTAGAATGCTTCCTTAGCTTCCCTCCAGAGTCAGGTTTTGTGTTTCTAGTTCCCAAGTGCACAGCAGGAGTAGTGATGTCCTCACTGGCTTCTCATTTGCATTAAGCTGTGAGCTTCTTTAGCGTGGGGACAGGACCCTGCTCCCATTGCATTCTCAGCACCACACCACACACTCCTTGTTTGAGGCCACTCCAGACAGCATGTGCTGAAGGATGCCTTGTGGTCAGAAACAAGTTCATTAACTTTCTCTTTGAAGTGTTTTCGCCCCTGTTTCCTAGCGTTCTGGGAATTTTACACATCCTTCCTATAAAACCAAGTATCAGGTGAGATCCTTAGGATCAGGACCATGAATCAAGTGGTGTGAGGGCAACACAGCAAACTTACCCTTTTTAGGCCGTTTCCTTTTTCTGCCCTCAATCTCTGTGAACTGAACCTTGTTAAAGTCAGTCAACACCAGGGTGGATGGTTTGCCGTTGTCACCTATTTTCAGGACATAACACCCTGACTTAGGAGCCATTCCGATCATTTCTAATTCAATAGATGCGCCCAGCATTCAGATTGCCTTTTCTCTCAACCAGGATCTTTAAAGTCGATGACAAGAGTTCCAGTCCTGAATCATGGCAAAGTGCAGTAGTGAACTGCGGGGTTATTCTGGAAGGATCTCTCTATGGCTGATGGTCTCAGTTCTGGCATCAGCCTCTGACTGAGAATCAGGTCTCACACAGGAGGAGTCAGATGAGGAGCAATCCTCTGCTTCCGATGGAGTTAGTTGTGATGAATTGGTGAGGTCTGGTTTTTCACACTGAACTAAAATGAGCTTTCGCTGTGTCAAGCACAAGACTGACCCCAGAGACACACATAGTGCACCTCATAGAAGCTTTTAATAGTCTTTATATTTACTAAAGAATAGGACTAACTATGGAACTATGAAGATGAGCTGGAAATGACAGGTGACTTGCCAGCAGGCCAGAGTGTGACTTTTTTTTGTCCCTCAATGGGAGGTGTCAATTCTCCCTTCGGTTGTGAGAATCAGTTGGTTCATTTGTGGGAAGGTTGCAGGGGGGATCTTTGAATCACAGCCTTCAGATGCCAGAAGGGCAGAGGGAATCCCACACGGGCTGGTGGATCATGTGTGTGCATTTCTCTCCCTTCTAATCTGAGGAAACTAAGCGTGAAAGAATGTGAGCATGCAGAAAAGGAGAGGCAGGTATCAGAGGCAGAGGAAAATGGGAAATTGGATATGAAAGAAATACACACCTACAAGTGAGTTCAGAAACTGAACCCCACCCTCCTGGGAAACGCCCATTGGAGTGTTGTTTTTAACCTTTGTACAGTATTTAGACCCAGTAAATGCAGAAATAGAAACAAACGGTCAGAAGACATATCGTGAGAGAGAGCGAGAGAGAGTTCACAAAACAGAAAACAAAGTACCTTAATATTTACCAGTGACCAAAAGATGTGAAGTAGCAAAACGTCTCCTGACCCCATTGCCAGCTAGACTATGTGGAAACTCGGTTCATACCAGCCATTCTAGGGGTGGGGTGAGTTGTTGTCATCCTTAGGAAAGTGTGTTGTTGTAGGATCAACCACATCCTTCAAAAGGACTATGCCTGTTTATAAGCCCAGCTGTTTCTGCCCTGTGAAACACGGTAAGGATATTAATACAAAGAGAATACAGCTTTATGATAAAAGATGCTCAATGAAGGATGAATTAGGGATGTACTGAGAATGGGGAAGGAAACTATCATCTCAGAAGTCAGCAGGCAGTAAGCAAGAGGAGGAATCAATACAGCAACAGTTTGGATCAGACTGTACAGTTTTTTTGTTTTTGTTTTTGTTTTTCTGAGATGGAGTCTCGCTGTGTCACCCAGGCTGGAGTGCAATGACGTGATCTTGGCTCACTGCAACCTCCGCCTCCCAGGTTCAAGTGATTCCCCTGCCTCAGCCTCCCGAGTAGCTGGGATTACAGGTGCCTGCCACCACGCCTGGCTAATTTTTTGTATTTTTAGTAGAGAAGGGGTTTCACCATATTAGCCACAATGGTCTCAATCTCCTGACCTCGTGATCCATCTGCCCCGCCCTCCCAGAGTGCTGGGATTACAGGCGTCAGCCACCGTGACCGGCTCAGACTGTACTCTTATAGCCATCTGAAATACGTTTTCTAGGTAGAGATAGATTGTGTAAGGGTACAGTTGTGAGGATAACAGAAACATGGCAGATTATTTAAAATCATCCTGAAAGTGGTGCTTTATCTGATGAAAGTGATTGTAATCCATAGGAAAATGTTTCAACGTGCGCAAGAGTTGCGGCGGCGGGCAGAGGACTACCACAAATGCAAAGTAAGGAGCTTCCTCCCTGCAGTTGCAGGATAGTTCAGTGCTGATGCAGATGATGCCACGGCCCTTAGACTCTCTCAACATTCAATTTCTCATGTGTTGGCTTTTTCAGATCCCCCCTTCTGCAAGAAAGGCTCTTTGCAACTGGGTAAGTTTGCTTGTTTTCCTTGCTTTTGGACATAGTCTGCCAGGTCAGGACATGGATACATTTTTCTCCCTACAGCTCTGTGCTCAAGCCCTGCAGAGGGAGATGGCAGAGAGAAAGGCTGCCTACAAGCATCACAGTCCCATCCCTGTTGGTAACCGTGTTGCGCAAAAACACCTTCATCCCCACCCAGTGGGGCCCCTGATCTAATATTCTAAGTGTCAGAGGTTCCGTATTTGTAATAGCAGATGGGCCCTGACTGTAAACTAGTGAAGAGTGAATGTAACTTATTACCCACAGGGACAATTCCAAATGAAGGCCTTAAATGATGCTCAGCTAAGCTGGTTCTTGTGTGGCCTCTGTACCTTCAAAAGCTGCCGAGTCCTATGATTACACGTGATGGGACTTGTACACTTGAAGTGAAACACAGTTTTAAAACTTGCTTTGTTTAGAATTCCCACCTCATTTTTCCATGGACAAAAGTATTCTTTATGTCCTAGTGCACTTACAATTTGGTATTACCTGGGAGTGAAAAGAAATATTACAGCCATGCCTAAGTGACTTCTTGAGGTGAGATTGTTCTGTCAGAAAACCCTCTCCCAGTTCCCCTGCAGCTCTTCAGGAATCCACATCTCTCCAGAGCTCTTTGTTCTCATGGGTGGCACCTCCAGAGTGAAGAAGATCCTTTGTCAAGAAGGGAAACAGAGGGGAAATGAGAGGGTCCTGCAGGCAGAGCTGGAATCAACTTCCACTCTGCCTCTTGCAAGCTGTGTGACCCTGGGCACAATTTCTCCTTCCTCTGGAAACCTCTGTTTTCTTAGATTTGGAGCAGGGTGGTCACACTGACCTTGCAGAGTTCTGAGAATCAGAGACAGAACATAAAAGGCCTGGAAAACATTCTCCAAAAAGAAGCTGCAACATGTGTGGACAGTGGGCTTTTCATGCCTCTCTTACTGTCTCTTACTGTCTGTTGACCTGGTGCAAGAAACATGCTCTGGTGATGGCTGTGAGGGAGGAATGAGGATAGACATAGACACTCCTGTGTCTCAAACATGCTTCTTTATTACTCTGTTATGACTCTGTCTTCCCTGGGGCAGGACCCCAGCCTGCCTACATTTGCAGACAGACACAGTGGCATGTGGAGACAACAGTGTGTCCCAATGACTTTCCTTTACCCTCCAGCTGTCGGCAGTACTCAGTGGAAGGGTGATATTATGACACTGATACTGCTATTTTGAAACCTGGAGGATGGAAAGGTGCAAAAATCTATCACCAGCAACAGAAGGTGCAGACTGTGTTGGTGGCGGTAATTTTGTCCATCAAATGAATATGTGTGAAAACATTCCCTCCTTTGGCCCTACAGGTCAGAATGGCGGCAGCGGAGCATCGTCATTCTTCAGGATTGCCCTACTGGCCCTACCTCACAGCTGAAACTTTAAAAAACAGGATGGGCCACCAGCCACCTCCTCCAACTCAACAACATTGTATAACTGATAACTCCCTGAGCCTCAAGACACCTCTCGAGTGTCTGCTCACTCCCCTTCCACCCTCAGCGGATGATAATCTCAAGACACCTCCCGAGTGTCTGCTCACTCCCCTTCCACCCTCAGCGGATGATAATCTCAAGACACCTCCCGAGTGTCTGCTCACTCCCCTTCCACCCTCAGCTCCACCCTCAGCTCCACCCTCAGCGGATGATAATCTCAAGACACGTGCCGAGTGTCTGCTCCATCCCCTTCCACCCTCAGCGGATGATAATCTCAAGACACCTTCCGAGCGTCAGCTCACTCCCCTTCCACCCTCAGCTCCACCCTCAGCAGATGATAATATCAAGACAACTGCCGAGCGTCTGCGGGGGCCGCTTCCACCCTCAGCGGATGATAATCTCAAGACACCTTCTGAGCGTCAGCTCACTCCCCTTCCACCCTCAGCTCCACCCTCAGCAGATGATAATATCAAGACACCTGCCGAGCATCTGCGGGGGCCGCTTCCACCCTCAGCGGATGATAATCTCAAGACACCTTCTGAGCGTCAGCTCACTCCCCTTCCACCCTCAGCTCCACCCTCAGCAGATGATAATATCAAGACACCTGCCGAGCGTCTGCGGGGGCCGCTTCCACCCTCAGCCGATGATAATCTCAAGACACCTTCTGAGCGTCAGCTCACTCCCCTTCCACCCTCAGCTCCACCCTCAGCAGATGATAATATCAAGACACCTGCCGAGCATCTGCGGGGGCCGCTTCCACCCTCAGCGGATGATAATCTCAAGACACCTTCTGAGCGTCAGCTCACTCCCCTTCCACCCTCAGCTCCACCCTCAGCAGATGATAATATCAAGACAACTGCCGAGCATCTGCGGGGGCCGCTTCCACCCTCAGCGGATGATAATCTCAAGACACCTTCCGAGCGTCAGCTCACTCCCCTTCCACCCTCAGCTCCACCCTCAGCAGATGATAATATCAAGACACCTGCCGAGCATCTGCAGTTCCGCTTCCACCCTCAGCGGATGATAATCTCAAGAGACCTTCCGAGCGTCAGCTCACTCCCCTTCCACCCTCAGCTCCACCCTCAGCAGATGATAATATCAAGATACCTGCTGAGCATCTGCGGGTTCCGCTTCCACCGTCAGCGGATGATAATCTCAAGACACCTTCCGAGCGTCAGCTCACTCCCCTTCCACCCTCAGCTCCACCCTCAGCAGATGATAATATCAAGACACCTGCCGAGCGTCTGCGGGGGCCGCTTCCACCCTCAGCCGATGATAATCTCAAGACACCTTCCGAGCGTCAGCTCACTCCCCTTCCACCCTCAGCTCCACCCTCAGCAGATGATAATATCAAGACACCTGCCGAGCGTCTGCGGGGGCCGCTTCCACCCTCAGCCGATGATAATCTCAAGACACCTTCCGAGCGTCAGCTCACTCCCCTTCCACCCTCAGCTCCACCCTCAGCAGATGATAATATCAAGACACCTGCCGAGCGTCTGCGGGGGCCGCTTCCACCCTCAGCCGATGATAATCTCAAGACACCTTCCGAGCGTCAGCTCACTCCCCTTCCACCCTCAGCTCCACCCTCAGCAGATGATAATATCAAGACACCTGCCGAGCGTCTGCGGGGGCCGCTTCCACCCTCAGCCGATGATAATCTCAAGACACCTTCCGAGCGTCAGCTCACTCCCCTTCCACCCTCAGCTCCACCCTCAGCAGATGATAATATCAAGACACCTGCCGAGCGTCTGCGGGGGCCGCTTCCACCCTCAGCCGATGATAATCTCAAGACACCTTCCGAGCGTCAGCTCACTCCCCTTCCACCCTCAGCTCCACCCTCAGCAGATGATAATATCAAGACACCTGCCGAGCGTCTGCGGGGAGCGTCTGTGGGTTCCGCTTCCACCCTCAGCGGATGATAATCTCAAGACACCTTCCAAACGTCAGCTCACTCCCCTTCCACCCTCAGCTCCACCCTCAGCAGATGATAATATCAAGACACCTGCCGAGCGTCTGCGGGGGCCGCTTCCACCCTCAGCCGATGATAATCTCAAGACACCTTCCAAACGTCAGCTCACTCCCCTTCCACCCTCAGCTCCACCCTCAGCAGATGATAATATCAAGACACCTGCCGAGCGTCTGCGGGGGCCGCTTCCACCCTCAGCCGATGATAATCTCAAGACACCTTCCGAGCGTCAGCTCACTCCCCTTCCACCCTCAGCTCCACCCTCAGCAGATGATAATATCAAGACACCTGCCGAGCGTCTGCGGGGGCCGCTTCCACCCTCAGCGGATGATAATCTCAAGACACCTTCCGAGCGTCAGCTCACTCCCCTTCCACCCTCAGCTCCAACCTCAGCAGATGATAATATCAAGACACCTGCCGAGCGTCTGCGGGGGCCGCTTCCACCCTCAGCCGATGATAATCTCAAGACACCTCCCTTAGCTACTCAGGAGGCTGAGGCAGAAAAACCACGCAAACCCAAGAGGCAGAGGGCGGCTGAGATGGAACCACCTCCCGAACCCAAGAGGCGGAGGGTCGGTGACGTGGAACCGTCACGCAAACCCAAGAGGCGGAGGGCCGCTGACGTGGAACCATCATCACCCGAACCCAAGAGGCGGAGGGTCGGTGATGTGGAACCGTCACGCAAACCCAAGAGGCGGAGGGCCGCTGACGTGGAACCATCATCACCCGAACCCAAGAGGCGGAGGTTGAGCTGAGAAGAGGCCAGTGCACTCAAGCCTGAGCAATAAGAATAAAACCGAGTAGAACAAAATAAAAAATTCAAAAAACAAAACAAAACCCACACTCCAAAAACTAACAAAGAATAAATAAATAATATAAAAATAAAATAAATACTGCAGTCCTTATGTTATTGCTTTGTTTCGATATCTGGTATGATTGCCTGAGGGACCTGAGGTTTTTAATCATAGGGGTTTTTTTTTAATCTTTAGAAGTGGTTGGTTATGTAAAATATTATTATTATTTTTTTTGAGACTGGATTTTGCTGTGTCACCCAGGCTGGAGTGCAGTGGCTCGATCACAGCTCACTGCAGCCTCAACCTCCTGGGCTTCAAGCAATCCTCCTGCCTCAGCCTCCCAAGTAGCTGGGATCACAGATGTGTGCCACCACGCCTGGCCAATGTTAAAAAATCCTTTAACTTTTTTGTAGAGATGCACTCCTGGACTCAAGCGATCCTCCTACTTGTCCCGACCACCAGCCCCTTTCTGATAAACAAACATTTACACTGTTTATTATCTGATGCCATTTCTATCTTCTTCCTTGTCGTCCAGACATCGAATAATTAGGTTTCTTCAGGGTTTTCTTTTTCAAGTGCTCAGTGTTAAAGATCACTCACATTAGGGCCAGACACCATGGCTCATGCCTGTAATCCCAGCACTTTGGGAGGCCGAGGCGGGCAGACCACTTGAGGTGGGGAGTTTGAGACCAGCCCGGCCAACTTGGTGAAACCCCACCTCTACTGAAAAACATACAAAAATTAGCTGGGCGTGATGGTGCATGTCTGTAGTCCTAGCCACTTGGGAGGCTGAGGCATGAGAATCGCTTGAACCCAGGAGACAGAGGTTGTAGTGAGCCAAGATCACGTCAGCACACTCTAGCCTGGGTGACAGAGTGAGACTCTGACTCAAAAAATATAAATAAAATAAATATCACTTACATGAGATATACCCAAGGGGTGGTCTACAGAGACTTGGAAGCAGTGGTTATTGCAACAGGGGCACGGAAGTCATCTGGCTATGCCAGGGTGCCCAGGGGATACTCGGGGTGGGTGGCATGGTGCTGCTGGGGACTCATCGCACAGGACGCTCTGATTGACGCACTGCCAGGAGTAGCGCTCTGTCTTGGGGCTGCAGCCGGCCTCCTCAGCTCGAGTGTAACAACAGTCGTGGCCATGGCAGCACCTGCGGATGTCACATGGGCAGGACAGCAGGTGGGTGAAGCTCTCTCCTGGCCCTCCTCTCTTGCCAGGACCATGGGTGACTGAAGACCCCCAGGGAGGCACAGCATCCTCTTATCTAAGATTTTTTTTTTTTTAAGAGACAGGGTCTTTAAAAAAGTCCTGCAGTCTGCAGTCGCCCAGGCTGGACTGCAGAGGCACAATCATAGCTCACGGCAGCCTTGAACTCCTGGGCTCAAGCGATCCTTCCACTTCAGTGTCCCAAGTAGCTGAGACTACAGGCACACGCCAGCATGCCCGGCTGGTTTTTTAATTTGTATTTCCTTTGAGACAGCATATCTCTCTGTCGCTCAGGCTGGGGTGCAATGGCTCAATCAGCTCACTTTAGCCTTGAACTCCCGGGCTCAAGTGATACTGCCACCTCAACTTCCCAAGTATGCTACTACAGGAACACAAACTCCTTTTTTAAATTTTTTGTGGATATGGGGTCTATGTTGCCTAGGCTGGTCTTGAACTCCCAGGCTCAAGCAGTCCTCCTACCTCAGCCTCCCCAAATGCTGGGATTACAGGTGGGAGCTACTGTATGCCTGGCCTTATCTAAGCTGTTTCCCTGAAAATGCCCGTCTTGGGTAATGATTCCATTGGCCCCACCATGCCCTGTCCTGCCTTCCTGGCTGTGCCCAAGCTTGGTCCCTGCCTGCCTGCCTCACTCTCTGGGTCTCGAGCTCCTGTGACACATGACTCCTCTCTCTTCCTGGAGTGATCCAAGCCCTGCCACTTCCTGACTTTGCCCACACTGTACCCTCTGCCTGGGGCAACTTCATGTCTGCCCATTGTCCCTTAGGCCTCAGCCCAGGCACAAGCCCCTGCCTCCGGAGGTCATCCAGGCCTCACCAGGCTACACCCTCTCGTAAAATTGGATTCCCTCCCTTCAGGGCAGGTTTATAATGAAATCCTCCTCGGAGGCCAGGTGCGGTGACACCCATCTGTAATCCCAGCACTTTGGGAGGCTGAGGTGGGAGGATCACTTGAGGCCAGGGGATCGAGACCAGCCTGGGCAACATAAGAGAGACTCTTGTCTCTCTTGTCTCTATAACAAATTTAAAAATTAGCTCACCAGGCCAGGCTCAGTGGCTCATGCCTGTAATCCCAACACTTTGAGAGGCCGAGGCAGGTGGATCACGAGGTCAGGAGTTCGAGAGCAGCCTGACCAACACGGCGAAACCCTGTCTCTACTAAACATACAAAATTAGCCAGGCATGGTGGCACGCACCTGTAATCCCAGCTACTCGGGAGGCTGAGGTAGGAGAATTGCTTGAACCCCGGAGGTGGAGGTTGCGGTGAGCCAAGATCACGCCATTGCAGTCCAGCCTGAGCAACAGAGCAAGACTCTGTCTCGAGAGAATAAAAACACACAAAAAATTAACTCGCCAGGATGGCACATGCCTATAGTCCTAACTACTTGGGAGGCTGAGGTGGGAGGATTCCCTTCAGCCCAGGAGTTTGAGGCTGCAGTGAGCCACTGTGATTGTGCCACTGCACTCTAACCTGGGCAAAAGCGAGACCCCAGGCTAGAGTGCATGATTTTGGGTCACTGCAACCTCCACCTCCCAGGTTCAAGTGATTCTCCTGCCTCAGCCTCTTGAGTAGCTGGGACTACAGGCATGTGCCACCACGTCTGGGTAATTTTTGTATTTTTAGTAGAGACAGGGTTTAGTAGAGACCATGGTGAAACCCCATCTCTATTAAACAAATCTCTACTAACCCCATCTCTACAAAAAACAGCTGGGCGTGGTAGTGCACACCTGTAATTCCAGCTACTTGGGAGGCTGAGGCATGAGAATCATTTGCATCTTGGAGGCAGTTTGCAGTGAGCTGAGATCGCACCACTGCACTCCAGCCGGGATGACAGAGCAAGACCCTGTCTCAAAAAAAAAAAAAAAGAAAAAAGAAC
The DNA here is from genome assembly GCF_000001405.40 of Homo sapiens. Taxonomy (NCBI): domain Eukaryota; kingdom Metazoa; phylum Chordata; class Mammalia; order Primates; family Hominidae; genus Homo; species Homo sapiens. The sequence goes on along the minus strand of NC_000016.10, from coordinate 29,378,291 downwards.
AAACAACAGCAACAACAACAAAAACCTCTGTGTCAATCACAGCCTTCGAGCTAGGGGAGAGGCGGCCGAATTCTGCCCTCCGCTAACGAGCTATAGCTTTGTGGAAATGGGCGAGTGGCGTGCCCTTGTGAGCCTCAGGGCCGCATCTGTAAAATGGGCATAACTGTCATGCCTGCCTTTAAGAACAGCCTTGGGGGTAAATGAGTGGAACTCATGGAAAGATCTCAGCCCACAACCTTCCACAGAACAGGCGCTTCTCACACAGTAAGTAGCAGGAGTGCAGAGGCTGCAGGCATGAATCCAGTCAGACTGCAGACTGCCTGGGTTCAAGTCCCAGCTCCCACGTCTTGGTAACTAAGTGGCCTCAGACAAGTTACTTAGTATTTCTTCTTCTTCTTTTTTTTTTTTTTTTTCAGACGGAGTTTTGCTCTGTCACCCAGGCTGGAGTGCAGTGGTGTGATCTCGGCTCACTGCAACCTCCGCCTCCCGGGTTCAAGCAATTCTCCTGCCTCAGCTTCCTGAGTAGCTGGAATTACAGGAACCTGCCACCACATCCAGCTAATTTTTGTATTTTTAGTAGAGACAGGGTTTCACCATGTTGGCCAGGATGGTCTCGAACTCCTGACCTCGTGATCTGCCTGCCTCAGCCTCCCAAAGTACTGGGATTATAGGCGTGAGCCACCGCACCTGGACACATTACTTAATATTTCTGTGCCTTGGTTTCTTCATCTGTGAAATGGGATTGTTGTGAGAACGCAAAGGGATTCCCAGGGCAGTTCCTAGTGCATAGTCTGGCTGCCTTTGTGTGTGTGTGTGTGTGTGTGTGCATGTGTGTGTGTGTTTAATATAGAGACAGGGTCTCACTATGTTGCCTAGGCTGGTTTCAAACTCCTGGGCTCCAGTGATCCTCCTGCTTCCACCCAAAGTGGTGGGATAACAGGTGTGAGTCACCACACCTGGTCACTTTATATTATTTTTTTCTTTTGAGACAGGGTCTCGCACTGTTGCCCAGGTTGGAATGCAGTGGTGCAATCTCAACTCACTGCAAACTCCGCCTCCCGGGTTCAAGTGTTTCTCCTGCATCAGCCTCTTGAGTAGCTGGTACTATAGTCACCCAGCTCCTTGCCTGGCTAAGTTTTGTATTTTTAGTAGAGATGCGGTTTAGTGATTCTCCTGCATCAGCCTCTTGAGTAGCTGGTACTATAATCACCTAGCTCCTTGCCCAGCTAATTTTTGTATTGTTAGTAGAGATGCGGTTTCCTTTTTTTTTTTTTTTTTTTTTTTTGAGATGGAGTTTCGCTCTTGTTGCCTAGGCTGGAGTGCAGTGGTGCTATCTCGGTTCACCACAGCCTCCGCCTCCTGGGTTCAAGCGATTCTCCTCCTCAGCCTCCCGAGTAGCTGGGATTACAGGCATGCGCCACCGCACCTGGCTAATTTTGTATTTTTAGTAGAGACGGGGTTTCCCCATGTTGGTCAGGCTAGTCTCGAACTCCTGACGTCAGGTGATCTGCCTTCCTCGGCCTCCCAAAGTGCTGGGATTACAGGCATGAGCCAGCATGCCAGGCTGGCCCTTTTTTTTTTTTTTTTTTTAATCACTTAACATATATCTTGGAGAACTTTCCATTTTGGGAGTTAAAGAGATTTGTTTGTTTGTTTGTTTTGAGACAGGGTCTCCCTCTGTGGCCCAGGCTGGAGCTGGACCTTGGCTCAGTCCAACTTCCACCCCCCGGGCTCAAGCAATCCTCCCACTTCAGCCTTCCAAGTAGCTGGGTCTATGGGCACATGCCACCACATCCCGCTACTTTTTATAGTTTTTGTAGAGATAGGATTTTACCATGTTGCCCAGGCTGGTCTTGAACTCCTGAGCTCAAGTGATCCACCTGCTTCAGCCTCCCGAAGTACTGGGATTACAGGCATGAGCCATCTTGCCCAGCCTGTTTTTTATTTAATATCTACTAAGTGCCAACTACCATAGAGGACATAAAGATGATTCAGTCTCTGCAGAAGTCATTTTCTTTCTCTTTCCTGTTGTACAGCACAAAATTAATGGACTAAATAGTCTGTCACTAGATAAAGAAGCCCTAAGTAATCAGGCACTTGCTGCAGTTTTTACAAAGTTTAAAAAGCCATATGAAACACAGTATACTCCAAGTAATAAGAGGCAAAATATGCGAAGTGTTACTGCTGGGAATTTACGGACTATTCTTTTCTACAATATATCTGCTGTGGTCTGAATGTGTTCCCCAAGATTCATATGTTAAAACTTAACCACCAGTCTGGTAGTATTAAGAGGTGGGGCATCATTAAGTCATGAGGGCATGGGATTAGTAACCTCATAAAAAGGTTGGCAGGAACGAGCTAGGCCCTTTCATTGCCCTTACATCCCTCTGTCACTTGAAGACACAGCACTGGTCCCCCCGGGAGGACATAGCAGCAAGGTGCCATATTGGAAATGGCCACCATGCCCTCACCAGATACCAACCTGCTGGTAACTTAATCTTGGCCTTCCTAGCCTCCAGAACTGTGAGAAAGAAATTTCTGGGTTTTGTTTGTTTGTTTGTATGAGACAGGGTCTCTGTCACCTCGGCTGGAGTGCAGTGGCACGATCTCAGCTCACTGCAACCTCTGCCTCCTGGGTTCAAGTGATTCTCCCACCTCAGCCTCCCGAGTAGCTGGGATTACAGGTATGCACCACCACACCCTGCTTTTTTTTTTTTTTCTTAGCGTTGTACAGATAGGGTTTCGTCATGTTGCCCAGGCTGATCTCGAACTCCTAAGGTCACACGATCCACCTGCCCTGGCCTCCCAGCATGCTGGGATTAAAGGCGTGAGCCACTGTGCCTGGCCAAAATTTCCATTTTTTATAAATAACCCAGTCTCTGGTACTTTCTTATAGCCACACGAACAGATAAAGACTGTACCTATCTGTTGGCTGGGCGCAGTGGCTCACGTCTGTAATCCCAGCACTTCGGGAGGCTTAGACAAGTGGATCACGAGGTCAGGAGATCGAGACCATCCTGGCTAACATGGTGAAACCCCGTCTCTACTAAAAATACAAAAAATTTAGCTGGGCGCGGTGGCGGGCGCCTGTAGTCCCAGCTACTCAGGAGGCTGAGGCATGAGAATGGCATGAACCCAGGAGGCGGAGCTTGCAGTGAGCCGAGATCGTGCCACTGCAGTCCGTCCTGGGCGAAAGAGCGAGACTCCGTCTCAAAAAACAAACAAACAAACAAGAGGTCCAGAGTGTGACAACATGGCCTTGCAACCTTGTGCTCAGGGACCCTGGAGCCAGTCCTTCATAGGTCTGCTGGAACTCCCCACCCTGGGACTGCAGGCTCTGCCTGGCTGCAATCAAGAATCCCCTGAGGCCAGGTGTGGTGGCTCACGCCTGTGATCCCAGCACTTCGGGAGGCTTAGGTGGGCAGATCACCTGAGACCAGGAGTTCGAGACTAGCCTAGCCAACGTGCTAAAACTCCGTCTCTACTAGAAATACAGAATTAGCCAGGCGTGGTGGCGGGTGCCTGTAATCCCAGCTACTCAGGAGGCTGAGGCAGGAGAAGTGCTTGAACCCGGAAGTGGAGGTTGCAGTGAGCTGAGATTGCGTCACTGCACTCTAGCCTGGGTGACAGAGCAGAATCCGTCTCAAAATAAAGAAAGAAAGAATCCCCTGGGGATCTTGGATTTGATCCTGGTGCCAAGGGAATTGGATTTCCTTGGTCTGGGTAGTGCCTTGGCATGTGTATTACGATTATCATTTGCCAATGATTATGAATTTTTAAATTTCACACAGCTTTGGGGAAGCATAGAATCTGGACTTGTTCAGAACAATCAGCTATTGACACCAGAGGCTGCCTCTGGGTTATAATTGGATAATTATCCCTTCCTGGTGCAGACATTAGTGGCTCTCTTGTGCTTGGCCATGAACCGTTTGCTGTGTCCTCCATGTGGCCAAGCATCAAAAGGATAATGTTTTCATTTTTTAATTTTTGTGGGTAGATAGTAGGCATATATATGTATGGGGTGCATGAGATGTTTTAATACAGGCATGCAATGCATAATAATCACATCAGGGTAAATGGGGATCCATTACATCAAGCATTTATCCTTTGTGTTACAAACAATTCAATTACACTCTTTGAGTTATTTAAAAATGTACAATTGGCTGGGCACAGTGGCTCTCACCTGTCATCCCAGCACTTTGGGAAGCTGAGGCAAGCGAATCACTTGAGGTCAGGAGTTTGAGACCAGTCTGGCCAACATGGTGAAACCCCGTCTCTACTAAAAATACAAAAATTAGCTGGGCGTGGTGGCACTTATCTGTAATCTCAGCTACTTGGGAGGCTGGGGCAGGAGAATCACTTGAGCCCAGGAGTTCGAGACTAGCCTGGGCAATTTAGCAAGACCCCATCTCAAAAACAAAGCTACAGCTTAAAAGAAAATCAGACCATGTCACTCTCTGCTTAAGGCCTTCAAGGGTTTCCTCATGCATTCAGGATAGAATCCGAAGTCCTTAGAATGACCCAGAGGGACTGACACAGTTGGGCCTGGCCTCATCCCATGGCAGTCTCCTGCTCGTTCAATTAGGCTGTGATGCACTAGTCCCTCCCCCACGTGCTCCCCAGATTTATTTCATTTTATTTTATATTTTTTTGAGACAGGGTCTTGCTCTGCTGCCCAGCCCGGAGGGCAGTGGTGTGATCATAGCTCACTGCAGCCTCGAACTGCTGGGCTCAAGCTATGCTCCCACCTCAGCCCCTCAAAATATGATGATTACAAGCATGAGCTACTGCACCCAGCCCCTAGCTTTAAATATTTAAAGCATCTAAACATAGAAGAGTTGAAAAAGTGGTATAATTGTCACTCATACACCTATCCTGAAATTCAATAATTACCATTTTGTCATATTTTCTTTGTCTGTGTGCATGTGTGTATTTTGCTGAAATGTTAATTAATTTATTTATTTGAGATGGAGTCTCGCTCTAATGCTCAGGCTGGAGTGCAGTGGCATGATCTTGGCCCACTGCAACCTCCGCCTCCTGGGTTCAAGTGATCCTCCTGCCTCAGCCTCTTGAGTAGCTGGAATTATAGGCACCTGCCACCATGCCCAGCTAATTTTTTGTATTTTTTGTAGAGACGAGGTTTCATCATGTTGGCGAGGCTGGTCTTGAACTCCTGACCTCAAGTGATCCGCCTGCCTCGGCCTCCCAAAGTGCTTGGATTTCAGGCGTGAGCCACTGCGCCTGGCCAACATTTAAAAGTTAGTTGTAAGCCAGGCATGGTGGTGTGGGCCTGTAGTCCCAGCTATTGGAGAGGCTGAGGCAGGAGGATCGCTTGATCTCAGGAGTTTGAGGCTGCAGTGAGCTACGATCATGCCACTGCACTCCAGCCTGGGTGACAGAGCAAGACCCTGTCTCTAAAATAATAATAATAATAAATAAGTGAAATAAAAGTTAGCTGTAGATATCATGTCACTTGACCCCTATAATGACTTCAATGTGAATCTCCTAAAAATAAAGACATCTTCCCTTATAGCCAGCCACATGTCACCACCCTACCCAAGAAAATCAATAGAAATTTTCTAATATTGAGTCCACGTTCAAATGAACCCAATTATTCCCTGAATGCATTTTAAAGATGTTTAATTTCCAAATCAGGACCCAATCAGGTTTGCACATTGTGGTTGGCTCCAGTGTCTCTTTGGAGTCTCCTAGTCTGGAACTGGCACTTCACAGTGTGGTTTGGGACCAGCGGCATGAGCATCACCTGGGAATTTGCTAGAAATGCAAATTCACAGGCCTCACTCCCAACCTGAATCAAATTCTGGGGTGGGGTCCAGGAATCTGTTTTAACAAGCCAGGTGATTTTTTTTTTTTTTGAGACAGGGTCTCGCTCTGTCACCCAGGCTGGAGTGCAGTGGCATGATCTCAGCGCACTGCATCCTCCGCCTCCCAGGTTCAGGTGATTCTCCTGCCTCAGCCTCCCGAGTAGCTGGGACTACAGGTGCCTGCCACCACGCCCAGCTAATTTTTGTATTTTTAGTAGGGATGGGGTTTTGCTATGTTGTTCAGTCTGGTCTGGAACTTCTGACCTCAAGCAATCTGTCCACCTCAACCTCCCAAAGTGTTGGGATTATAGGCATGAGCCACTGTACCTGGCCTCAGCTAGTTATCTTCATGGCTGTCTCTTCCTTTTATTTTATTTAATAATAATAATATTATTATTTTTGTGGAGATAGGGTCCCACTATGTTGCCTAGGCTGCCCTTGAACTCATGGCCTCAAGTGATTCTCTTGTCTTGCCTCCCAAGGCCCTAGAATTACTGATGTGAGCCACTGTGCCTGGGCTTTCTTAGTTCTGTGCTCATTAGTTCTTCTCTCTTTCTCTCCCTCCGTCTCTCTATTTTCCCCCTTTCCCTCTCTTCTGTTCCCTCTCTCCTCTGCAAAGAAACTGATTCCTCCCTTCCTGGGCATGTATTTCCCAGCCTTCATTGCTGTTAGATGTGCTCATGTGACTGGTTCTTGCTGATGGAAGGTGGGTGGAAATGACGCGGTCCCCTGTCTGGGGCTGAGATGGTTAAGATCATGGATCTGTCTTCTCCTGTCTGCATTGTTTGCTATCTACCAGCCGAGGCCCCGAGAGACAGCAGAACCACAAGGTAGCAGTCCCTGAATCGCCATGTGGCACATCTGCCTTAGACTGTTATCTGAGCAGGTAATAAACTTCTGTGATGTTAAGCCACAGAGATTTCGGGGCTTATCTGTTCCAGCAGCCAGCATTACCGTAAGTAACAAACACATGGACTCTCTCTGCTTCTCTAGGCTTTCAACTAAACACAGCTGCCCCATGACTCCTAAGTTCTTATATTTTTAATTATAGAGGATATCGATTGGCTTCTCATCCAATTGTAACCCTCCAGGAGAGGCTGTAATGGGCCCAGCTTGGGACTCCTTGGAACCACTCCTAAAATGATCAGCTATGGCTGGTGGGGACAGTACTATGATTTGGAGATGACAGGAGGGCCCTCCACCCTTCCCTGCCAGTGAAAGGTAGGGCCATTCTTTTTTTTTTTAATTATTATTATTTTTAATAGAGCTGAAATCTCATTATGTTGCCCAGGCTGGTCTTGAACTCCCCAGCTCAAGAGGCAGGGCCGGGCGTGGTGGCTTATGCCTGTAATCCCAGCACTTTGGGAGGCAAGGCAGGCGAGGAGGATCACCTGAAGTCAGGAGTTCAAGACCAGCCTGGCCAACATGGCGAAACCCTTTCTCTACTAAAAATGCAAAAATTAGCTGGGTGTGGTGGCAGGCGCCTGTAATCCCAGCTACTTAGGAGGCTGAGGCAGGAGAATCTCTTGAACCCAGGAAGTGGAGGTTGCAGAGAGCTGAGATTGCACCATTGCACTCCAGCCTGGGCGACAGAGTGAGACTCCATCTCAAAAAAGAAAAAAGAGGCATCAGGTCATCCTGCCTGTGACAGGAGGGCACTGCAAAATTACATGGCCAAGGGCATGGGTAGGGGGAAGGGTGAAGAGTTAGGGCCAAATAATGTAAACCTTACCTAATTTCCCACTGGAGAACACCCCCTTTCAGTCAATTACTTTGGGTGGGGCTCCAGCTCAGGGGTGGAGCAGGTGACAAAGACCTCAGCCAATCAGAGAACAACTTTGCCCATTTGGGACTACAGGCATGCACCATCATGCCTGCTAATTTAAAATATTTTTTGTAGAGGCCAGGCACCGGTGGCTCACGCCTGTAATCCCGGCACTTTGGGAAGCCGAGGCAGGCAGATCACGAGGTCAAGAAATCGAGACCATCCTGGCCAACATTGTGAAACCCTGTCTCTACTAAAAATACAAAAATTGGCTGGCCCTGTTGGTGCACGCCTGTAGTCCAACTACTCGGGAGGCTGAGGCAGGAGAATCGCTTGAGCCCGGGAGGCAGAGATTGCAGTGAGCCAAGATTGCACCACTGCACTCCAGCCTGGGCGACAGTGCGAGACTCTGTCTCGAAAAAAAAAGAATTTTTTTTTTTTTTTGTAGAGGCAGGGTTTTGCTATGTTGCCCAGGTTGGTCTTGAACCCCTGGGCTCAAGCGATCTGTCCACCTCAGCCTCCCAAAGTGCTGGAACTACAGGCATGAGCCACTGTGCCTGGTTGACTTTTCCTTTCCAAATGAACAAGTTTGGGTTGAGTTTTCAGTCACTGAGACCAAACTGGTCCCAATGAGTACACCAGTAATCTTAGCCTCAGAGGTGTGCATCTACTCACAGAAGGGCTCAGTGGCTTCCAGTGTTCAAGGTTACTGGATTGCACAGGAGCTGTTATAGGACAAGCCCCGTGGATACTGGTGGCTCAGAGGTCTTACAGATGAGGTTTCACTGGGAACCAATCAGAACTCCCTTATTTGCAAGTAACAGACACCAAACTCGAATGGACTTGTGAGAATATGTTGGCTCATGTAATTGAAAAAGCCACTTGGGGCTGGGCGCAGTGGTTCACACCTGTAATCCCAGCACTTTGGGAGGCCAAGGTGGGGCAGATCACGTGAGGTCAGGAGTGCAAGACCAGCCTGGCCAACATGGTGAAACCCTGTCTTTACTAAAAATACAAAAATTAGTCGGGTGTGTTGGTGCGCGCCTGTAATCCCAGCTACACGGGAGGCTGAGGCAGTAGAATCACTTGAACCCGGGAGGCAGAGGTTGTAGTGAGCTGAGATCGTGCCATTGCACTCCAGCCTGGGTGACAGAGTGTGCTCCGTTTCTAAAAAGAAAGAAAAGAAAAGAAAAGAAAAAGCCATTTGGATTTCAGACACAGATCCTAGTACTCATATAATGCAATCAGAATCCATCTCTCCTCATCTCCTGGCCCTGCTTCATTTACTCTGTGCCGGCTTCATGCCTGGCCAGAATCTCCCTAAGCGGTGGCAAAGGCAGCCACCAGCAAGTCCAGGCTTACATCCCACATGCTTAGCAACTGCAGTGAAAAGAGAACACATTTTCCCCTAATAGGTACACAAAGCCAGGAGCAGCCTAGCTTGGGCTAGGGGCACACAGCTGCTGCTCCGGGATGGAATGTGCTGATTGGCTAGACCTGGGTCATGTGGCCACCCCACAGAGCGAAGGGGTGGGGTCGGCCTCCGCTGAAGGAAGGACTGGTTCAAAGGAAGCTTGGGGTGCTATCACACAAAGCAGAACGAGTGGATGCTGAACAGGCAAAAATAGCAGACGTCCGCTACATCTCATTACTCTTAGCATCTTGTGGTCCTTATTACAATTGTAATGAACTATCACTCCAAATCCTCTACCTTCTACAATCACCTCCCATTTTCCTTTTTTTAAAAAAAGTATCATTATTATTTTTTGTCTCTGTCAAAAAAAAATAATTATTATTATTATATTGTCGCCCAGGCTGGAGTGCAGTGGTGCGATCTTGGCTCACTACAACCTCCGCCTCCCGGGTTCAAGTGATTTTCCTGTCTCAGCCTCCTGAGTAGCTGGGATTACAGGCAGCCACCATTGTGCCCGGCTAATGTTTGTAGTTTTAGTACATGTTAGCCAGGCTGGTCTCAAACCCCTGACCTCAAGTGATCCACCCAGCTCGGCCTCCCAAAGTGCTGGGATGACAGGAATGAGCCAACGTGTTCAGCTAATTTTTGTATTTTTAGCAGAGATGGGGTTTTGACATGTTGGCCAGGCTGGTCTTGAATTCCTGACCTCAGGTGATCCGCCCCCCTGGGCCTCCCAAAGTGCTAGGATTATAGGTGTGAGCCACGGTGCCCGGCCCCATTTTCCTTTACCATCAACATTGAATGACTTTAGCCCACATACTAAGAAAAACCAAGGCCTGGCGTGGTGGCTCATGCCTGTAATCCCAGCACTCTACAAGGCTGTAGTGGGAGGATGGCTTGAGGCCAGGAGTTTGAGACTAGTCTGGGCAACATAGCAAGACCCTGTCCCTACAAAATAGAAATGAAGACATTAGCCAGGCCTGGTGGTGTGTGCCTATAGTCCCAGCTGTCTCAAAGGCTGAGGCAGGAGTGTCAGAGGCATTTGAACCTGAGCGACTCTATCTTGAATAGGGGCTGGGTAAAATAAGGCTAAGACCTGCTTGGCTGCATTCCCAGGAGGTTAAGGCATTCTAAGTCACAGGATGAGACAGGAGGTTGGCACAAGATACAGGTCATAAAGACCTTGCTGATAGACCAGTTTGTAGGCCAGGCACAGTGGCTCACCCCTGTAATCCAAGCACTTTGGGAGGCTGAGGCGGGCAGATCACCTGAGGTCAGGAGTTTGAGACCAGCCTGACAAACATGGAGAAACCCGTCTCTACTACAAAAATACAAAATTAGCCGGGCATGGTGGCACATGCCTGTAATTCCAGCTACTCAAGAGGCTGAGGCAGGAGAATCGCTTGAACCCAAGAGGTGGAGGTTGCGGTGAGCTGAGATTGTGCCATTGCACTCCAACCTGGGCAACAAGAGTGAAACTCTGTCTCAAAGAAAAAAAGAAAAGGGCCGGGTGCGGTAGTTCATGCCTGTAATCCCAGCACTTTGAGAGGCCGAGGCAGGTGGATCACGAGGTCAGGAGTTCAAGACCAGCCTGGCCAATATGGTGAAACCCCGTCTCTACTAAAAATACAAAAATTAGCTGGGTGTGGTGACGTGCACCTGTAGTCCCAGCTACTCGGGAGGCTGAGGCAGAAGAATTGCTTGAACGTAGGAGTCGGAGGTTGCAGTGAGCCAAGATCATGCCACTGCACTCCAGCCTGGATGACAGAGTGAGACTCCATCTCAAAAAATAATAATAAAAATAAAAAATAAATAAATAAATTAATTAATAATAACAATAAAAAATGTTCAAAAAGGAAAACCAGGCCCCCTCCACAATGTCTCTGAGGCATCCCAAGATGGGGCTCCCCATCTCCTGAGTCCACCATGCTCAGCCCACTTCCTGGCTGTCCTTCTCTGCTCTTGGCCTCTGGAGCCATTGCCCCCTTTCTTCGCCTCCAAATCAAAACCTCTGTTTTTGTCCATTGCACCAAATCTCCACTAACCCAAGGCTGGGTGAGGAACAGTCTCCTCCCCTCAGCTGCCAGTAATTACCTCTAAATTACTTTTCTTACACCCACATTTCCACCCTAAACCAGACACTAGATGGGTGTATAGATGTTGACATTTCAGAGAGAGATGCTGTTTGGTGACTCTCCCATGGTGACGTGACCGTAAGTTGAGTAGTCATCTATGGCTCTGTGTGAAGGGTGTCATGGGGTCTGCGATCACTCCTTCCACTAGCCCTTGCTTTGGCCCACTTAGCTGTGACTGCTGAGGAGTTGGGAAAATTTGCATAGGCCTCAAGGAGTGTCTTGGGAAAAAAGGAATCAAGGCTACAACTCTCTTTCCTTCTGAAGTTTAATTTATTTTATTATTTTATTTTATTTATTTTAATTTTTTGAGATGGAGCTTTGCTCTATCACCCAGGCTGGAATGCAATGGTGTGATCTCGGCTCACTGCAACCTCCACCTCCTGGGTTCAAGTGATTCTCCTGCTTCAGCCTCCCCAGTAGCTGGGATTACAGGTGCCTGCCACTATGCCTGACTAATTTTGTAGTTTTAGTAGAGATGGGGTTTCACCATGTTGGCCAGGCTGGTCTCAAACTCCTGACCTCAAGTGATCTACCCCCCTCAGCTTCCTGAAGTGCTGGGATTACGGGTGTGAGCCACTGCACCCGGACTTGAAGTTTAATGTTTTTTTTATTTTTTATTTTTGAGACGGAGTTTCACTCTTGTTGCCCAGGCTGGAGTGCAATGGTGCGATCCATAAGATTTAGGTCAAATAGAGAGATACATTTCTGTATATTCATTTTACACTTTTTATTTTTTTGTAGAGACGGAGTTCTTGCTATGTTGCCCAGGCTGGTATCAAACTCCTGGCCTTAAGCAATCCTCCCAACTCAGCCTCCCAAAGTGCTGGGATTACAGGCATGAACCACTGCACCTGGCCTCATTTTACACTTTAATGGACTGGATTTTGCAGTAGTCATGATTAGGAGGGCACTGTGCACCACAAAGCCTAAGAGGTAACTAGCTTATTTGGGGTATTTTGGGAATTTTTTTTTTTTTTTTTTTGAGAAGGACCTTCTCTCTTGTTGCCCAGGCTGGAGTGCAATGGTGTCATCTTGGCTCTGCCTCCCATATTCAAGCGATTCTCCTGCCTCAGCATCCCAAGTATCTGGAGTTACAGGCATGCACCACCATGCCTGGCTAATTTTGTATTTTTTTAGTAGAGAAGGGGTTTCACCATATTGGTCAGGCTGGTCTCAAACTCCTGACCTCAGATGACCCACCCAACTTGGTGTCCCAAAGTGCTGGGATTACAGGTGTGAGCCACTGCGCCTGGCCAACTCCACTGTTAAGGCAGCAGGTGCAGTGGATATTACAGCTATTCACACCCCTGCAGATAAACACAGAAGTCACCATACCACAACTATTCTCCTAACGCTGCCTTCGTCCTGAGCTTCCTGTGCTAGTGGCAAGTCAGATGCAAGGAAAATCCAGAGTAAAAATAAAAAACAATAACAGGCACAGTCTCATCAGACTGTGAAACCCTGTGAACCCTGTGAAATGAAAATTACAGATGTATGTATAAAGCAAGAATTTCAAGGCACACATTCTGACATTAACTTTGTATTAAGTGCCCTCAAATGTACTCTCTTCCCCTCTTTCAGTTCTCAAGGGAAGAGCAAATAACACTCCTTCCAAATAACACTCCTAAATCAACACCTGAAGAATGAATGATACCCTGGGCAAATATAAAACTTGCAGACCTATTTCACCCAATACCATAGAAAGAGAAAACGGTGAACTTAACCCCCTCATTAAAAGCACAAGGGGAGGCTGGGCTTGGTGGCTCATGCCTGTAAACCTAGCACTTTGGGAGGCCAAGGCAGGCGGATCACTTGAGGTCAGGAGTTTGAGACCAGCCTGGCCAATATGGTGAAACCCCATCTCTACTAAAAATACAAAAATTAGCTGGGTGTGGTGTCAGGTGCCTGCAATCCCAGCTACTCGGGAGGCTGAGGCAGGAGAATCGCTTGAACCCGGGAGGTGGAGGTTGCAGTGAGCTGAGATCACGCCACGGCACTCCAGCCTGGGGGACGGTGAGACTCCATCTTACATACAAACACACACACACACACACACACACACACACACACACAGAAGCGTGAGGGGAACTTACTTCTCGGGCGACTCTGAGTGGCCCCTGTGCTTCCGTCCTGATGAGTTTCCATACACGTCATCTTCGTTTTCATCCACATCTTCATCATCGATGCTTTTCACATCAAGCTTCTGGTACCCAAACTCCCTGTTCAAAGACAGGGAATCAATTTTCCACGAGTTGCTGCTCTGACTTCCATTGGAGTTTGGCCCGAAGGGGCTTTCAAAGGCGGACATGATATTGACAGAGGAGTGGTCGGAGTTGTCCTCTGAGCTCTCCCCTGCCCCAGGTGTCTTTTTAAACATGTCCCCAGAGTTCTGCTCATCTTCCTCATCATCAAATGAGATAATGTTGGTCACTTGCTTTTTCTTCTTCCGCTCCTTTTTGCATTTGGCATCTGGCAAAAAAAAAAAAAAGAAAAAAAAGAAAAGATACAGTATAAGAAAAAGTAGGCAAGACAAAAGGATGATGAAACCAACTCACTTCCAGGTTGTGGAAAATACTATTCTAGTGAGAAATACACTGTAACATGAATTCAGACTTTTTAAAATCCTCAGTGAAAATCTGTGTACAGAAGATTGAGCAGAATGGATGCAGGCCTCTCCCACTGATTTAAATAAACACACCACAGAGCACACCTTGAAACTGTTCCTTCCAAGCAGTCACTTTGATGTGAAGGATGCTACCATTACCAAAATGATCTTCAATGCTTCACTTTGGAAAATATTCTCATAGCTGGTAGATGAGACCAGGAGAACCAGCTGGGGGGTGTAGTCAAGTGTTGAGCAGCCTCAAATTCCTGCCATTCCTGTGCAATGCCCCTTTGCAATGGGTCTTTGTGGCTCCTCCCAGCCAGAGGTGATGTCTATTTCTGCACCCTCTTGAATCTGGCTGGCGTAGTGCTCTGCCTTTTTTTTTTTTTTTTTTTTTTAAGAGTTGGGGCATCTCGCTCTATTGCCCAGGCTGGAGTATATTGGTGCAATCATAGCTCACTGTAACCTCAAATTCCTGGGATCAAACAATCCTCTGCCCTCAGCCTCCCGAGTAGCTGGGACTACAGGTGCATGCCACAACACCCAGCTAATTTTATTATTATTTGTAGAGATGAGGTCTTGCTGTGCTTCCCAAGCTAGTCTCAAAACTCCTGGCCTCAAGCAATACTCCCACCTCAGCCTCCTAAATTGCTGGGATTATAGGCATGAGCCACCATGCCCTGCTTTTACCAAAAGAATGTGGCAGAAAGGGCCGGGTGCGGTGGCTCATGCCTATAATCCCAGCACTTTGGGAGGTCAAGGCGGGTGGATCACCTGAGGTCAGGAGTTCAAGACCAGCCTGGCAAACACGGTGAAACCCCGTCTCTATTAAAAATACAAAAAAAAAAAAAAATTAGTTGGGCGTGGTGGCAGGTGCCTGTAATCCCAGCTACTTGGGAGGCTGAGGCAGGAGAATTTCTTGAACATGGGAGGCAGAGGTTGCAGTGAGCTGAGACTGCGCCATTGCACTCCAGTCTGGGTGACAGAGCGAGACTCTGTCTCAAAAAAAAAAAAAAAAAAAAAAAAGTGGCAGAAATAACACTGTGTGAGTTCTAGTAGCTAGGCGTTAAAAGGTCTCAGCTTTGCCTTTGCTCTCCTGGACAGTGGCCCTGACCCCATACATAAAGAAGCCAGTTCAGCCGACTGGAGGATGAGAGTCCATGAGTAGAATCTGAGCAGCCCCAGCACTGATTCCAGACATGTGGATGGGGCCATCTTAGATCTTCCAATCTAACCACGAGCTCCCATGAGTGAGCCGAAGGAGCCCAGCAGCAGAGCCACCATGCCAACCTACACAAAAAAGTAACGAACTGCGGTGGTTTTAAGCCACTACATTTTTAAATCACTTGTTATATAGCAAATGCTAACTGAAAAAGAAATCAAGCTTGCCTTAGTGACCAGCTCTCACAGAAGACACTTTGTGCCCCTATTTTAATCATCACACTTGGATGTAAGACACTTTGAGCCAATTCCAAAAACCCAATCTGTCTAAACCAATGTGTGATGTGGTGAGGCCTCACTGGTATAGCACAACTCTGAGATCACCTCAAAAGCAGTTCCAAAAATGGGTGGGACTGCTACTCCTGTGGGTGTAGAAATTTCAGTGTCTGTTACACAAAGCTGTCAACAGCCCTATCTCCTACAAGGTTCATGCAGGGTCACCATCAATAATTCCAAAGGGATGGCCACAGTTACTGCCTTGTTTAAGAGATTTGAGAATACTAAGTACTTAAGCCCAAAATTTCCAATTTCAACCAGATGCAGTGGCTCACACCTGTAATCCCAGCACTTTGGGAGGCCAAGGCAGGAGGATCACTTGAGGCCAGGAGTTCAAGACCAGCCTGGGCAACATGGCAAGACCCTGTCTCTACATATATACACATACATACTACAACAAAATTTCCAATTTTGCTGTAGTAACATCTTAATGTCCCAAAGGAATCAAAGGGTATTGAAAACTTCTCACCAAATTAATCTTAACTGAATCAACTTTCTTTTTTTATATTTAATTTTTTAATTAAAATTTTTTAAAAACAGGCTGGACACAGTGGCTCACGCCTGTAATCCTAGCACTTTAAGAGGCCAGGGCAGGCAGATCACCTGAGGTCAGGAGTTCAAGACCAGCCTGGCCAACATGGGGAAACCCTGTCTCTGCTAAAAATACAAAAAGAAACCAGGCATGTTGGCACATGCCTATAGTCCCATCTACTCGGGAGGTTGAGGCAGGAGAATTGCTTGAACCCAGGAGGTGGAGGTTGCAGTGAGCTGAGATCATGCCACTGCACTCCAACCCGGGCAATAGAGCGAGACTCTGTCTCAAAAAAAAAAAAAAAAAAAGTTAAAAAATTGAGACAGGGTCTCACTACATTGCCCAGGCTGGTCTAGAACCCTTGAACTCAAGTGATCCTCCTGCCTCGGCCTCCCAAAGTGCTAGGATTACAGGCATGAGACACCATGCCCAGCCTGAATCAACTCTCTTTTGCCTCCCCAGAGCCTAGAGTCAAACCTGACAACTCCTCTCTTTCCTGAGGCCTTAAATGCCATCCCCAATCAGAGGCAAGCCCAATGGCAGATGTTCCCCATAGCAGTCTATGCTTGGCTTTCATCCCTCTTATCCTAAGGATCCTAAATTATATATTTTGTCATGAACTACCCACCCACACCCATCCCAAAGGAGACTGCAGGCTACCTGCTGGCAATCTGTCTTTCCTATTCGGCTCACCGCCTAACACACAGAATACGATGAAGGAACAAATAAAGGAATGAATGAATGAGGATCAACGTCATCTGGCTCCCGGTGTCTCTCACACCCTCACTTTCCATTCGCTCTGGTTGAGCTGTTCATTTTTCCACCCAGCAATTCTCACATCTAGGTAAGGCCATCAGAGCCCTTTCAGAGTGAATGAGGATGAGAAACAGAAACACAAATGGAAAACGCAAGTGCACTGGACTCCATTCCCCTTGGAATGACTTTCAGATGATGAGGTATGTCCACCCCATCAGCCACATTCTGATTCCCTCTGCTCCGCCTCGAGCACCAGTTCCCACTCACCAGCACTGACATTCCTGGACACGACGGGCAAGGGGTCGGTCTCCTGTTCAGGTTTGATGAGGATGGAGATGGCAGAGGAGGCTGTGATCTCCCTGAACACGCTGCTCACTCCTTGCGTGGACTCCTTCAGCAAGGTCACATTCTGCGTTGACTCCTTTAAGAGGTCTGAAACGGTGGGAGCAAACTTACTCTGCCCGTTCAAATCCTTGTTGTCAATGTTAATCGCAAAGAGTATGGAGTTCGGACCTGTCCAAAAAAAGGGAAAAGTCTGGAGTGCTTGCTGATGGGCAGTCATACCACCAATAAGAGAAGACAGCTGCAGACAACAGATTACAGAAGAGGAGACACGTTGATCTTAAATAGGTATAAAAATACCTGCCACACAGAGGTTGCAGGGAGCCGAGATCGTGCCACTGCACTCCAGCCTGGGTGACAGAGCAAGACTTGGCTTCCAAAAAAAAAAAAAAAACAACCTCCCATGAAACTGGGGTCAGCAGACATCCGTTATCATGGGAGTTGAGTCATGCCACATTCTCTCCCTAACAGCCAGGAAGATGAATATGAATAAGAATTCAACTGGGAGGAGGTAAAGGCACAAGTCCCGGGATCAGGCTGCCTGGGGGTAAATCCCAGCACTGCCACCTACTAGCTACAAGACCTTGATCCAGGCTGGGCATGGTGGCTCACACCTGTAATCCCAGCACTTTGGGAGGCTGAGACAGGCGGATCACCTGAGGTCGGGAGTTCGAGACCAGCCTGACCAACATGGAGAAACCCCATCTCTACTAAAACTACAAAATTAGCCAGGCGTGGTGGTGCATGCCTATAATCCCAGCTACTCAGGAGACTGCAGCAGGAGAATCGCTTGAACCCAGGAGGCAGAGGTTGTGGTGAGCCAAGATCATGCCATTGCACTCCAGCCTGGGCAACAAGAGTGAAACTCCGTCTCAAAAAAAAAAAAAGACCTTGGTCCAGCAACTTATCATCTCCCTGTACTCCAGTCGCCTTATCTGTAAGATGGGGACAATATTATCTTCCTCACAGGATTGTAAGTATTAAAGGCAATCTCTCACAAAACACTCAGCTCCATAAACCATCAAATGTGCACTGGTAACATCATCATCATTAATGTGGACAGAAACTTACACTGGGCATCTTATGATCTACAAAGGAAATCATGGTCAAATTCTTTTTCTCATCAATGGACAGGACTAACATAAGCCCAGATATATGAGTTTAGTATAAATTTTCAAGGAAAAACAAAAAGGAGGCAACAAAGAACTTGGAAAGAGGAAGCAAGTTGCCCACTTCAGTCCAGCTGATTCCACCTTTCACCCTTTGAGTCAAAGGGTGAACAATGTAACAGTCCACCGACTAACATCAACCCAGGGTCTCTCCATGTTGATTCGTCGTGTGTGCGACTCCTGATCTCACATGATTCTCTCACAGCCCCATGAAGATGACTGCTGAGACAGCATGATTCCCACCTCACAGAGAGGAAAGAAAAGGCAGCAAAGCTTACGGCATCTGCCCCAGGTCACCAGGTAGCAAGGAGTAAAGCCAGGATTCAAAGATAGGTCTCCCACCTCCAATTCCCCGCAATGCATATTATATCTCCAAAGCCCAACTAAAAACCTTCAAATCTTCGCTTTCTCTGCCAGGGTCTCACATTCTAGATAAATGGACCCAACACTGTGGTTGGGCATGGTGGCTCACACCTGCAATCCCAACGCTTTGGAAGGCCAAGGCGGGTGGATCACTTGAGCCCAAGAGTTCGAGACCAGCTTGACCAGCATAGTGAAACTCTATCTCTATTAAAATACAAAAATTAGCTGGGCGTGGTGGCAGGCGCCTGTAATCCCAGCTTCTCGGAAGGTTGAGATAGAAAAATGACTTGAATCCAGGAGGCGGAGGTTGCAGTGAGCTGAGGTTGCATCACTGCACTCCAGCCTGGGTGACAGAGTGAGGCTCTCTCTTTAAAGAAATAAAAATTTAAAAACCAACATTCAGTGCTAGTAAAAGAAGGACAGCAGCAAGTGACTCATTGAGTTGTTGAGGGACAGAAGAATCACAACATTCCATGGCGCTGTGGAACTGCCCCAAGGCAGCCCCTCTGCCATGTGTCACAAGGCCTGGCGCCCTGGTCTGGGCCAGGCTTACCTGCTGCCATGGTAGGAAGCATACTGGACCTCTCTTCATCCATCACAAAAGACCAGTCTTCATAAAAAGTACTGCAGATTGAAAGAGAAAAGGAAATCGTTCTTAGCAGTGGTTCTCTGTGTCCATTAACCAGGAAATTCCATTAGACGGCTCCCTGGAAGATCTGCACCTGGTCACCCCAGGAGGGATATGATTTGTCTGAGGTCTCTGCTGGTTTAAAGCTTCTGGTTACAAACAGAAGATTGAACACATACATCCTACAACTTCCTCGCTGGTCCCCCCCGACCCTCAGCTTTAGAGTACTAAAATAGACATGATATGTAAATGTATTTATAAAGCAGCAAAGTAGAACGGAGCAGTCAGGTGGGTGACTTCCACTCAAGCAATGTCCCCAAGAGACAGACAGGAAATCCAAGCCTGCCAACAGGGCTCGCCTGATTTGCCTAATACAAGAAGAGACCATTTCAGACAGAAATTACAGAGCCTCTATGGCTTCATCAACCAGGGCATTTAATATAATGCCTGCCTTGGCCAGGCACGGTGGCTCACACCTGTAATCCCAGCACTTTGGGAGGCCAGGGTGGGAGGATCACTAGAGGTCAGGAGTTCAAGACCAGCCTGGCCAACACAGTGAAACCCCATCTCTACTAAAAATATAAAAAATTAGCTGGGCATGGTGGCAGGTGCTTGTAATCCCAGCTACTCGGGAGGCTGAGGCAGGAGAGTCGCTTGAACCCAGAGGCTTGGTAAGCAGAGATTGCGCCACTGTACTCCAGCTTGGGCGAAAGAGCGAGACTCCACCTCAAAATAATAATAATAATAATAATAATAATAATAATATAATGCCTGCCTAGGTTACAGGCCTGAAAGCCCACATTATCCTTGGAAAAGGCTAGGAGGCTAAAAATGCCCCACAAATCTAGATGGCAGTTGGGGTAGGGGTGTCAAGGAAGCCCACAGGGCCTGTCCAAGGTCATCTAGCCAATAAATGGTCCAGCCAGGGCTTAAAAGCAGGTCTCCCGAGTCCAGCTTCCAAGCTCTCTCTGACTTCATGTTAAGCAATGGAAACCAAAAATCCCCAATGCCATAACTTCCCCGCCAGGTCATTGAATTCTAAATTAATCAAGGAAAAAGTCAATTTCACTAAAGCAAAGTCAGGGATACATGACCTGTAGTTGAGTGAGAGACTGGAAAAATTAGCCACTGAAGTGACTGAATACAACTAACAGAAAGAAAGAAGAGGAGCATTTCCAATATACTTTCCCAGAAAATGTTAGTAGACGTACAAACCACATGCTCAAGCTGACATTCTGACTGCACCTGATTCCTAAAATCATAATCCTTTAAAAATCTGAGCCCGTTTTCACGCATCTAAATGAATGTGTTTTCCCAACATCCAGCTGGGGAAGTGGCTGGTGATCCAGGTAAAGTCAACTGTGATTCTTACCTGCTGGACTGACTTCTCCTTGTTGGTCACTTCAACTTTGAGACTGAGTATGTAACTCTGAACTACCCGTAAATGATATGCTGGAAGGAGCTTCACAGAAATTCACTTCAAAAAAAAGGAGTAGGTCAGACACAGTAGCTCACACCTGTAATCCCAGCACTTTGGGAGGCCGAGGTGGGAGGATCACGAGGTCAGGAGATCGAGACCATCCTGGCTAACACGGTGAAACCCGTCTCTACTAAAAATACAAAAAATTAACCAGGCATGGTGGTGGGCACTGGTAGACCCAGCTACTCGGGAGGCTGAGGCAAGGAGAATCGCTTGAACCCAGGAGGCAGAGGTTACAGTGAGCCAAGATTGCACCACTACACTCCAGTCTAGGCAAAAAAGCGAGACTTCTCCAAAAAAAGGAAAGAAAGAAACAGGAGTGTGTTTTCCTTAACTAAAGCTGGTTAATGCCCTAGAGGTCCAGACATTCTCAGCCTCCGAACTCCGACCGTGAGCAGTACACAGGTGTCGTCAGTGTCAGTCCTCCTGGCTCCCAAGCCCTCCCATTTTGGACACATAGAG
Source organism: Homo sapiens (assembly GCF_000001405.40). Lineage (NCBI taxonomy): Eukaryota > Metazoa > Chordata > Mammalia > Primates > Hominidae > Homo > Homo sapiens. The sequence continues at coordinate 29,357,318 of NC_000016.10, read as the reverse complement.
TCTTGCCATACAATTGAACAAGGAGCCACAGGCAACAGAGAACTTTAAGGGTATTTTTAAGAGCCCCAGTGCACAATCCCAGAAGATCTGAGACATTACCAGTAGAGAGGTGACCACAGCAGTAGATAAAGCAGAAGAGGAGACCTAAACTAGGGAACACAGGGCAAGATATAAAATCAAGGGAACACGCCACACTACTCACAAGCTGCCCACTTATTGAATTCAGTGAAATTTCACTGTTGAAGATCTGGGCGGTGCTGATCAGGAAGTTACTTAAGGAACCAGAACAGGATTCATCAGGGTCACTCCGTATCACTCAAGGACACAAAACAACTTGTCTAGTCCACCATTCTCAGAGCAAAAGTAATGGCCACGGCCAGGCACAGTAGCTCACGCCTGTAACCCCAGCACTTTGGGAGGCCTAGGCGGGTGGATCACCTGAGGTCTGGAGTTTGAGACCAGCCTGGCCAACATGATTAAACCCCGTATGCACTAAAAATACAAAAAATCAGCTGGGTATGGTGGTACACGCCTGTAATCCCAGCTACTCAGGAGGCTGAGGCAGGAGAATCACTCGAACTGGGGAGATGGAGGTTGCAGTGAGCCCAGATAGCAGCAGTGCACTCCAGCCTGGGCAACAGAGTGAGGCTCCGTCTCAAAAACAAACAAACAAACAAAAATGACTTCCTTCCCCAATATAAAATTTCCATGTTTTTTTCAGTTTGGGATTGAATGAATGCAAGAATCCCAAATTAAAATTCTGCACCTGGCATGGTAGCTCATACCTGTAATCCCAGCACTTTGGGAGGCTGAGGCGGGAAGATTACTTGAACCTAGGAGTTCGAGACCAGCCTGGGCAACACACTGAGACCCCATCGCTACAAAACAATTTTTTAAATTAGCCAGGCAGGGTGGCATACACTTAGGGTCCTAGCTGGTCAGGAGGCTGAGGTGGGAGGATTGCTTGAGCCAGGGTGGTCCAGGCTACAATGACCCGTGTTCATGCCACTGCACTCCAACTTGGGAAACAAAGCAAGACTCTGTCTTAAAAAAAAAAAAAAAAAAAAAAAAATCCAGAAAGTGAAGAGGAAGCTATGTCCTAGGACAACAGCTCTCTCCACATCCAAGCTGGCTGTATGCAAGTGCCATGCCGAGCCCATTACAGGCAGTCTCTCAATGATTCTCCCCCAAGTTTCTCCACAGCTCAGCAGAACACTCCGGAGCTGTCAGAGGGAGGCCCACTTGCCCCAGATCGGGGAACTAGGATGAAAATCCAGGTGGTCTGACTACAGACTCCAAGATCTTCACCCCTTGCTCCATCCCATTCCAGGTCCCATCCCGGCCACGTACCTGAGCCTGCAGCGGTCGGCCAGGAGCATGTGCAGGTAGCGCTCCAGGGAGTGTTCGTTGAGGGCACAGCGCAGCCAGGTGCGGCCCCGGCCCACGTCTGAGGCGATGTGGCGCAGGGAGTAGAAGCGCTTGCAGCTCGTGCTTGTTGAGGACCTCCTTCACGTAGTACCAGAACACGGGCTCTACGGAGAGAGGGCACAGGTGCCTGGCACTCGGCCTGGGGCACTCAGCACTGGGAGAGGAACACACAAAGCCTCTAGGCGATGTTGGAGATTGTAACAGAGTATCCCCTTAGCATGGAAAAGGTAGGAGATAACACCAAAGACATGGTATCAACCCAGATACTCATCAATAGTGGACTAGATAAACAAAATGTGGTACATTTACACAAGGAATACTATGCAGCCTTGAAAAAGAACAAAATTGTGTCCTATGCAGCAACATGGATGACTGGAGGCCATTATCCTAAGCGAATTACACAGAAATAGAAAACGAAATATTGGATAGTCTCACTTATAAATGGAAGCTAAACACTGGGTACACACAGACATAAAGATGGCAAACAACAGACACTGGGGGCTGCTAGAGAGAGTAGAGAGGGAGGAGAGCACGGACGGAAAAACTACCTACCAGGTACTATGTTCACTACCTGGGAGATGGGTTCAATCGTGCCCTGAACCTCGGCATCACACAATGTACCCAGGTAACAAACCTGCACATGTACCCCCTGAATCTAAAATAAAAATTGAGGCTGGGAACGGTGGCTCATGCCTGTAATCGCAGCACTTGGGAGGCTGATGTGGTGGATCACTTGAGGCTCGGAGTTCAAGACCAGCCTGGCCAACACAGTAAAACCCCATCTCTACTAAAAATGCAAAAATTAGCTGGGCATGGTGGCGCACACCTGTAATCCCACCTACCGGGCGGGCTGAGGCAGGAGAATCACTTAAAACCAGGAGACGGAGGTTGCAGTGAGCTGAGATTGCACCACTGCACTCTGGCCTGGTGACAGAACAAGACTCAGCCTCAAAAACAATAATGAAATAAGAAAAAAAGGTGGGAGATACAGAAGAGTATATCAAAAATAAAAATGACTCTAAAACCTCTCATCCAGAAAAGACCAATATTGACATTTTCAAGAATTTTCAGTCTTTTTTACTGCACTTTTCTTTTTTATAATAAAATCAACATTTGCTGTAGGCTGAATTATAATCCTCAAAGATATCGACGTCCTAAGCTCCAGAATTCTCTGAATATTACCTTATATAGTAAAAGAGTCTGTGCAACTGTGTTAGGATCTGGAAACTGGGAGGTTATCTTGCATAATCCCTGTGAGGCTGATGTAATCACAAGATCTTCATAAGAGGCAGGCAGAGAGAAACTTGACACAGAAGAGGAGGACATGATGTGGCCAGAGAAGCAAAGACTAGAATGGGGCAGCCATAGCCAAGGAAGGTGGGCAGCGAGCAGACTCTGGAAGGGCCAGAAACGGATTCGGCCCTGAAGCCTCTGGAAGGAAGCAGCCCTGCTGTCACCTTGACTTTAGCCCAGTGAAATGGATTGGGGACTTCTGGCCTCCAGAACTGTGGGAGAATAAATTATAGTGTTTAAAAGCCACCAATTGTGTATTAATTTGTTACAGCAGCCAGAAGAAAAGAACACATCAGGCCAGGCACAGTGGCTCATGTCTGTAATCCCAGCACTCCGGGAGGCCGATGCGAGCGGATCATCTGAGGTCAGGGGTTCGAGACCAGCCTGGCCAACATGGTGAAACCCCATCTCTACTAAAAATACAATAATGAGCCAGGCATGGTGGCAGGTGCCTGTAATTCCAGCTACACAGGAGGCTGAGGCAGGAGAATCACTTGAACCCAGGAGGCGGAGGTTGCAGTGAGCCGAGATCACACCACTGTACTCCAGCCTGGTCGACAGAGCAAGACTCTGTCTCAAAAAAAAAAAACAGGCTGGCGTGGTAGCTCACGCCTGTAATCCCAGCACTTCGGGAGGCCAAGGCAGGCAGATCACGAGGTCAAGAGATCGAGACCATCCTGGCCAAAATGGTGAAACCATGTCTCCACTAAAAATACAAAAATTAGCTGGGCGTGGTGGTGCACGCCTGTAGTCCCAGCTACTTGGGAGGCTGAGGCAGGAGAATCACTTGAACCCAGGAGGCGGAGGTTGCAGAGAGCCAAGATCACGCCACTCCACTCCACTCTGTCTCAAAAAATAAATAAATAAAACCACATCATATTGTATGAGTGTATACGCATACATATTTGTATGTGTAATTTGGATCCTGATTCATTTATTTTCTTGTCTAGAGCATGAACATTTTCCTATTACAATTAAAAGTCTTTCAAAGATGATTTTTGATGGCTTTCCAGTAAAACAACTATTTCCATACTGCTAAGGGCATGGCACATGGCCAACTTTCCCTCTGTACAGTAAAGAACACCCCTATACATAAATAATTGTCCTCATTCCTAGTTCCTTAGGAAAGATTTCCACATGTCAAATTACTCAGTCTGAGGATAGGAACAGATTTAAGGCGTTATGGGAAACCTAAGAAAGTTTGTTTTTATCCATAAGACAGTCATTCCTACAACTACTTGTATCTCCTCACATCCCACCACTTTTTATCCACATGTACACAGATTTTTAAAATTTTTTATATACATTTTAAGTTAATTATTATTTATTTATTTTTGAGACAGGGCCTCTCCCTCTGTCACCCAGGCTGGAGCTCACTGCAGCCTCAACGTCCTGGGCTCAAGTGATCCTCCTGTCTCGGCCTCCCATGTAGCTGAGACACAGGCACGCACCCCCATGCCCAGCTAATTTTTTAATTTTTATTTATTTGTAGAGATGAGATTCTGCTATGTTGTGCAGGCTAGTACCAAACTCCTGGCTTCAAGCGATCCTCTTGCCTGAGATTCCCAAAATGCTAGGATTACAGTCGGGAGCCACCATGCCCAACCCCAGATATTTTCATAGTTGTAATGCTAGTGTATACATAATTTTGTGATCAATTTTCTTCACTTAACATTGGCTCTTTAACAGTTTTTCATGCTGGCAATAATAATAACAGCAGCAACAGCAACTACTATTTACTGAGCATTAACTTTGCACCAGCCATTGCAGTAAACACTTTACATCTGACATCATCACAACCAAGGCCATCTCCATGTGAAAGACAAGGTCTGAAGCCAGGACAAGTGAAGCGACTCACCCAGCAACACAATTAGTAAACAGTATGGCAGAAAGGGACCCCAGAGCTCACTGCAAACCACTAAATCACACTGCCCTGCAAAATGAGGGGACTTGGCCTTCTTCAAAATGATCACGTTCACAACTGTTTAATATTCCAAGTGGGGGAAGCTGAGTCTTTGCAGTCGGACCTGGCTTCCAATCTAGGAGCTAAACAGGCTCACAGTCCCCTCTGAAACATGACAAAGGCTTTGAACCTGCCTTCCAGAAGGAGGCAAGTACACCCATCTCCAGAAACTGCATGGCAGGCTAGTTAAGTTCACTCTAATGTTTCAATTCAACTTCACTAGGATCCACTGCATTCTTCCTGGGAGCTGTGAACCGAGCTAGGCTATGTGTCACCAGCTAGAGACAACAAGAACTCGTCCCTAAGGGGCTTCCAGTCTAGCAGGCAGGACAACAGAGAAAAAGTCCATTCAACCAAATGACCTTGAGCAAGTCACTCAACCATGCTAAGCCTGAAAATCCTCTCCCATAAAATCAACACAAAAGTGCAGAATCGCCCAGGGTTACTAGGGTAACTAGAAAGGGAAGGAAAGCACCGAGCACAGTGCCCAGTCCATGATGACCAATCAGCATTTGCTTAATAATTAATTCCCTTCACAGCAGAGGGCATTCGCGTGGGTTCCTTTTTGTGTTAGCAGCATCTAAATGTATACATCCGTATGAGCGTGCATAAGTATTTGTGGATCAAGCCAATCACTGGGATCATTTAGAATAAACTTCCCAGGAATAACAAAAACCAGCAAGAGGGCAGGTCCCTCAAGACTGTCTTCTGTCTCGATCCCTAAATGTCAAACTAATCCACTTCCCAAGCTCATCCGATCAGTCTAATCCACACAACTGTACAAAACAGCCTTCCTTCCACTCTCCACCTCACTCAGAAACCAGGACGGGGAATCTGGCGACAACAACGCCCTGGGCCAGCTGGCCAACAACGTATTTCAAAATACCCCAGACCATTGTCGGTACGTCCATCACATTTCCAGTCAAGTGACTCTCACTTGCAGCCTGTCTTGAAAAATGCAGTCACCTCCCTCCGACCTTGAATCTACATGAACGCTTTAAAGTGTGTTTTCACCTTTCAATTCTGCAAAATTGCTTACTGCTACAGAATCCTTTTAAAGCTTGTCAGGGTGATGCTGCTGATGATAAGAATTATCCCAGCAGGGTTCCGCTTCCACTGCCAGAATTAATGTGGTCTATTTAAAGTGCAGCTCACCTGCCAATTAGCGCCTGCGGTGTCCATAATTTAATTTAGGGATATACATTGATCTGCTTTGAAACATGGGGTTAAGTCAAAAAGCAGGCAAGGGCTTCTGGTTCTCCAAACACCTGAAAGCCGAATGCCAACAAGAACAAGTGCCAGGAAGGGGTGTTGAGAACAGCTGCCCCGGGACACCTATTAACAGAGGATGACTAACAGCACCAGGCTTTTGGGAAAGTTTCTATCAAGCCTTAACTATCACCGATGCCCAAGAATTCATACCTTGGGGACCACAAGGAAGACAAAAACCTTGTCCCAAATTCTAGTTCAGGCACTGTGTGACCTTGGGAAACTTATTTTGTCCTCTACTTTCTTCATCTGTACAGTGGGGAGAACAGTACCTATGTGTATGGATTGCTATGAGGGAAAAATGAGAAAAAGGAATACATGTAAAGTGTATCCAATAAATGCAGTGAATAAATGTTAGCCATAGTTATTAACATACCTGGCATATAATTGGTGCTCAATGAAAACCAACTATTAATATCACTACTACACGTGCACCAAACAGCATTCCTTTTCCTTGTTTGGGTTTTTTTTTGTTTTGTTTTGTTTTTGAGGGGTGGGGTGGGGACAAGGTCTCACTCTGTCACCCAGGCTAGAGCACAGTGGCACGATCATAGTTCACTGCAGTCTTGAACTCCTGGGCTCAAGCGATCTTCCCATTTCAGGCTCATGAGTAGCTGGGACTACAGGTGTACACCACCATACACGGCTAATTTTTTTTTTTCTGTAGAGGCGAGGGTCTTACTATGTTACTCAAGCTGGTCTTGAACTCCTAGAATCAAATGATCATCCAGCATCGGCCTCCCAAAGCACTGGGATTACAGGCGTAAGCCACCGAGCCTGGTCCCTTTCCCTTTCTTCTAGTAAGAGCACCCCTCTTTCCTATGGGAAACACATTCCACTGGGATCCTTCAGCACTATCCTAACCTCCCCCTACTGCAGGGGTGGACAGCTAACCCAGGGCAGGCAATTAACTGGCCGGAACCATGGCATATGCAACTTTCATTTTTTTTAATATTACATAAAAATAGTATTTATCTTGATTGATAAGTTTTTTGGTACCGCCTTCAATTTTGTGGCCAAAGTGAGTGTGTCACTAACCTCACCCCAGTCTCAGCCCTGGACCACAGGGTCCCTTCGCACAAGTTCTACCAGAGCCACCAGAAAAGAGGCCTTGTCTCCTCCAGAAGCTGAGGTCAGCAAACAACGGCCTGGGGGTCAAATTTGGCCTCCAAACTGTTTCTGTAAGCACAGTGTTCTTGGAACGCAGCCACACCCATTTGCTCCCATATGGTCTGTGGCTGAGTTTCTGCTCCAGTGGCAGAGCTGAGTCACTGCGATGGAGATTGCATGGCTCACAAACCCTATAATACGACCCATAAGGAGGGAGTGTGCCGACCCCGTCCTAGAAGTAGGATCTCTCATCATCCTGGAAACCTGGAGCTACTTGGGGCCATTTTCCACCCCATCATGTAGAGACCCCCCACCCGGAAAGACACCCAACCACAGAGAAGCGGTGCTGAGGGATGACAGATGGAGACAGATTTGGGAGAAGGCAGGCCCCCTGAATCCAGCTCAACTCCAAGATGATTTCTTAGATACTTGAGTCAATAAATAAATTAATTTTCTTCATCTTTTTTTTTCTTAAATCAATCTAAAGAATTTTCTATCATTTGCAACCACAGGAAATAATGCAGTGAGACAGGGCATGTTCTTCAGTCATCTGACAATCATCTATAGAAGACCAAGAACACACCAGGTGCTGAGCAACACCTGTGCTCCACAGCCATGGGGGGTGAGGGGTGTCTCATCAATGTGACAACACTGCCCCAAAACAATGCATTGCTCAACAACAACAACAAAAAAACAGAAAACCCGCCGGGCACGGTGGCTCACGCCTGTAATCCCAGCACTTTGGGAGGCCGAGGCAGGTGGATCACGAGGTCAGGAAATCGAGACCATCCTGGCTAACACGGTGAAACGCCATCTCTACTAAAAATACAAAAAATTAGCCGGGTGTGGTGGCGGGCGCCTGTACTCCCAGCTACTTGGGAGGCAGAGGCAGGAGAATGGTGTGAATCTGGGAGGCGGAGCTGGCAGTGAGCCGAGATGGTGCCACTGCACTCCAGCCTGGGCAATGGAGCAAGACTCCATCTCAAAAAAAAACAAAAAAAAGAAAAAAACAGAAAACCCAAGACCAGCCTGGGCAACATAGTAAGAACCCATCTCTAAAGAAAGGAAACAGAAAACCCAACTACAAGGAGCCGAGTGTGGCGGCACACACCTGTAGTCCCAGCTACTTGGGAGGCGGAGGCAGGAGGATGGCTGGACCCCAGGAGTTTGAGGCTGTAATGAGCTATGATTGCACCACTGCACTCCAGCCTAGTTAACAGAGCAAGGCCCTGTCTCTAAAAACAAAACAAAACAAAAAAACCCACACACAAAGAAAATCCAACCCCATGGAGCTGGGCTAGTCTGGAAATAGGCCAGTGATACAAAGGCTATGTCAGGCCAAAACCTCCAACCTTTTGACCTCGCTGTCCCAGAGGACTGTCCTAACTCTGGGCATCTCATTTACAATTGAGCAGGAAGAAAGGGAATGGGATGAAGCCAGCTTTATCGCCCCTTTTATCAGGAAAGAACAAGTAATCCCAGAAAATCACAAGGGAGCAGAGAAAGCAAAGAACAAAACTCAAAACTGGCTTAATCCCTCACCGAGATAAAGGAGTACATACCACAGCCTCAAGCAAAATCTGGGTTCTATCAAAGCCAAAGAAGACAGAGGGATGAATCTGAGGGCACACTCTAACAGAATCAGCCACACATGGTATCAGCCATGCCAGGAACAAAGGTAAACCAAGTTCACTCATGTGCCAGCCTGAGAACTCAGTGAATACAAGTGCTCCCAAATCTGTCACATCCCAAACTGAACCAGCCTGACTGCAAGGCACAAATGGATTGGCAGAGCAGAGTGCCAAAAAGGGGCTGAGCTCTGTCACTCTACCAACTTCCAACTAGCCACAAGACTGCCTTCCAGAACCAGGGCTCAGCATAACACACCCGCATCCTACAAGAGTTTACAGCATACCACCTCCTTTATTAAAGAGTAGGAAATAAATTAACCAGGCACAGTGGCATGCATGTGCAGTCCCAGCTACTTGAGAGGCTGAAGTGGGAGGATCGCTTGAGCCAGGAAGTTCAAGGCTGCAGAGAGCCATGATTGCACCACTGCACTCTAGCCTGGCAACAGAGCAAGACCCTGTCTCTTATTTAAAAAAAAAAAAAAAATGGGAAATTTCTAAGAAGGACTTCTAAAACTTGTATCTCACTTCCTTTTAGGGGCATACGCCATCATGAGCTGAAGAGTCATTTACATTCTGAAAGGAGCAAAGCAAAGGACCCACGGAACTCAGGCTGGATAACTGTGATCTAAAAACTGACAACTCAGAGGCCAAACTGAGTCTTTTTTACTTTTTTTTTTGAGGTGGAGTCTTGCTCTGTCGCCCATGCTGGAGTGCCAGGGCACGGTCTCAGCTCACTGCAACCTCCGCCTCCTGGGTTCAAGCAGTTCTCCTGCCTCAGCCTCCCAAGTAGCTGGAATTACAGGTGCCTACCACCATGCCCAGCTAATTTTTGTATTTTTAATGGAGACGGGGTTTCACCATGTTGGCCAGGCTGGTCTCGAACTCCAGACCTCAAGTGATCCACCCACCTCGGCCTCCCAAAGTGCTGGGATTACAGGCCTGAGTCTTAATTTATGAGACATCAGGATTAAACACCTTTGAAACAGGCAGAGGTCACATTCGGCCAATAGGTATCAGTCCAGCTCCACTAGATCTTAACATGCTGGGACACATTCATACCCCTTAGTAAATAGCCACTGGCCCAGGTCCCTGCCACCCTGGGTGTCAAGAACCCACCCTCGAGGGACCCTGTGGACATCCCCATGATCCAGTGACCCAGGATAACACACAGCCCAAGGGGTACAGCACCCTGGCTTCTGACTTCCTCCTTAAGGCCAGCTTCTTTCTGCCAGTTGTCAACCACTTTTTTCACCTTGAACGGAGCTCTGCATTTTCTCTGCACCTTTAGCAGACATCCTTCCAAGGCTTCCCTTACCAAAAGCAGCTGATTTGCACGTGCATGAATACAAAAGAAAATCACCAACAGGGAACCAAAAGCAGGGATGGGCGAGTGAGGAACTGGACTTCCCCTCACCATCAAAAGGATGGACCCAGGGCTCCCCTGGCACATGCAGCTTCCTCCAAAATTAATTTTCTACAGAAATGAAATTGTTGCCCAAGGTGACCCAATGAAGCAAAATACAAATTCTGCTTTGAGTGCAATCAACCATTTTCAAAAATCCCCACTGAAGATTAAGGAAGTCGGTCTCTCTCACTTTACAGTTGTGGGTATATTATCACCGCTTCCCACTGACTAAAGATGCATACAGACCACTGAGAGTAGGGGTTTGGCTTCCCGGGAAAATGAGCAGCATGTTCTGAAGTCAGGGTCTTCAAGTGGTTATTTTGAATGCAGTCCTTTGGTGGCCTCTACTGTGCAGGTGGCCAGGTACCTTGCAAGACACTAGAGCTACAAGGATGAGCCTGTAATCCTAACACTTTGGGAGGCCAAGGCAGGCGGATCACCTGAAGTCAGTAGTTCGAGACCAGCCTGCCCAATATGATGAAACCCCGTCTCTACTAAAAATATAAAACTTAGCCAGGCATGGTGATGTGCACCTGTAATCGCAGCTACTCAGGAGGCTGAAGCAGGAGAATCACTTGAACCCAGGAGGCATAGGCTGCAGTGGGCCAAGATTGCGCCACTGCACTCCAGCATGGGCAACAGAGCAGACTCCATCTCAAAAAAAAAAAAAAAAGAAAAAGAAAAGAAAAAAGAAAACAAGTAGTTCCATATATAGGTTTGATGGAAGAAGAACTCAGGACTATAGGAGGGGCACAGTCCAGCTGAACCATGTAGGGAGCTCATGAATGGCTTTTTGAAAACAATTCTGAAACTTCAAGAGAGAAGAGAACAAAACCACATGAGATACCACTTCACACCCATTAAGATGGCAATTATGAAAACAGAAAAAAGGAGGCCAGGCACGGTGGCTCAGGCCTGTAATCCCAGCACTTTGAGAGGCCAAGGTGAGAGGATCACTTAGGGCAAGGAATTCGAGACCAGCCTGGGCAAGATAGTAAGATACTGTCCCTACAAAAAATAATAAAATTACTATATATATATATATATATATATATATATATATATATATATATATGAAAAAAGGGGGTGGTAATCACTCTCTGGTTCTCCCCATGTATACAATTAAAGCTGTATACCTTTTCTCTAATTTAAAAAGGCAGCATTGGCCGAGCACAGTGGCTCACGCCTGTACTTCCAGCACTTTGGGAGGCCAAGGCAGGTAGATCACTTGAGGCCAGGAGCTCGAGACCAGCCTGGCCAACATGGTGAAACCCTGCCTCTACTAAAAATACAAAAATTAGCCAGGCACAGTGTTGCATGCCTGTAATCCCAGCTACTTGGGAAGCTGAGGCAGGAGAATCACTTGAACCTGGGAGGTGGAGGCTGCAGTGAGCCAAGATCACACTGCTGCACTCCAGCCTGGGTGACAAAGCGAGATTCTATCTCAAAAAAATAAATAAAAAGCCAGCACTGGCAAGGCTGTGGAGTTGGCAAGGATGTGGAAGGATGGTGGAGAAAATGGACCTCGTGTGCATTGCTAGTGGGAATGCAACAGGGTATAGCCTCTATGGAAAACCCTCTGATGGTTTCTAAAAAACAATTAAACATAGAATTACCATATGATCCAGCACTGTCCTTGTGGGTATATGCCCCAAAAGAACTAAAAGTGGAAAAAACAAGTATTTGTATCTTCATATTCACAGCAGTACCATTCGCAATAGCCCATAAGTGGAAGACACCCAACTGTCATGGGAATAAACAAAATATGGGCTCTACATACCCTCAAAAATATTGTTCAGCCTTTAAAAAGAAGAAAATTCTGGGCCAGGCACGGTTGCTCATGCCTGTAATTGCAGCACTTTGGGAGGCCGAGGCAGGTGGATCACGAGGTCAGGGGTTCGAGACCAGCCTGGCCAACATAGTGAAACCACGTCTCTACTAAAAATACAAAAATTAGCCGGGCATGGTGGCGCCTGCCTATAGTCCCAGCTACTTGGGAGGCTGAGGCAGGAGAATCACTTGAACCCAGGAGGCAGAGGTTGTGGTGAGCTGAGATAGCGCTACTTACTGTACTCTAGCAAACTGGGCAACAGAGCAAGGCTCCATCAAAAAAAAGAAGAAGAAGGAAATTCTGACACATACTACAACACGGACGATCCATGAAGATGTTATGCTAAATAAAGCCAGACAAAAAAAGAACAAATATTGCATGATTCCATTGGCACAAGGAACCTAAAGTAGTAGAATGCACTGAGGCAGAAAGTAGAATGCTGGCTGCCAGGGGCAGGGGTCTGGAGGGAGTGAGTGTTAGTGTTTAACGAGTACACAGTTTTGGTTTGTAAAAGTGGAAAGGTTCTGAGATGAATGGTGGTAATGATTACTGTATGACATGTGAATGTACATTAAGTACACTCACACTGAATTGTACACTTCAAATGGCTGAAATGGTAAATTTCATTATGTATATTTTACCAATTTTTTTTGTTCGTTTTGTTTTGTTTTGTTTTGAGATGGAGTCTCACTCTGTTGCCCAGGCTGGAGTGCAGTGCCACGATCTCGGCTCACTGCAAGCTCTGCCTCCCGGGTTCATGCCATTCTCCAGCCTCAGCCTCCCAAGTAGCTGGGACTATAGGCACCCGCCACCACGCCCGGCTAATTTTTTGTATTTTTAGTAGAGATGGGTTTCACCGTGTTAGCTAGGATGGTCTCGATCTCCTGACCTCATGATCCGCCCGCCTCAGCCTCCCAAAGTGCTGGGATTACAGGCATGAGCCACCAGGCCCGGCCATATTTTTTTTTAAGAGAGAATAGAAGTTTGGCCAGTAGGAGCTTGGGTGAGAGCTGGGGAAGGAAGGAAGGTAGCAGAAGGGAAAGAACTGCCAGACTTGAAGAGTTTCAAGACAATAGAAACCAGGAGAGCTGTTCAAAATACAGGATTGGGCCAGGAACAGCGGCTAACGCCTGTAATCCCAGCACTTTGGGAGGCTGAGGCAGGTGGATCACATGAGGCCAGGAGTTCGAGACCAGCCTAGCCAACATGAGGAAACCCCATCTCTACCAAAAATACAAAAATTAGGCAGCATGGTGGTACACACCTGTAGTGCCAGCTACTCAGGAGGCCAAGACATGAGAATCACTTGAACCCAGAAGGCAGAGGCTACAATGAGCCGAGATCACACCACTGCACTCTAGCCTGGGCAACAGAGCAAGACACTGTCTCAAAAAAAAAAAAAAAAAAACAAAAAAAAAACAGAACTGAATCATCTAAATTACTGAGAGGCACCAAGCAAAGCACAGGCAGTGGCACTGAAGGCCCTGCCCCACACAGGATCTGGCATTAGTGCTTTAGCTGCTGAATTATGGAGAGGTCTCAAGAGTCCCAAGGCAGGGGTGTGGCAGGAGGGGAGCTTGTGGGACTCAGGCCATCATTTATTTGCAAACTGGATGAAAGAGTTGTGATGTTGGACCTGCCGCTGCCTGTCAGCCCTGGCGTACGGCACGGCATAAGAGGTAGAACAGAGACAGACACAGCCAGCAGGGAAGAGAGCCCAAGAAGCCATATCAAGCACTCGATACTTTGTCCCAATTCTACAAGAGACCCACGGAAGAGCTTTAAGTTAGTGGGGTTATGGGGAATAAGTGGGGGAGTGGGATGGTAATTAAAGAAGACCACTCCGTGATATGCAAAGTGCGTCAGAGCTGATCAAGACTGAAGGCAGGAAAACACAAGTCGGGGAGAAAGAAGAGAACTCACTGACGATGGAGGAACCGCGCGTGGCTCAGGGACCCATGTGAGAGACAGAAAACAGTGCTCTTTGTGGGACTGGTTTTGGGGCAGAGGAAAGGGAGAAGGAGAAGGCTGGGAGGAAGCCCAAGAGCTGTCCAGGGGACCTGGGTAAAGGGCAGAGCCATTTACTAAGCAAGAAACACAGGAACACATATGGATGAAGATCAGAATTCAGTTTTGGAGACTGACAAGCCCGTGCTGTACACCAAATAGAGACATTCATGAGACAGAGTTCGAGGAAGTGCTCTGGGCTGTGGGTATGACTAAGAATAACAGGCACATACAGAGCAACTTCACCAAGGAATCCAAACAGTATGCATAGAAACAAGAGCCAACAATGAATCCAAGGATGAATAATATTTGAGGGTATGGAAGTGATATGCCAACAAGGATCAGAAAAGAAGAAAGTGTGCCAATAGGCTATGGCATCACAGAAAGCAAGGGAAGCCAGTGTTTCAAAGTCAGAAGATCCTCGATGCCCAAGGCTGCCGAACAGACAGGGAAGATTAGACTTCAATTTTACAGGCAGCTCAGCAACAGTAACTGTGTCTCTGGTATATTCTGAATGGCCCCGATCACCTTGTAATTGACTGCCAATCTATAACCTGATGATGATATATCAGTGATTAAAAGAACATCAAATTCCAGCCGGGCGTGGTGGCTCATGCCTGTAATCCCAGCACTTTGGGAAGTCGAGATGGGCAGATTACCTGAAGTCAGGAGTTCGAGACCAGCCTGGCCAACATGGTGAAACTCCATCGCTACTAAAAATGCAAAAATTAGCCAGGCATGGTGGCGCACACCTATAGTCCCAGCTACTCAGGTGGCTGAGGCTGGAGAATCACTTGCACCTGGGAGGCAGAGGTCGCAGTGAGCTGAGATCATGCCACTGCACTCCAGACTGGGCAACAGAGTGAGGCTCCATCTAAAAAAAAAAAAAATCAAATTCCAAGGTCATGCCATCAAATGCATCAAACGCCAATAACAGCAGTGGTTCTTTCTCCTTTCCCAAGTGGAATGGAAAATAATTCATTTTTCCATACTGTATTCTGTACTGGCTACTTGGGTTTCCAGTGGCTACAAAGACAGCAAGCCAAGTCTGTGTAGAGCTCTGGGTCGCTTTTCATTAATTTTTGCTTTGTTCCTTAAAAATTAATCACTTTCCCTGTAGCAAGCTGTAGTGATCCTGGTATATGGTACCTCGGGAACCATGAAATACAGTACTGCACGCAATGAATAATGCCCTTCCTTCCAACCAAGATGTATTTGTTTAGTGAACATAATTTTATTGAACAACCTGTGTAGTGGCAGACACTATGCTAGGCGTCAAGAGAAAGTAAACAAACACGGTGTCCTGCTTTCAAAAAAGCATGCTACATCGTGGGATATACAGAAAACTGAATATGGTATGACGATGAGGGGGTAAAGTGGAATCTCCTGTCCTTTGTTCTGTAAGACAAAGGCAGGCAAGCTTGTCTTTTTTTTTTTTTTTTTTTTTGAGATGGCATCTTGCTCTGTCGCCCAGGCTGGAGTGCAGTGACATGATCTCAGCACACTGCAACCTCAGTCTCCCAGGTTCAAACAATTCTCCTGCCTCAGCCTCCCAAGTAGCTACGATTACAAGTGGGCACCACCATGCCCAGCTAATGAGCTAAGCTAGTTTGGTCTTTTCCCTGCTTCTCATTTGCAGGAGGCTGCTCAGCACATCCTCATCAGCAGAAAACAGCCAGAGACTGCCCTTTCGTTCATCTCATCACCATGCCAGTATAGCACTCTCCCTAAGACAGAGAGGGGCGGCCAGAACGAGAAGGCTGGAGATGCCTTGCAAATGTGTTGGTGGTTCTTTGATTACCAGGGCCAAGCAACAAAAAGATAAGAATTCTAGTCCTGATGGGAACAAAAAGAGCCATTCTTTGTGGCCAAAAGGTCAGCACCTTAAGAAGGGATGACATGGAGGAAGAGGTTCAAAGTTGAAAGGGTGGTGGGAGAGGAGGGTAAGTGGTTAAACATTTATTAGGTGTTAGGAACTAAAGCAGCTGCTTCAAATGAGGTTCTCACTGAATCCCCCTGACAAACCCTCAAGCTAGGCGAGACTATCGCCTTCACAAGTGAAAAAAACGAAGGCTCAGAGGGAACTTTCCCCGAGGCCATTCAGACTCACCCTAGCAGTCTGACTTCAAAGCCAGGGTTGCTTCTGCCTTGCTGGATGTAAGTGCCCAGCTGCCAGCTGCCCTTGGCTGGATGGAGGTGGACCAAGAACCTCATGGCTTACTCACACCAATTCCTCTAAGGTCATTCCCCCAAAGGCAGATAAGATATAAACAAGAAGAAGTATGAGGGCCCAGGAAGCCTGAGGGCAGGTGGCCCTGAGAAAAGCTAAATCCCTGCAAAGCTCCTCACCCAGCCTGTAACACTAAATCACTCATACACAGGGACTCAAGGAGGCGTCCGGGAGATGGGAAGCTGCAGAGACATAATCCAGGACACAGGAGGTGGCCAAAGCCATTGGCAGTGATTTCTATGAGGACTGAAGTAGTCCCTGATGCTGGCTTTTCTCAGACTGGATCCCTCCGTCCCTGGCTGTTGAAGGAGCACAGAAGCATGGCAGAAAATTCAACAGGGACAGGAATCGTTTTTTTTTTTTTGGTGAGACGGAGTCTCGCTCTGTCACCCAGGCTGGAGTGCAGTGGCATGATCTCGGCTCACTGCAACCTCCGCCTCCCGGGTTCAAGCAATTCTAAATGTGAGTCACCGTGCCCGGCTCCAACAGATCTTTTTTTTAAAAAAAATTATTAAAATTATTTTATTGATACATAATATTTGTACATATTTATAGGGTACCTGTGGTACTTTGATACATGCCTAGAATGTGTAATGACTTTCAACAGATCTTTGCTTCTTTTTTTCTTTCTTTGGGCAGTCTCTGGGGGCTAGAGTAGGCTCAGGCTCCTAGATCTTTGATTCATTTCTGAAAATGACTAACTGGTGAAATAAACAAGAAACAAAGATCTAGGAGCCTCTCTGAACTTACCCTAGCCCCGGGAGACTGCTCAAAGAAAGAAAAAAAAAAGCAAACATCTGTTCAAAGTCATTACACATTCTAGGCATGTATCAAAATATCACAAGTACCAAGGCCAGGCGCAGTGGCTCACACCTATAATCCCAGCACTTTGGAAGGCCGAAGTGAGCAGATCACAAGGTCAGGAGTTCGAGACCAGCCTGGCCAACATGGTGAAACCTGTCTCTACTAAAAATACACAAATTAGCCGGGCATGGTGGTGGGCACCTGTAATCCCAGCTACTCGGGAGGCTGAGGCAGGAGAATCACCTGAACCTAGGAAGCGGAGGTTGCATTGAGCCAAGAAGGTGCCATTGCACTCCAGCCTGGGCAACAGAGCAAGACTCCATCTCAAAAATATAAAAATTAAAAACATTTTTAAAAAATTAAAAAAAGAACATAAACAATGCCAACTCCCACCCAAGACTGCATGAGCTCACAGCTCCCTAAGATCACTAGAGCACGTCCATGTTACGCTCAGTATTTCTTTACCAAACCATTTAATTCACGGAAAGAATGAACTTTGTAGTCCAGATTGCTTTACAGCGATGAGGTTCAGATGATCTGTTTTAAAAGGTTCAGTCCTGGTCATCATTTTCACAAGACAAAACTTCCTAGTTAATTAACTAATGCTTTGAGTACACAGTTTTAAAACAGTATCTCTAAAATCACACACACACACACACACACACACACACACACACACGCAAAAGGCAGAAGTGAAAGGCCCACCTCCGCGTCAGGAGGCTCTAAGGGCCGCAGTCCAGTGACTTCACTCAAATGAGCAGCTGTTACTCCTTGTACGTATACAGGGTAAAGCTTCTGTCTGCAGACCACAGCCTGCCTACTCACCACCTGGGTGCCAGTGTCTGTGTGGTCATTTTTTCAGGATTTGCACCACCCTTCCCTGAGTGCTGGAGTGTGGACGGCACCTGCCAAGGGCAGCCCAGAGGCTGGTGAGTGTCAGGTGGGCCGTGTGCACCCAGCAAAACCCACCAACTTCCTGAGCAGGTGCTGCTGCCATCCCACTGCAGTGAAGAGGGCACTGAAGCACGAGGAAGCGACACTGCTGCATCCCAAGATGACAGACACTGAGGGAGCGGCCGCCCTGAGACTGGGACCCATGGCAACTCTCCCAACCCCACACATCCAGTTATCTCCCAAAAGATCTGCCAACCACAGCTGGGCCCTCATCTGTGGCCAAGAAGAGTATTTGAGGAGGTGGCCTCAGGGAGAAGAAAGGTGCTGTGGTCAGGGTGGCACCACACCTCCAATTCTCCACTTTACTCACAGGCTCCCCCACCCCTGGCTGGTCTGAGTGCCCGGCATAGCAGGGCTCTGTGGGGGGTGAGGGGAGCGCTTCTCTGCCGGGAATGAACAAGGGAGTCCAGCATGTTATGTTCGACAGGTGCTGCAGAGGGAAGAAAGGTCCTTCCTGTTGCTGGAAGAGCCTGGGCTCTGGCCCCCAAGGGTTGCTCCTGCTGAGGCCCCTTGGCACAGCCCAGCTGCAACTGAAGCGTTCCTTTGGCCCCGGCCTCTCCTGCAAGAAACGCTCAAATGCATGCATGGACAACTCGGTCAGAGGCTTGTGGATGGCGTAGAGGGGCATGGACAGCCGCGGCAAACATCGAGCCATCTTCCATTCCATGCCCACCATATGACCAACAGAAGGTCAGCCATGCCAAAAACCTGACTGCAGTTCTCAGGAAAACTTCATTCTAATGCCCAAGTGACACGGATAATCCTAATTTTCCTGATCTAGATGAAAAGCAGGGAAACTTCACTCTAATGCCCAAGTGACACGGATAATCCTAATTTTCCTGATCTAGATGAAAAGCAGGGAAACTTCACTCTAATGCCCAAGTGACATGGATAATCCTAATTTTCCTGATCTAGATGAAAAGCCCTGAGAAGCACGCTAAACATTTTTTTAACTAGCACATTTATAATCATTTTTCTTAGATTGAATGTGATTTTTTAAAAAGCTTCCCAATTCAAGAACAATTATCTTTTGATTTATCAAAATATGAGAGGAAGAATATTAATATTTGCAGTGTAAACTTTATATAGTTGTAAATTTTTTTTTTTTGAGACGGAGTCTCGCTCTGTCATCCAGGCTGGAGTGCAGTGCCATGATCTCAGCTCACTGCAAGCTCTGCCTCCTGGGTTCAAGCCATTCTCCTGCCTCAGCCTCCCGAGTAGCTGGGACTACAGGTGCCCACCACCACACCCGGCTAATTTTTTGTATTTTTAGTAGAGAAGGGGTTTCACTGTGTTAGCCAGCATGGTCTCGATCTCCTGACCTCGTGATCCACCCACCTCGGCCTCCCAAAGTGCTGGGATTACAGGCGTGAGCCACCGTGCCCAGCCTATATAGTTGTAAATTTTTAAAAATTACTTAATTACACAGATGCAGTGGTGCACACCTATAGTCCCAGCTACGCAATTACAACTTTTAGAACTACAAACTCTTAAGAAAGAGACATTAGCGATCATCTATTCCAGTATTTTTCGAAGTGTGGGTTGCAAAATCAATGCAATGTGTCATAGCCAGTTTTCAAAGAGACAAAAAGGGAGAGAAACGAAAAGCAGAACAGAAAACAGAATAAAAAATATTAATGCAATCAGCACACAGTAATACCATTCTGTGGACCTGTTCGGACCGTGTAAGTGTACACATGTGAGCGAGGGAGGAGGGCTCTGGAACCACAATGGAAAGCTGCCTTCTCGCTGTAGCCTGTTGTCCTGTGGACCTGTTCCGACTGTGTGTGTGCACACGCATGAGTGAGAGAGGAGGGTTCTAGAACCGCGATGGAAAGCTGCTTCCTGCTGTGGCTTGCGCAGATGCTGGTAGAGTCCAGCCATGCAGCTCGCATGCACTCATCATTCCAGAGGCAGCATCGCCGCAGAATGCGAGTTCGCCTTTATAGGGAGTCTGCCCAGGTCATGCAGCACTGGCTCAGGGTACCCACGGCAGCAAAGCAGCTGCACCAAGATGCAGGTATGACCAACCAGCGGTTCCCCTGTCAGCCCCCTGAAGTGGCCAACTGGTCTATCCACCTTATGCAAAAGTTCCCATGACCTCATAAAAAACCCATCAATTTTCATTTAAAATGCACTCAAAAATAAAGTCATCCACCTCCCTGCAAATTTCAATCCTTACAACTCTTAATTTTTAAGGGCTTTTTTTGTTTTTCAGAATCTTCTGAAAATCTGCACCAAATTAAAGATTTTATTATCCTTACCACTAACTGAAAATTGAAATTCCTTAGACAATACATTATTTTACACTCCTGGCACCATCTGTTTGAATGTACTCTCTCGCTCTGTGAATCGCTGGCACACCAGACTGCCTCTCCCTGCTCCAGGGAATTTCAGGGAATTCCAGATGCCCCTGATTCTGGTCTAATTTACCATACAAGGCCTGTCCTCTACTCAAACCAATTCTGCAATCCCTTAAGTTAACCATATGGGCAATACAATAACACCTCTACTTAAATCATTCCAAATTTCTGCTATGATATCATTTGATCTTCATGCCCAGGGCAGCAAATAATTAATTTCAAATACTCACTGAGCAACAAAGCCAACACTAGGGGATTGTCCAGTAAAGGAAAATGCTGCCCGGATGCCTCACACCCCCAGTGAGGCAGGGACAAAAGAAATCAGCACAGTGTAGTCAGCTGATGAAGGAGCCATTTCTCCACAACTCCACTCTCAACGAAGAAGCACCCAGAACACAGCCACAAATGCATCTAAACAGCCAAAGACCCAGGCTCAGCTCTACGCAGCTCACCCGAAGGAGCTACCCATGCCTGGAGCCATGACCAGAACCAGCCACTGCATTTTAATTTCAACTCCAACAGCAGTGGCTATTTGGCTTCCCTGGAAGGCAGCAGATTAGGTGCATGATGAGGACACGGTGGAGGGCAGGAGGCGAGGAGGGCAGCACACGTCCACACACACACAGGGGCTCTGCTCTACAAAGCCCGAGACTGAGACTCTAACTTAGGCACCTCCCACAGTGACCTCAATGCCCACTCTTATGTAAAGTTGTTATTCAGGAGGAAAGATAATACACAACCTTTGAAACCAGCCAAAGTGGTTCCAAATAATTTTTTAAGTATTTTAATTTTTTGAAAAACCATTGAATTGTACACTTCATTTATTTTGAGACAGGGTCTTGCTCTGTTGCCCAGGCTGGAATGCAGTGGCACAATCATGGCTCACCGCAGCCTGGGCCTCCTGGGCTCAAGCAATCCTCCTGCCTCAGCCTCATGAGTAGCTTGGGACTACAAGCACATGCCACCAGACGTGGCTAATTTTTTTTTTTCTGTAGAGACAGGGTCTCGCTATGTTGCCCAGGCTGGCATCAAACTCCTGGGCTCAAGCAATCCTCCCACCTCAGCCTCCCCAAAGTACTGGGATTACAGATGTGAGCTAGCACAAAACATTTTTTTTAAAGATTCAGCTGCAATTTCAATGTCAGTGTTCTAAGAAAGCCCTTCACCTCTTCTTCCCTCTCCCTCACCTCTTCTTCCCTCTCCCAGTCAGCAATGCTGGAACACTGAGGCACGACAGCATGTGCACTTAGAGGTCAAAAAGAACAATAAAGACAGAGATAGCACTGGAGTGGAAACTAGTCATCACGGCTGGGCAGCTGGCAAAGCAGAGGCCACAGGGGCCCAGAGCTGAGAGGAAGTGAGCGCTCCTGGAGGGGAGGCTGAGACACAGCGCTGGAGAGCACGGCTCGGGGAGGAGGAAGCGGGCACCATGCAGCCAGTGCGTCCCCACACCTGCGCACCCACCACCATCCCCCGAACCTTGTCTTCCCAAATGGCTCTTTATGAAGCCTCTGGTGCTCTGCCAATCTTTCCAAACTTCTTGCCCACATTTGGGATGCACCGTCCGCTACTGCTACCCCCCAACACTGGTCACAGGAGGCTGAGCACCGGGGGCTCCGTCCGACCTCACTGGACCTGGGTGCCCATGGCCTCCGGCCTTGCACAGGCAGTCACCCTCCCCATGGCTGTGCCATTCGCTGTCCTGAGGCCTTGGTGCAGGTGGCTCTCCCGACCTCTCCTACTGTGTCTCTCACCCTCCTACTGTGTCTCCCACCCTCCTACAGTGTCTCCCATGCTCCTACTGCGTCTCTCACCCTCCTACTGCATCTCCCACCCTCCTACTGTGTCTCTCAGGCTCTGTGGTTCTTGCGCACTCCCAGTGTGCCCAACAGGGCCTGAAATGGACTCTAATCAGCATTCCTTAGTGCAGGCTCATGCTCACCTGCAGAGCACCTGTCAGCAGACAGCCTCAGCCAGGGGAGCCCTCCCAGAGTCAACGAACAGCTGTGAGTCCCACCCTGCCTGCAACCCAGCACCAGATGTAAGCGCACACCACAACTGTCAGCAAAGAAGCCAGAGGATGCGGGTGTCGTGGGCTACAGGGAAAGGAGGCCAAGGCAGCCCTCCTGGAACCTCAGTATCAGAGCGGACAGAGACATAACAGCAGAAAGAGCGTGAGACGGGGCAGTCCATCTCTCAGCAAGGAAGAAAAGCAAGGCTGCTATGGACATGAAACTGACCACATAGCTTCAAATCAGGCGATTCTTCATATTTTCTACTCAGACAGCAAATGGCAACTGTGGGATGTCACTAGAATCTCTCAATATTTAATTTGAAGAAAACATGACTCAAAAAGAATGGTCCCCTGGCAGCAGGTGCCACAGGGTCACACCAACGCAGCACAATGGCGCTTCCCAGCACCGCAGCCACCAAGGCCCTCCTGGAACTGACATTGCTGCTGGCCGCAGACGTGGCCTCAAACCCGTCGCCCCAGCAGCAATCCACAAGCACAGCGTACATCCCTCCCTCCGTGGAACTAAGAATGGAGGCTATTTTCAGAGAAGCTGTCCACTAATTCTGAAAATAATCAATTAACTACAAGAAGTAATAGCAACAATCATCTCAGAAGTGGAATAGGAGGAGAACAGCAACAAGTGTGAGCCCAGCACAAGGAAAGGGGGTGGTGTGCAGGATGTGGGGCACAGGGCGCAGGGCACAGGCCCCGGCCCCAGGATGGAAAATGGACGGCCGGAAGAGGGGAGGCCTGGCCACCCTCCCAAGAGGATTTCTAGCTGCTCTGTCAGATTCTGAGTCTATTGCCACATAACCACTCCTAGTTGGAACTAGGGAATCAGAAGGGAATACTAAGCCAATCCTCAGTGATCTAGGAACTTAAAGCAGCCGCGTCCATTTCTTTGTGTTCTCTTACTCCGGTTGGGGTGCTGTTCCTCGCCTTCCCCCAACTACCTGGAACAAGCGTGGGCTGCAGGGTCTCCCATCAATCAAGCCAGTGCTCACACCAGGGCAGGCCAAGGGCCTCTGGGACAGGACGGGGAGCTGAGCCATCTGCAGTGTCACATGAAGGATGCTTCTGAGATCAAGTCTGGCTGGAGAAGAGAGAGCCCTAGACCTGCATGCACTATCCTCCTGTGGGCATGGGGGTGGGGAGGAGAGGGAATGGGCCGTGTGACCCCCACACTGCTCGGGGCTTCTGTAGGCAATGGGGATGGGGAGGAGAGCGAATGGGCCATGTGACCGCCCCCACGGCTCAGGGCTTCTGTAGGCACGGGGACGGGGAGGAGAGTGAATGAGCCGTGTGACCCCCCCCCCACGGCTCGGGGCTTCTGTAGGCACTGGGACGGGGAGGAGAGCAAATGGGCTGTGTGACCCCCCCCACGGCTCGGGGCTTCTTAGCCCAGTCAACAACATCGAGGCGAGTGGGCTTCTCTGTGCTTTCTGAAACATCCTTCTGTCTCCCAAACGTGTGGCCAGCCCGGAGGACAAAGCCTGCATGAGCAGGGTGTAGCTCAGCAGGAATGAGAACTGGCCAAATGATGGAAAAAAAAAAGAATTTCCACAAATGGAAAACGAGGGGGTTCACTACACAGATTTACCAGAAAAGGCAGCTTCAGTTGAACACAGTGGTTTCTTTAAATCACACGGCAGTTTCCTTCCCAAGAGAAGCAGGGGCCATGTACCAAGATTCCGCCCGTTACCCTGAGTGCAGCACCGGCCTCTCCTGAAGCCGTCTTTGATTTGAGGTCCCAGAAATGTGACCGATAATAGGAATCAGGAGCGTATGAGAGTTCACAAGGGGAAAAAAAAACAGGTGATTTATAAATTATTTGTTTCACATAAAAAGTGGTAGTACGGCAGCTTTATTCATTCTGCGGTGAGGCCACTTAGAGACAGTGGGAACTCGGAGGGGCCACGGAAGAGGCGGGAATGAGCAGCAGTTGCGACCCTGCTTGCAGTGCAAAGGCACGTGGGGCGGCAGCAGTGACGGAGGAACGAGAGACACCAGAACGGAATCTTGTTCAGAGAAATCCAGACAGCAACTCCTCCGACATCAGCCCTGAGTCCTTCCTGAACTCAGATCTGTGCTGGAGCCAATGGGCCTCCATGCCTGCTGAGAAAAGCTGGAATCTCTGTCCCCACAGTAGAGTTGGGAGAATTCTGTCTACAATCACAAACAGAAGCACTGCAGTGATACAGTGTAAAAGCCTGGTTCTATCTTTAAAATTCCAAGTGGATTTTGTTCAGGGGTAGAGACAGGAACAAGGGAATATCGAAGGTGACGTGCCTTACTTTTCCTAGGAATTAAACGTCCAGCAGCGTTTCAACTATGATACAGTTCCACTACCAGCAGAACCATAAACCACTATGTTGCAGAAAACTAAGACGGACCGCCAGCTATGAGCCCTGTCCTCTGCTGCCCCCGTGACCGTGAGAACCACGGGGGACAAAGGCGCAGAGAACTGACCTGCACTGCGCCCACCGCAGCCTCATTACCCCAGTGGAGTGAGCGCAAGGCCACAACTGTGGATTTAAAAGCTGCGCATTCCTTTGGCTCTTTTCCAGAGCAGCAATTTCATACTTACAGACGAGCGATGCTGCAGGACTACCTGAGAAAACCTCGTGCTGATCTTTAAGATGAAACTTTCCAACTAAGAAACTCTGACATAAACCAGTTTCGGAGGGTCTGCAGCCCTTCTCCCAAGGTGCCTCTGAGGGGTCAACAGAAAGCCCACGGGAGCACATGCCCTTCTGTCCCCCTCTGTGTAAAGCACCTCACTCTGGGGGTGCCCCAGGCTCAGTCGGGTCAGAGATCTGCAGGGCCTGGCCTTGACAAAGGGAACGCATGCAGGTTTCTCATAGGACAGTGCGCTGTGGTTTTGAAAAATTAGTATTATCTTTCTACACAGTGAGCTCTGTTTATGGTTCTCACTGTCAACTTCCCAGCTTCTGTTTTATGAAATGGGAAGATCACCCAGATTCTTCAATGATCCAGAGGTGACAGCCATCTCCTGAACAGAAAGGGTCTTCACCAGGACCTAGGAACACACAGCCTCAAAACCACCAGCGAGTTGACTCTGTCCTGCACAGCAACACCCTCCCCAGGACCCGCACCGTCGGAGCACATCATTTTGTAAAGACCATTCGTACTGGGGTGTTCAACCAATGGTCACTCTTTTTGTCAAGGATTAGAAAGCAGGCAAGTTTGTGAGTTTGATGGCAATACACAGGAGCGAAACCACCTTTTTCTAACAGAGTTATCTGTGCAAATATGACCACCATCAACATACACATGCGTGTGCAGAAAATAACCATCTGAAGGGGGTGGGGTGGTGGGGGTGGGAGGGCATGTTTCCGCCATAATGCAAAAGCTGCTGAAATCCTACGGAGCAGCAAATGTAACCCCCAAGCCCCGCCCTCCCCCTTCCAGGCCTGTGCATTGCCATGGTGAGGAAAGCCAGTCCTGCTCTGGGGCTCACACTGAGAGGCCTTTGCACCCTCGCTTCCTCCCATGAGAGCCCCCATTCCTTGGCAGCACAATGGCCTATATGTGAGAGGGGGACTGTGGCACTCACCTGACCATCCGCCCCCTTCCCATGAGAGCCCCACCCCTCAGCAGCACAATGCCCACATGTACATGGGGACCAGGGCACTCACCTGACCGTCCCACCCCCTCCCCTGAGAACCCCACCCCTTGGCAGCGCAACGCCCGCATGTGCATGGGGACTGGGACACTCAGCTGACCATCCTGCCCCACGTGATGGATCTGGAGGTTGCCCTACAAAGAACAAGAGGAGGAACGGTCATGAGTAGAAACAAACCAAGACACCCGCAGACACAGCAAACACACCAAGACACCCGCAGACACGGCAAACACGCCAAGACACATCACAGGCCACTTGAGAATAACAAGAAAAACACTAGTTCTGCAAAAATTCAACCTCCAGTAGCAACAAAAGCCCCAAAACAAAATATTTAGATTTCTAGGTACTATTTATTATTTTAAAGGTGAACAAACAACTCAAAAAGCACTGTACCCATTCCCCCACCCTGACCCCAAATGAAAATGTCATTTTTACTTCATTTTTTATTTTGAAAGAATCTGACTCACAAAAAGTACAGAAAGTAGCAGAGAGAGGTCCTATGTGCATGTCACCCAGCTTCCCCAAAGGGGGACGCCTTGCTGAGCTGTGCGGCATCACCACGCCAGGTCACGGGCTGCACGCAAGGAACCAACTCACTCAACCACAGAGCTACTAAGAGCTCTCCAGTTAGAAATTCATTTTCATTTGTTGTAAAAAGGAACTGTTTTATGTCTGTTAGACCCTGCTAAATGTTTATTTGCAGATATCCTGTTTTAACAAAATAATTTTAAATGAACATGGTATGAATTTATGGTGAGGAGACTGCATACTGTCACTTATCACAAAGCCATCGTTAGTATTATTAGCAATTTCTAACTTACTGCATTCAATTCCTAATGAAAATGAAAGACAATCACCTATACAAGATGGATTCAGTTTTGAAAACTGAAGGATAAAACTAATAATAAAAAATTGAAATTCCAGTAGTCAAGATTTTTTAGCATAAACTATAAAAAGCAAATGTGTGTTGATTTTTTTCTTTTGCTGCTGTTTCAATTTTCCTGCATTTTCAATGACTCTAAGGAAATTAAGCATTCCGACGAACTTCATAGGCTTCCAGGTATTCAAGAACTCTGGCTGAGGTCTCTGGCAGTGAGCTTAGCCTCCCAGCCCCAACCTGTCTGTGCCTTGAGAAGCAAACCTTCCCCTGCCCCTCAAAGGCAGCTCCTGCACTGGAAGGTGCTGCTGGGATCCTGCACCTCGCAGCCGCTCAGGCCCCCAACTCCTGCACCTGACCTTGCTGAGCTGACAGGCGCATCTCCCGACATCTCCAGGGAGATGGTCCCTGACCCACCCACAGACACAGAACCAGGCCCTGCCCCTTCCTGGACACTCTGGCCTCCTGGGACCGTCCCCTACCTGCTCCCCGCCCTGGTGCTTCCTTCCATCCATCCATCTGACCACATGTTTCTTAGTGACCTGGTCATGTCGCTGTGTGGATGAGCCCACTCATTCCCAGTCGCTCATGGCCCCCACATGAATTCATTCCTCCCCTTTCACCTCATCCTCATTCCACCCCTGGAACCCTTATGCATGTGCTCCCCTCTCAGGATAACCCACTGGGAACTGCTGGTGTCCAAATTAAAGCCACTGCCAGCAGACACACCTAAGTCCCTGGTGCTCCACGTGCCACGGCGTGCATGTGTCCACAGTCTTGCTCACGGGCACTTGGGCAGGAGGCTCTGTGCCCACTGTGAGTCCCCGAAGGCAGGGCTTCTCTCTCCTCTGCTCCCCCACAGCACCTGTACCCAGCATGAGCTCCCGGGAGGCCTCGCACGCCAACATGTCCATGAGTCCCCTTGACCTCAGCACCTGGGCTTCCTAGTCTCTGCTGCTGGTGTGTGTGGGGAAGCCTGAGATCTTCGTAGCGACACACTACTATGCACCAAACACAAAGCTGGTGCCATTGTCACCACCTAGAAACAGCCATGTTCCTCATCCCCCAGAGCGCACCACGGTCACTCAGTACAACACGTGTGTGCTGCTTAGTGCCCTGTGCCTGCTGCTGCCTGTGCTGCAGGAAACAGCCCAGAGTCGAAGGACGGTCACCAGCCACCCGGAAGACAGTCCTGCTCTGGTACGCAAACACGGAGCATCGCAACCGGCCGGCCTCGGCTTTCCAAGAACTCAGACTGTCACTCCCGCCTTCACATTCCAGACCCCAACAGCAGCTGAGCCCGCACTTCTGAGTGCGTGGCTGGGTAGAGCTCCAGAAACTGAGACAATCACAGACACGGCAGGTGCGTCAGGGCTATGACCAGCTCTCAGGACTGGCAGCATCACCTTGTGGGATTCCCCACCATCCTATGAAATCGGCACTAATCCTGTAGAGGCCACCAGGAAGCTGGGGCCACATGGCAGGTGAGGGGGTATGTCAGGTCACCTGTGCAGGGGCAGACCCCATCTCGGCCACACTGGGGCCCTCCCCTGGCAGGAAGGGCAGGGCCAGACAGGGAGAGAAGGGTACTCAGAGGGCACTTCCAGCCAGGAGCAGAAACATCTACCCAGGAGATCTTTGCCAAGACAGACCAGAAGCTGTGGAGACCAACGGACAGGAGGGGGAGGCAGTGAGGCCACAGAGACTGCAGGCCCACTATGTGCACCCTGGAAGCGGAGTCCTGCAGCCCTCGCCCACGTTCCCCATCCTGGGGGCTCCCTGCTGCCCTCACACTGTGACACTGATGAAGGTCGGGAGCATGCGGGCACAGTGCCTGCAGGGACAGGGCTGCAGCGAGAGATGACTCACCTCGCTGTCCTGCGTGATCTGGACTTGCTCCCCCTGTGGCACCTTGGCGATGTGGAGGTGTCCCTGTGGGATCCGCAGTAAGAAAAGACACCAAGAAGCATCAGAAGAAAATAAAAAGCAAAGGAAACAAGAAACATCTTCCGGAATGTTTGTTCTTGATTATCTGTTTACAATTCAAAAAGATAACTAAATCCTGAATAGTGCAATATAGTCTGTGGTCACCTCTTTAAATTAAGCTTTTGGTTCACAGTAGTCCCCCTCATCCATGAGGGTTTCAAGAAGCGCCCCCTCCCCCCACCATGTGGACGTCAGAAACCGTGGATGGTGCTGAACCCCGTATATGCTATGCTTTTTCCTGCCCATACGTGCCACACAGCTTGGACATGCTGGACAAAGGAATGACTCACATCCCGGGCTGGACACAGCAGGACGACCAGACTTCATCATGGTACTACCCAGAAGAGTATGCAATCTGAAACTTACAAATTGTTTATTTCTGGAATTTCTCATCTAATATTTTCAGATCACAGTTGACTGTGGGTAATTAAAACCTAGGAAAGTGGAAGCATGGGTAAGGGGGGGTACTGTGTAACACAGAACATGTTCCAGTACTTCACAAAGGAGCAATAGGTCCCAGGAAAGATATATACATCTTTAAATGTTACTAAACAAGTAAATTTTAAAATGTGCATGACACACAGAAAAGAGGGGAAATAGAAAATCACAATGACGCCTCTTTTCAAATGATACGTTCAGCTCTCTGGGGATGCTGGGAGGCTACACAAGCAGTGTGTGGCTGAAGCAGGGGAGCTGTTTGCGTGCCTACACTCACAACAGGGCAGGCAACGTTTTTCAAATCAAAGAAACACTCATATGACTATTTAAACAGTTTGAGGAAACACTAACAAATGTGATTCAAAAAAAATCAAAGAATCCACTGTTTATACATACGGGCAGACAAATATTTCCTATAAACCTGTAAATGAAATGAATACTCCTTATCTTATTTGAAATTCTCTCTTAGTTGAAATGGATCTTAAACTCCTGTAGAAAGTTCTATGTAAGCCTTATGACAAAGTTATCTACTCTGGAACGCTTTCAAAGAACTTCTTACTAACAAGATGAGAGGAACTGCCATTGTGAATGTCAAACAAATTAATAAGCTTATTAAATAAGATTCACTATTCATAACTGTCTCATCTCCTTTGGAAGAGGAAGGGAATGCCCCCTCTAAAAGCCCCAGAATTTTCTGGAAGCCTTCCCTCTTCCAGACAGCACGCTGAAGCCACACTGACATGAGAGCCACGACCCACTCTCAATAGTGGAGGACCTTGTTTCCAGGAGAAAGCCCTGGTAACACGGAGGCACACGATGACCTGTCTTCAGAGGGCCCAAGGGGGCTGGTGCCACTAAAAACACAGGCTAGGTCTAGTGGTACATGTAAAATTTCTAGTCACTCAGCAAAGCTTCCAGAAAAGTCTTCTTCTCAGCCGCCCCCTACTCTCGTGCCACAGAATCCAGGAGGTGTTTGTAGAGGGACTTCACCCGGGAGCGAGCCCCTAGGCGCATCAGACTGACCACAGCTTGGGTCACAAAACCCCAACAGAGAACTCCGCACGGGCAAGGCAGGACATTGACTTGCTGCTGGGACAGTGCCCGCCCAACCTGGGTGTGCTGAGTAACTCCAAGGGAAACGCTGCATGGGAACAATGACCTCAAGCTTTTGCCACTGATCCTAGAAGGAAATTACTCTTTCCCTCAGTAAGAGGACGCCTGCACTTCTGAGCTGAGAAATATTTCCGTTGCTTCCCAGGAGCACGAGCTGGGGCAGGGACCACTGCACGGCCTGACCCTTGGAGCTGACTGCCCGCCTGCCTGCTGGCAGGACTGAGGTGAGCTGACTGAATGCCCCACCCCACCATGTGCTTCAATCCCTAGGCTCTGCAGCAGCCGCCCCCACCTGTGAAATGTTAAGAGCTCATGGCCACGATGACCTCTACTTTAAATGGGAACCTTGTGCCTCCTCCCAAGCTATCACTGTGCTCCCGAAACACAGCGGAACTGGTGGAAGCCGCCATGGCCCCGCCGTGGCCCACCCCACAGCCCCCTTTACCAAGGTGCGAGGTGGAGAGGGTACGTACTACTTGCACCTGTCCGTCTTCTCCGATCTGGTGGATCTGCACCTGCTGCACGTTGGCCAGCGCGTAGTGCAGGGCCTGCGGCTGCAGCTGTGGCTGCAGGAGCTCTCTGGCAGGAGGTGGGGTGCTCATCATCGGCTCTGTGGAGGAAACAGGTGTGAACGGGGTGAACGAGAAGTTTCTTAGGCATTGCCTTGTGCAGCATGTGTGCACCCCCGTCCCTCACTCTCGACTCCCACAGCAGAGAAGAGGAAATGCTTCATTTTTCCTCGACTCACTGCATCTCCACTCTTCTGCAGAGGTCACTATGAGTGAGTCTTAGGAACTGAGTTTTCCGACGTGGAATGCAGAAGGGCCTGAGAGTGGCGTGATGCTATGACAAAACCCCTTCTAGTCCCCAACTTATTTAAATGAATGAAGTTCTTAAAGTGGACATTAAAAGCTGTTTCAGGCTGGCAATATTTGTCCATGGGTAATTAAACTAATAGAGCAAAAGTCTCATCCACGCACTTAAAGATACATTTCCAACAAATTTTACTTGCTGTGTTTAATCAAAATGAGATACATTTGCTTTGATGTACTGTGTATTAATTTTCACTGTAATGATGTCTCAATCATAATTTTCTTAAACTCTTAGAATATTAAGAGCGCAGAAAAACTTTAATTTTCAATGTATACACGTAGTTTTGTTGCAGAGAATTATAATGACTAATTTTAAAAAGCTTTTAAGCGTAAAAATGTAGTCTGGGCACGGTGGCTCACACCTGTAATCCCAGCACTTTGTGAGGCCAAGGCAGCCAGATCACCTGAGGTCACGAGTTCAAGACCAGCCTGGCCAACATGGTGAAACCCCATCTCTATTAAAAATACAAAAATTAGACAGGCGTGGTGGTGGGGGTCTGTAATCCCAGGCACTCAGGAGGCTGAGGCAGGAGAATCACTTAAACCTGGGAGGCGGAGGTTGTAATGAGTCAAAATGGCACCACTACACTCCAGCCTGGGCAACAGAGCAAGACTCCATCTCGGGGGGACTGGGGAGGGAAGCAGAAAGATGAAATTCTGTGAGAGAAGTAGAATGTTGATATGAATGAAAGGAGAAAAATGAAAGACATAAAATTTCTGATTATTAAAGAGAAGCAGGCCAGGCATGGTGGCTCACGCTTGTAATCCCAGTATTTTGGGAGGCCAAGGCAGGCAAGATCACTTCAGGTCAGGAGTTCGAGACCAGCCTGACCAACATGGTGAACCCTGTCTCTACTAAAAATACAAAAATTAGCCAGGTGTGGCGGCATGCATCTGTAGTCACAACTACTTGGGAGGCTGAAGTAGGAGAATCACTTGAACCTGGGAGTAGGTGATTACAGTGAGCTGAGATGGCACCATGGCACTTAGCTCCAGGCAACAGAGCGAGCAGGGGAAGGGACGGGTTGGGGCAAGAGAGGGGAGGGCAAGAGAGAGGAAGGGAGGAGGGGAGAGGGGAGGAGGGAGGGAAGGGGGAGGGGCGGAGAGGGGGAGGGGGAGGGGCAGAGAGGGGAAGGGGAGAGAAAAGCTTTCCATGTATTTTTTACCAATAGCTAATGGTAGGTATTAAATTGCCATAGTACATAGATTCCACTGAATACATTTTTTAAAGTAACAATAAAATGTTGGTTTTTTTTTTTTTTTTTGAGACAGAGTCTTGCTCTGTCACCCAGGCTGGAGTGTAGTGGTGTGACCTTGGCTCACTGCAACTTCCGCCTCCCAAGTTCAAGCGATTCTCCTGCCTCAGCCTTCCAAGTAGCTGGGATAACAGGCACCCACCATCATGCTGGGCTAATCTTTTTTTTGTATTTTTTTGTAGAGAAGGGATTTCACCAGGTTGGCCAGGCTGGTTTTGAACTCCTGACCTCAAATGATCCGCCTGCCTTGGCCTCCCAAAATGCTGGGATTATAGGTGTAAGCCACTGTGCCCAGCCACATAACAGAATGTTGATACTTGCAATATGCTAGAAATTGCCTAGCTACACTAAATCAGAATCTGAAATTCATGAGATTCAAAGGAGATTCAACATGCCCACCTGCATGCTGCACGTGGAGAGCTTGGCTCCAGCCAAAGACCCTGACTCCACCTGAGCACCTCCAGTGATGGGTCATGTCCCAAAGCAACCACCGCCAGGCAGTGCTGCGTGCTCCATGGCGGTTTCCTGTCTGCCTGAGCAGTTACAGAGCACTCACCACCACAGGTCCTCGAGCAAGCCTTGTGCACCCCAGGAAGAAAATGACAAAATCCCAGCTGGGCTGAAGCCCACCTCCGCGGAGCTGCTTTTCCTCCACTGACCCTCTTAGCACCTACAAAACCAGCCTAATTCTTCACTTATGCACTGCTTCTCCAGGCATCTAACCGTTATCAAACCTTGTGAAATCTCAATTTCTAACCGTTTCCCCAAAGACAAGTTTCCAGCCCACTGCCACCATGACAGTCTGTCCCTGGACAGCTCCTCCCAGCAGCTCCAAAACGCTCCACTGGGGCCACAGGGTAGACAAGCTAAGAATGGGTGTGCTCCAGAGTGCACCTTCCAACCACAAGGGCTCTGAGGAAGCTCCTGCACACCAGCGCAGCCAGCAAAACACTCAGCTTCACATGCTGTTACACCACCGTCTACTACTGTGCAAATGCTCTTAGTCTACATTTCCAGCTATGAAATTTCAGCTCACTAAATTTACCCTTTCAAGATTCTGGTATCCTAATGATGCAGGCCAACATATCTGGCAGTCGTCAGGTTATATAACAGCAGCTTCTTGCTCACTAAGGTCCTGGCAAGTCATTTAACTTGGGTTTTGATTCCCCATTGGATGAAGCAGACCGCTAACCTTACCAAATGCACGTACCCGAAACACATGGAAGGCAAGCCTGGCAACAACTCTCCTCGCTCTTCGAGTCTAGGAGTTCCATATGGTTCTTTTTTATGTCTTCTATTTCGCTCCTTGCTATGTTCCTTTTTTCCTTTAAATTCCTGAATGTAATTTTAATAGATTTCAATGTCCTGGTCAGTTAATTCCAGACAGGGTCCCTTCCTATTTGCTGATTTTCTGATCATAGGTCACAATCTCCTGCTTCCTGGTACTCTGGACTAGATACTGGAGATTGTGAATTTTACTTTGTTGGGTGTCTAGGTTTTGTTGTCTTTCTTTTAAAAGTGTTGTTACTTGTGATTCAATGTGATCTTTCTCAGGCTCTCTTAAGCTCTGCCTTTATTCTAGGGACAGTTTAGCCTGCCAGTAGGCATGGCCAGCTAGTGCAGTGACTGATCACTGAGGACTCTGGCTAGTGGGAATCCAACCACCACCCAGCCTGGGGTGAGCTTAGGAGCCATTGAGCTCATGCCTGCCTTGGAATCCCCCAAACACCCAAGATGGCCCCCGTGTAACCCTCTGCTCTTAAGAACTTGATTCCACAACTTTCTGCTGCCTCAGCCTCTCTCAACTCCAACCCATCTCCTCCATGCAGTGATGTAGCTATCTCTGCCTGGCATCTCCCTGTCCCCTCCTCTCGTGTTCCTTCTCTCGGGATCACGGTCCTGTGCTGTTGCTTGTCTAATGTCTTAGGACAGCCGATTCACAGATTTTTGTCCAGATTTCAATGGCAAGAGAATTCAATCTGGTTCCTGCTACTGTGCCTGACAGAAATTGTGCCTGACAGAAATTGTGCCTGACAGAAATCTCCTCTCCTTGACTTTTTTTTTTTTTTTTTTTTGAGACAGAGTCTTGCTCTGTAGCCCAGGCTGGAGTGCAGTGGCGTGATCTCGGCTCACTGTAAGCTCCGCCTCCCAGGTTCACGCCATTCTCCTGCCTCAGCCTCCCGAGTAGCTGGGATTAGAGGCATGTGCCACCACACCTGGCTAATTTTTGTATTTTTAGTAGAGACAGGGTTTCACCATGTTGTCCAGGCTGATCTCGAACTGCTGACCTCAGGTGATCAGTTTGCCTCAGCCTCCCAAAGTGCTGGGATTACAGGCATGAGCCACCACGCCTGGGCTCCCTGACTTTTAAACAACATTTTTTACAACTATAAAACTAATGCAGTGCTTATTGGAAATAACTGAGAAACTACAATAAAAGACAAAGGGAAAAATAAAAATTATCCTACTACCTAGAGATAGGCACTGTAAAAATGATCACACATAAATTTTTAATCAACTTCCACATATACCTATATATTTGCAATAAAAATGGTATCATGCCATAAGTATAGTCCTCACATCGCTCTCTGCTGCCCAGCTATGAATATTCAAGAGAGAAGTCAAGTCATGAGCAATATTCCTACAGCCACATTTCAATAGCCACAGGTTACGCTGCTACATGGTATTTCAGTGAATGCCCCTAACCCACACCCTAGGACTGCTACCTCTCTCAAGTCCCAAGGCAGAATTCCTCATTGTAGTAGAAAGGCCTAGAATAGAAGAGCTTCTTCAACACAGGTCACTCAATAAAGTGCTGCTTTAGGGACACAACTTGTGTGGCCCACTACAGGCAGCCACCTCCCATCCTCAAGCCCCTGGGCAGCAGCTGAGGCCGAGTATCTGATAACTACCAAAACAGCCCGGGAAAACCACTTCCTGAAGTCCGGTTCAGAAAGAACGAGGCCCCGGGAGAACTCCAGGTGATCTGGTCTGTAACTCCCAGGACTTCCAGAACAAAGGGTTCCGGCCGACAAAGACTCCACTGAATAGGAGAGCTGGCCCTGCCCACAGCTGCCCTCGCATCCTGACCCCAGCCCCAGTCAGAGCTCAAGTTCCAAGAGTCACTGCCAATGCAGCTACTGTGGGGAGCTTTAAGAGAATAGTTTTCATTCAAATACGTATTAAAATATTTTGAGATGTCTTGGGTAAAAGGCAGTATCAAGTCACATTGTCATTCCTAGTGAAAATTCTCCAAGGAGAACAATCTCCCCAGCAATGCCTGAGAGGCAACTCAAAGAGAACTGTTTCCATTATCTTGTGGATAAATCCAACTAAGGCCATGAACTCAAAGTAAAAATAAAGCACAATTCAGAATCCACCCCACTTCCTCACCCGGAGTCACCAGGCAAATCGTGAGAATACAATGGCCGGCAGCCCTACACAAAGGCCTCGGCCTCCTTGCCCCCATCCAGAAGACTTCCAGGAGGCCCAACAGGCCCTCTGTCCCTCACAGAGGAGCCTGGAGCAGGCCCGAGGCTGTCTGTGTGAAGGGCGCACAGGGCCAGGCACAGGTCCTGCAGCTCCACTGCTCCGTGTGCACCTCACAAGCCTCTGGCCTCGGCTCCCGGCCATTGGTGGAGCCGCCGGCCACGCTCTGGCTGCCCCTGAGGGTGCCACCAGGCCAGCTGCCCCGAGCAGGGGAGGGCGGCCTCTCCTGCAGCACGAGGCCTACCTGAGGGGCAGTAGGAGGATGAGTTGGGCATTCTCCACGAGAAGCTCTTGACCACCAGGCTCTGGCCCCACTGCTTGCGCCGCCACGCCGTGCGGCACTTGGAGTCGATGCTCTGCTTGATTCGGTACCAGTCAGATTCTGTGATGCCAAATTTATAGAAAAGGTGACCTGGAAGGACACATCCAAGGAGAAGGGGTGAGGCCTGTTTGGGACAGCCACCAGGAGCTGCCTGGCTGCAGGGTCAGGGCCCACTGAAGAGGCCTCACCCAGGCACCCCAGCCCACCAGGCCGGCCCCATCTTCCTGCAAGGGTCTGGAAAGGCCCACTGCACAGAAGGTGCTTAGCTGGCCCACAGGCGGGGCTCCCCACGAGATATAAATTCTCACTAAGGTGTCATGACACACTCTTTCCATTTACTTAAGTTCTTGATCCCTCTGACTTGGTCGGCCCATACCAGGTGCACACTTGGGGCGCTCACAAGATTCCCAGACCTTCCATGCTCCAACTTCCCTCTGCCCTGAACTCGCAGCAGCACCTAAGGTCCTGAATGCCCAGAGGGTGAGATCAGGGACCTCAACAATTGGATCAGAACTCGCTGGTCCTCCGCCTACTCAGACCTGCTCGGCCACCGCCTTCCCTTCCTTCATGTCTTGGCTTCACCATCCCCCTGGATAACCACCTGACCCTCCCGCCCTCCTGGGCTCCCACCCTCCTCCCACTTGTTTTGTCAGAGCACTGACCACCTTCTGGCATTTGGAGAATTCATGTGTGTATTGTTACTCTGTCCCCCTTACAAACACAGTTTCGAGAATTCAGGTGTGTATTGTTACTGTTCCCCTGGCAAACACAGTTTGGAGAATTCACGTGTGTATTGTTATTCTGTTCCCCTGGCAAACACAGTTTGGAGAATTCACGTGTGTATTGTTATTCTGTTCCCCTGGCAAACACAGTTTGCAGAATTCAAGTATGTATTGTTACTCTGTCCCCCTCACAAACACAGTTTGGAGAATTCACGTTATGTATTGTTATTCTGTTCCCCTCGCAAACACAGTTTGGAGAATTCACGTATGTATTGTTACTGTCCCCCTCATAAACACGGGCCTTTGTTGTGTCCACCCATGGATGTCAGGCACCCAGAACATTCTGGTGCACAGTGGCTGCTCCTGTGTAAATAGTGATTACAACGGACTGCAACACACCCTCCCATCGCTGCTCAGGTCCGGGGCTTGCTTATG
Source organism: Homo sapiens (assembly GCF_000001405.40). Taxonomy (NCBI): domain Eukaryota; kingdom Metazoa; phylum Chordata; class Mammalia; order Primates; family Hominidae; genus Homo; species Homo sapiens. The sequence goes on along the minus strand of NC_000016.10, from coordinate 29,319,860 downwards.
TCATTCCCAATGCCTCTCCATCGTGCTTTCTCAACTAGAGCACAAACTCCTTACGGACAGGGCCTGTGTCCTCATCCCTGGAGTCCCTATACCACAAGCCGAGTGGGCACAACCTACTCTCACTGTGGGGCCAAAGCCAGGTGCATTGTCTTCCTGGGGCTCACCGTGCACACGCAGAGAACTGTCTTGGGACCCCCAGGTCTCTACCACCTGCGCTACGGAGAGCTCTCAGCACGCCCTGAGCAGCATCCAGAGATGCCCTGTATTCAACAGGGAGAAAACTGAGGATCCGAAGGCCACGGCGGAGCAGGTGACAGGATGGAGCCAGCGCCCCACTGCATGCCTGGCCACTTCCCACTAGGCCACAGGACCCCATCCCTGTAGCGATGACGAATCTGGGCATGATGGGAAGGGCTCTTCAATGCAGTGGCCTCTCTAGCTGGCTCATGCAACTTCACTAATTTACAGGAAAATACAGGATGGAATCCAAAATTGTAGTAATAAAAAGATTAAGCTGAAAAGCGTCCTGTTTTGACTACCAAGAGCCTCAAGTTTGGACTCTACTGCCCAAACCCTAAAAATCTGTTCCCATTGAGACTAAAATGGTGGAAATAATTAAAACAGAGAAAGAAGTGTTTGGGTTTTTTTAAGTACTCTATTAGGTATCAAAAGTCCCTCGGGTTTTGGAAACATGCCTCTTGACTTTCTTATCAGTAGATACTTGAGACACGTTTTGACTCTCTGTATAATCACAACAAACCTGTCTGTGCTACAGACAAAAAGAAACCAGCCAGGACAGTGGGATTTGTAGGATGAGAGGGAAGAACACCCTAAAGTCGTTTCGGCAGCACATTTTCATCCTCATGCATAAAGAAGCCATACAGGAAGCAGCCGCTCTTTGGCTTCCAATTCTCGGGTCATCTCTAAAATACTCCAAGTCACCCTCAGATCTTGGCTGGGTGACTGGGGCGCCTCAGGAAGCCCCAGGCTGAGCAACTTTAGTGACTCACAGAGGAACCCAGCCGCTGGCTGTGGTCATGGGGGAACCTAACCATTAAAATCACTAGGAAATCCTTACAGGAGAGCCCAGCTGCTGCCAGAGGTTGCACCATAGTTACCGGAAAACCCAGCTTTCAAACTGCACTTCAATAGTTTCATGAGAGCCCAACTACTGACTTTAGATACAAAGCAGCCCAGCTGCTGCCACCGGGAGGCAAGAAAGAAACAGCCATCCCACCAGCAGGAAAACGTCTTTGGAGCACGAGTCGATAAAAAGAAACATCCTCAGAACCGCCCTCCTGTGACCCTCCGACCTTCACACTCCAGGAGAAAAATTCCATAGACTTTGAAGGATGAATGAGTCCACACAAAATTTAAAAACGGGTTAGTAACAGGAAAGAAGATAAATCTAAAACACCCAGGTGTATAGGTAAGAGAAATGAGTGAAAACATTCACATTTAAATTCAACTTTGTAAAAATTAAGTTGCCAGTTCAAACCCTGACTCATACTTATTAAATAAAAAATATATATTCATCTGGTTACCCGCCACCGAGTTTCCACTGTCCTCAGACATCAAATTATCTAATTCCTTCCGTCTGCGCTCCAGGCCCCAGCCTGGGCGAATGCTCCCTGCCGGCCACCAAGGAGATCCAGAGAATGGACCAGCCGCCCAAGTGCTGCCCGCAGAGCGCGGCGGGTGAGGAGGGCGAGGATCTGAAAATGCACAGATGGGTGCAGGTGCTGCCCGCAGATGCTACTGGACAGCAGCTGGGGCAAGCGCCCACTTCTGGGCAGCCCTCGGGGCTCGGATTCCTTTACCTTTTCTGACAGCACTGAGCAGCCGCACTTAACAGGGAGTGGGAAAAATCCTATCATGATGGGATCAAAAGATCACCTTGAATTTAACTGCCATTTTCCACTTTAAGCATTTGATCTCATGTTATTTGATGGACTTTTTTTAAAAAGCCTCATGAAGTAGGAATGTCACTACTCTCATCACTTTGGTTTTGAGGCAAAAGCCAGAAAAAGGAGAAGTGATGTGTCCAAGTCCAATTACTAGTTAGGAGTGAACACCGGCCTTAAAGTGCAAGCTTCCTGGGCCCACCAGGTGGAGAAGCAGCGGCCCTCACTGGATCCTAGGAACCCATGAGAGGTGCTCAGGGAGACGGGAAGAACACGCACAGCCCCGCACACGTGCCTCTGCTGTCCTGAGCTCCCTCAGCCCAAGGCACCCGCAGGCCCTGCTCTGGGAGGCCTAGTCGGACTTCAATCGAGGCAGAAGTCTCCCCCCTGAGCAGTGCCCAGGACACAAGGAGAACAGAAGTGCTCGGCATCCGGCTGCTGAGGCTCATGGGATCCCCACAGCGTGGCGTCACCTGGGAGGAGAACACCCTGTCTGGCCTCAGTCCCTGCTTTCCCCAGCCATATCCCTACACTATGCCCACTGAGGCCCCTCAAGGCCAGGACGGGCTTGCCTTCCAGGCTCAGCCAGGCAGCATCCCTGCCACCGTGCACGCCTCTATTTTCCTGGCGAGCTGTCCTGCAGTCCCCAAAGAGCTAAAGAGTCTCCATTACACCGTTAGTTGCCTTCCCACTTTCCAGAACCCCCGTTACTGACTCTGGTGGTTCAAATCACAAGCCGATTCCCAGCTCTCCATCTGTGGGGCCATGAGAGGCACTGTGGGAAGCGAGACAAGAGAGCCAGGAGGGCTTGTCATCCTGTGCCTTGGTGGGTGGCATGTGGCTTTATTAGTCACAAAGGAATGAAGAGCACCACCTGCTAACGCACTCTCATGTGCAAGGGAAGGCAGCACAAAACCGAGTGCCAACAACTGATTTCTTCAAATTACAGACTCGACGTGACAGCGCTGCCTAGAAAAACAAAAGGCATCTCGAAGCCTCTGCCCGATGGAAGCCAGCTGACATGCTCCCTCCCGGGGGAAGCACGCACAGCCCACACCCCGTGCACCTCACATGTGCAGCCTCCAGGCCAAGCCGGCCACCTTCTTCAAGCCTGCTGACTCATTCCTTTATGAGAAAAAATGATGGAGAGACACCTGTCCTCAGTCTGTTAGCAAGAGAGCCCCTCACAGCCACCTGCAGGACTACCTCCAGGTCACAGCATCTGGGTGACCTGCTGAGAAGGAGGCTCTGCTCACTTTTCTGCCTGGAGCCCACACTGACCACACCTTCCTCCCAGCTTTCAGTCACCGTGAGGCACTCAATGTCCCAAGACAGACAGACAAACACCCACCCCTGCGTGGAGTCCACATTCTGCCTTAAGGACACATATAGGTCAGCCTCACCATTTCACCTCACAGAGAACTTGGAGAAGAGACAGCACTTGACCACCCGTGTCCTGTGTACTGGGCTGAACAGTGTCCCCACAAAACTCATGTCCTGGCCCAGGACCCCAGAATGTGACCTGACTGGGAACTAGGGTCTCTGCAGATGTGATTCCTTAGGTTGTAATGAGGTCATCCTGCAGGAGAGGGAGCTCCAAATCCAGTGACTGTCGTTGTAAGGAGAGGGACACAGAGGGAGACACGGGGGGAAGACAGCCATGGGGGACGCGGGCAGAGACTGGAGGGATGCGGCCACCACCAGAAGCTGGGAGAAGGAAAGGGCCTTCTCAGGCAGCGTGGCCCTGCCCACATCTTCATCCTAGGCATCTGGCCTCCAAACCTGCACGAGAACACAAGCCTGTGTTCTAAGCCAGCCAGGCTGTGAGCTTTGTCCCAGTGGCCACAGGAACCTGAGGCACCCTGCAAGACACAATGGGGCCAGGTCGCACACCTGCACTCACAGGGACAGGTGTGGGTGAAGTGGCCCCCGCTGCTTCCCGCTAGGAAACACCACCTGCGCTTGGAGTGAATGATTTGAAAAGAACTACAATCATCTGACAGGGCAACTCTGAAAGCATAACTTTTTACTTTGTGCAAATGAATCCAGTCTTTCTGTAACTGCTAGGAGGTCTCATGGGGATCGGCCATCCACAGCAGCATTCTTTAGATCAGATGAGATCGGGTGTGTTCAGGGTGGCATGGCCTTAGACAGCATTCTTTAGAAAAGCCCTCAGATCCGGGGTCACCGGCTTGGATGCACAGTCCAAGCAGAGGCGTGAGCAAGCCATGGATAGAAATCCTAAGAACTAAACCAATTTCTCTTCATAGAGAAAACAGGCAAATGCTGCTGTCCTGAGAGCACATTCCTTAGGAAAATGTTCCAAGGTTTTCCAAGTTGCAATGATATGCTACTTTTGCATAAAACACACAAATTTGGTTAGCTGCCCAAATTCGGGGGGTCCACCAATCCTTGGGAACCCTAAGAAAGCCAACACCCCAAAAAGCAAATTTCTCTCTCTCCCTCTTTCAATAACCTCATTTCCTCATTTTGAGAAGGTGGTACTTAGAGACTTTACCTACTGTGTGTTTCAAAATGTAGACTTTTTTCTCCAGAAAAAGAAAGAAAATCTTTCTGCTGACAAATAAGGAGAAACTTAAATCAAAATCTTCTCCCTCGTGAGCTGTCTGGGTTGAGTGAGGACAGCCGCAGACCTCTGACTGCTGAGGCTACAGGCATCACTGCAGGCTCTGAAGCAACAGCAGAGAGTAAGATGCAGTGATGTGGCCAATTCCATTCCTGCCGCTGTTCAAGCTGGGGCCTGGGAGGTTTGGTCCATGTATTTATTTGATTTGTTTTGGTTTTTTGGGCAACGATCAGCAATAAGAATGAAACTGGGCCACAGGGAGAAAAGGTAAAGCCATGCTTTTAACATTTCAGCAATTCCATCTAAGCACGAGCCACACAGGCATGCCTGGCCTGAGGTGGGGGGAGAAGGCCCAGCTCTGGTCCATACCCAGCAGTTGCTCCAGGCCCCTCCACACGGCCCGGTGGACAGGCCAGCCTTCCTCATGCAAAGTCACCCTGAAGGTCAGCCACACCATGACCTTCCCAAAGCTCGGCTCTAGAGACCAGAATTCACTGGGCATCTCCAAGGGGCCGGGCGCTGTGAGCAAGCCCAGGACCCCCGCCCCGGAGGAACTTCCAGCAGAATGACGGTGCTAGCGGACGCCCCTGCCAGGGGACCGTGCTCCAGAGCCCAGCTCAGAGCCTGGGGAGGCAGGGCCAGTGGTCCCCAAGCCATGAGGTCCAGCAGCCTGGTGAACAGAGCCAATGACTTCAGCTGTCTGGAGGATGGCCCTGAAGCCAGCGGGCCCAGGGGAGAGGGTGGTAGCCCATGCCAGGCTCCCACTCCCCTCTCTGGCCTCCAGACCCCCATCGAGGTTGGCAGCACTTCCCAAGCAAGGAGAAGCTCAGCAGGGAAGGTCAACTCATAGCCACAACATGCAGGGAATCGGGGCCTGCCCCATTCTGCCCCACGCAGTGCCTTCCACCACCCCACACGGACTCGCTGAATACAGACACAGCCACCCCACCGCCATGGGCTCTGCTCTATCGCCCTGCCATGCCCCTGTCACCTCACTGGAACATTCCCTGTGCTCGATTAATAAAAAGACCAATCGCAGCCAATGCCCTGAAAGCCCGAATCCTTAGCCTGACATACCAAGGCACTGTCTCCAAAGCAGAGCCAGCCGGCCTCCAGCTTCACATCCAAGGCCCCTGTCATCTCCCTGGAGGAGCAGGGACTCCTCACCTGGGAACAGGGCCCAGCCCTGAATGCCACTGCCCCACACAGCACAGCACGCTCATCCCACATGCCACCATCCTCTCCAAAGATCACCCGCTCCTCTCTGTCCAGGCTGCGCCTCCAACCTGTAGCCCAGCCTGACACTCCTGTGACACCTCGTCTGTGGCTGCTTTCAGAGCTGAGCAGTTGAAGAGAGACCCCAGGGCCTGCAAAGCCTGAAACATCTGCCATGTGGCCCTTCAGAAGGCTGCGGGTGACCCCTGCCCCATGACCCTCTGATCCTCGTGACCTGCTTTACTCCACCGCTGAGAAGCTGTGAGGAGGCCCCACATGTGGTCTCCCAGGCAGTTATCTGAGACTACCCTCAGGGTCCAGGATGGGTGCCCGCCAGTGTCTGACAGCTGGGACACACGCCTGGAACAAGACATGGCACATGGGAAGATGCCATGACCTGCTCACACACACGTGGGTGGGACCTGGACCCACCTCTCAGCAGCTTCCAGAAAAACCTGCAGTCAGCATGACACCCCAGTCTTACTCAGACCCCATTTTCACAGCAGCTACGGAACAGCTGAGCCCTTCCACTCCCCCACTGCTCTTGACAGAGGCTCACGGGCCACACCGTGCTTCCCAGAGGAGCAAGGCTCTTTCCTGCTGGAACAGCAGCCCCCACACGCTGAGATCCCGGATGCCCCCCGCACGCTGAGATCCTGGACGCCCCCCGCACGCTGAGATCCCGGAGGCCCCCCGCACGCTGAGATCCCGGACGCTGAGTGCTCCACCTCGCTCGCCCTGTTTCAAGATCAGATTTCCATTCACGATCCCCTGAGGCAACTCTCCAGAGCCCAGATTGCCGGAGGCTGCTGTACCCTCCCACACCCTCCCGCCAGGGGCCTCGTGTCTCTTGCGTTTGCTGCTGCTTCACTTTACATCTTTGTTAGAAGCCAGGAGGACAGCTTCTGAAGCAGACGGGCTCTGTGGAGCAAATGGACCATGGACGCTGGCAAAGAGGACCTGAGCGCCCATCAAACGCCATTGAAGGGCAGTACCGCAATCGCCACCTGGAGCAAGTCCCGCTCTTCAGAGGGGAGGGAAACATCACAGGCCGGGCTGGGCACGAAAATCAGGCTTTGGAGCTCTCCTGGCTCCCATCACAGCCAGGTCAGCGCTGAGGCCCTGGCATGGCTGCTGAGGCCCAGCCCTCTCAGAAGGAAGGAGGCAGGCGGCACTCCACCCACTTAGGAGAGGCTCAGCGGGGCCTGGGTCAGCGTGGCCAGGACAGCAGGGAAGGCCCTGGCTCTCCTCCTCCTCTCTCTTCCTCAAGAGTGGCCTACAGACAGGAGGCGAGGAGTTTTTTACCTTCTAAGGGTACACAGTAGGTATATATATGATGGGGTATATGAGGTATTTTGGTACAGGCATGCCATGAGTAATGAGCACATCAGGGTCAACCGGGCATCCATCCCCTCGAGCACTGATCCTCGGGCTGAGATTTCAAACCGCCTGGAGAAACGCAGCCCCGTGCCAGTGCTACTGATGCCAGCACCCTCAGCAGTGAAATGTGGGTCCTGACCCAGCTCCCCGCACACCCCAGTCCCCCAAGATGGGGCCCGACTTACACCGGATGCCATAGATGGTGAGCGGGTCCAGCTGCTTCTTCCCGTGCTTGCCCTGCCCCGAGAGGCTGGACACAGCCTGCACCTCGCGGTGGAAGAGGTAGTCCAGCAGCGTGAGCACCATCTCCTCGGCCGTGCGGCAGTTGGTGCTGATGTGCAGCATGTCGGAGGGGATGATGGCGCAGTGCACCCGCATCTCGGGGTTGTTCTCGTCGCCCAGCCAGGTGCCATTGGGGTAATCCTCTGAAAAACAGAAGACAGGTCCTCAGATGGCCAAGGCTCAAATAAGCTCACATTCAGGACAGCAGAGCGCTCTGCTCAGACACACCCGGGAAAGGTGCTCCACACAGGGCTGGGCAAATCCCTCCTAACTTGTGATGCAGTCACCAAGAGCGCTGGAGCCTCCGACTGCTGCCCAAGAAAGAACTGATGTGGAACAGAAACGATCCCACCACCCCCAGAAGCGGCCAGGTGCCTGTGGGGCTGCAGGGCCTTGGGACCTGAGCGCCAACACGGTCACACACTCTGCTCATCCTGGACCTGGGACCCCAGCAATACCGATATCCTTGCACACAGTTGGTACCTGCCCCAGCCATCTGCAGAGCGGAACCCTCCCTGGAGCCCCTCACACCTCACTGCCAGCCATGCTCTCCCACTGGCCAGCCACTCCCACCAAGAAAGACGCAGAGGTGAGGGGCTCTAGCATCAGCAGCCGGCTTGGCATCGCCCCCATGCACACAATGCCAGTCCCTGCCTCTGCACAGTGTAAGTCACAGCATGCCCCGGATGCCAGCATTCTCAGGGCAGTTACAATGCAGCCGCCCAGAGCAGCACATTCAGGTGTGGGAATGCGCCATGTTCTCTGCTGTCAGTGAGGCCACAGCAAGGACCCGTGGACAGGCCCATGCTCCACACGGAGGAGACAGGGTGGCCAGGCACCTGGAGTGGCCTGAGGTTGCCTGCAAAGCACACTCCTGTGATGATGGAGTGGGACTTCCCACCTGCCTGCCCAGGCAATGATGCCCGCCAGCCCCTCCACACCTCTCTGCCTCCCTCCCACCCAAGCGTGGCCTCTCAGCTTCCTAGCTGACCCTTCACAAGTCACTAGTCTTCTCTGAACCATGGACTCCTTCTCTGTGTAACGGCATCTCCGGGTTGTCCTCAGGTTGACCAAGTACAGTATGTGAAAGGCTGCCTTTTCAAAGCCTCCCCATGTGACGGAAGAAAGCTCCACACATGATCATAAACAGGAAAACTCACACTCCTGCTTGGAAGCTCAGCAGCTTCCCAAACAATCTCTTCTGACCCTGAAGTTGAACCAAAGGGAGGCTGCCAGAGTCTCCCCTCCCCCAGCACGTCCTCCCCTGTGGAAAGGTAGAAACCTGAATACCTCCCACAAGGGGCCGGGACCTAGGAGGGACACCACGCTCTGCCAGAGTCTCCAAGGCCCAGGGCTGGCTACAGTCATGCCACCCTGGGCAACGCTGCCTCAGAACGTCTGTGAGCTTTATTCTGAAATATCCCAATATTGACTTTCCGGCTCCTACAAGGGCAGCCAGCCCTGCCTGCCGGGCCAGGAAGCTTGGAGCGTGGGCCAGTAAGCCTGGAGCACAGCCGAGAAGCCTGTGGCTGCCGTGTGCTCCTAGCGTGCACAGCTCCCTCCACAGGCAGCCTCTCCCATTCCCTGAAATATAAGATTTCCATGAAATATCAGGGCAGGGCTGGTCACCCTGTCTTCAAACACACATTGTCACAGGGGCAGGGCAGTGTGGCTGGGCTCTTGGCTGTAGCTAAGGATAGAAAACAGCTCTAATTTTTGAAATTCAGGACAGAGATGATTAAGAAGCATCGATGCTCAGAGGTGGTTCAGAAGTACAGGGATGCTGCTAGGAACATACGCTCAGACGTGCATTTTTTCAGAACATCCGTCAGTCGGCCACTATTACATTCCACCTGTATATGAGGAGCAAAATGGAAACACGTGACCTCAAGACTAATGGATGGAGTCTCATGGCAAGAGCTGTCTAAAGGCCGCAGCTGCAAAGCTACGAGACTCCAGCTTCCGGGGATTCTATGAATGTATCTACGAATCCTTACGGGACACCCAAGGGCCTGGCGCTGGGTCTAAAGCTCTGCATCTAAGCTCTTGCTCAGAGTCACAGGTCAATGTCATCGAACACAGCAGCACAGGCCCTGGTCAGCAGCAGTCCAGTAAGGAAGCCATGGGGAGGGGAAGGGGAAACAGAGGGGACGTGTGAGCCAAGGCAGGAGTGGTCCAGTCTCCAAGATCTGAAGCCACATGCTGGTCACACCATGGCTAGAGATGGTCATGGACTCCATGGGACTGAAGATCTAAATGGGAATCTGCAGGGGAAACCCAAGATGTGGGAGGACAGTGGCCGAGGCGGCTCTGGAGCATTGGCACCTGCACCACGCATTTCCCAGCGCCGCATGCTTCTCCCGCATGGACGGGAGGCCCCAGACACAGCTCCCCACTTGTGCTGACCTTAAACCATGCCACAGATTTCCTGGTCAGATTAAACCTAAGGGGCTGAATCCTTCCCTGTGTCTGTACTTGTGAAGGGAGGATTTTTTAAAATGTTCTGCCTTGGGGCCTGGGCAAGGGGCAGAGATTTGCTTATGGCCCCTGGTGGCTGGGAAGCAGAGGCTGCGGAGGCCCATGCTGGCAAATGGGAACTGTCCCACTGCAAGGTCTCCCAGACTCCCACACCCGGGCTGGGCTCAGGCCAAGGTGACACCCTCAGATGCCATCCAATGTGAACCGGGGCCGCGGGAATCAGCCTCGATCCCACACAGATGCTGCTCAATGTGGGCTCCCAGCCCGGGCCAGCCAGGCCTCCTGGCAGCACTGGTACAGAGCCCCAGGTAAAGGAGCACGAATGGAGTGAAAGCCGCTGAGGCGCTAGAAGAGCACCTGAGTACCTGAGTCCCTGCGGCAGCTGCCTGGTAGCTCCTGGAGCGCGAGACCTTGGCCCCGCTCCTCCTGACTCCCAAGTGCCAGGGACAGTGGCCTGCAAGCGAACAGGGAGACAGGCAGGGGTAGAGCTGACCTCAGACGAGAATGGGTGACCCCAAGCAGGGAAGCGGGAAGGAGCCACCCAGGGGAAGAACTCCAGAGAACATTCCAGAGTGGGAAGCAGGACCAGCCTGGGCCAGGAGGGGCCACATGCTCCAGGAAGGTAAGGGAACCAGCGTGGCCAGAGCAGGGAACGTAAGGCAGACGAGGGACAGGGGAGGGTGGAGAACTGAGCAGGGCCCGGTCACCTGGGCAGAAAGCAGGCACCCACGCCCAGCGTGGTCCAAGCTGAACTGGCACAGGCAGAGGGGACTGGCAGAGGGACGGGCAGAGGGCACGAGCTGAGGGGGCACAGGCAGAGGGCACAGGCAGGGAGGCACAGGCAGAGGGCATGGGCAGAGGGATGGACAGAAGAGATGGGCAGAGGGCACAAGATGAGGGGGCATAGGCAGAGGGCATGGGCAGAGGGATGGACAGAGGAGACGGGCAGAGGGCATGAGCTGAAGGGGCACAGGGTGAGGGCACAAGCAGAGGGATGGGCAGAGGGAGCACGGGCAGAGGACACAGGCAGAGGGGATGGGCAGAGGGCACGAGCTAAGGGAGCATAGGCAGAGGGACGGGCAGAGGGATGGGCAGAGGGGACAGGCAGAGGAGACGGGCAGAGGGCATGAGCTGAGGGGGCACGGGCAGAGGGACAGGCAGAGGGATGGGCAGAGGGGACGGGCAGAGGGCACGAGCTGAGGGGGCACAGGCAGAGGGACAGGCAGAGGGGACAGGCAGAGGGCATGAGCTGAGGGGACACGGGCAGAGGGATGGGCAGAGGGGACAGGCAGAGGGCATGAGCTGAGGGGGCATGGGCAGAGGGACGGGCAGAGGGGGTGAGCAGCTGATTACAGAGCTGCTCAGTAATCCAGGAATAGCCAAGGGCCTGGTGTCAGTAGGGCTCACAATGAGGCCCACTGTCTTTAAACTTCCCAGGGTTCCCAGCACTGAGGCTCATTTAATGGGAACTCTGGGTACATGAGGGTGGTCTCCAGCGACACCAAGCTGGACTTAGGACCTGGAGATCACAAGCAGAGGACCCGAGGCAGGCAGCAGGAAGGGCAGCAGCATCCTGAGCCACCGGCCTCCCCCACCATCACCCACCCACACCGGGATGTGGGTGATGCAGGACCAGTGCGAAGATGGTGTGGGGACGGTGGGCAGGGGCTCTCAGCTGTAGCCACCAAGCTGCTAAAGATCCCTGCAGCCTCTCTCAGGAAATAACAGTGCTGAAACACACTTAGCTGAGCTCTCTGTGGTGAGATAGTATTTTTAAAGTAAACACTGGATAAGAGTTCAGAGTTGTTTTTCAAACATGAGTCAAAATCATGTCAAAGTGTCACTGAGACCCTCCAGGAGGGATGACGTGGGCTCTCCATGCCCACACCAAGAACCTCCCTGACTTAGGGTGACAGCCAGCTCCTGGGGGGGCTGCCACCCACCACCTCTGTCCTCCCCAGGCTCCACCTCAAGGCAATGTCGGGGCAGCCACTGAGCTCATCCTCTCGCAGGCTCAGGACCCACCGAAGGCCGGTGTGCAAATGTCCAGACCCAGTGCACCAAGGCTGGCCGCGCCCTCCACCCCACATGGAGCTGCCCCAGCTCTGGGTGACTCCTCCTGCACCGCAGGTCACAACGAACCCTCCCTCCACAACCACTGGCCTCGTCCAGGCCTCAACACTTCTTCCTGGCCTTTTTTCAGCACCGCAGGAGACTCCGACTCTAAACTCTGCCCCACCAGAGTTACCCAAAGGCCACCTGGCCTGTGCTCCCAGGAATCTCCCGCCTGGAGCGTCCAGCAGGACCCAGTTTGTGCTGGCCTGTGTTTGTGGCTCACAGCTCCACACCCTGTGCTTCCTGCTCAGCACAGCCACATTATGAGTGCTGACCCACCCCAGTCTACTGGTTCCCATCCACACCTGTGTCCATGGATTTCCTGTTGACAACATCACTCCCACCTCACTCCTCTAAGTACTAGAGATTTTCAGGCATGTTCTCAGACCAGCAGCATCAGCAGTGGCAGGGAACTTCCTGAAAATGCTCATTCTCGGGCCCAACCAATCAGAGGCTGTGGGGTGGGCCCTGCTTAGCAAGGAGGTTCTGAGGCAAGGGGGTTCTGACCTGTGCAAGGAGGGCCCCATGTGTAGAGACCATGAAGGACACCACTCCTGGCACCTCCTGCACCAGGAGAGCACAAAGGCCTGCTGAGCTCTGACGGGTGCGGGCAGCAGTCTAAGGACTAGGCATGGGGCAGGCCCACGTCACACTGCACTGAGGGAGGGCCCGTCCTGTTGGGCAGGCTCCTGATTCCACACCTCCGTCTCTTCAGAGGCCTCATTTCCTCAGTCCCCACAGTAACCCCAGCAGCTGAGCCAGCCCATGATCCATCTCACAGGAGAGGCGCTCAGATGTCTGCAGAAATGAATGACTCTGATCGAGGTTGCAGGCCAAGTGAGAGGCAGACTGGGAATGGAGGCAAACGCTCTAGGCCATGAGAAGTCCCTGCCTACTAACAACCAGTGATTCACACATTTCTAGTGTCTCTTCCTAGAATCCTCAAAGACTCCGAGTTTAAATGATGCCTTTACTACACTGAAATGGAAGGCACTGTCTCATACCTGCTTCCTGATATAATTTGCTGTATTACTCAACTTTTTGTACATTCAGAATTCCCTACTGGGGGGAAAAAGGGGAACAAAACGATGACTTAAACTCCCAGCCTGGAATTTGTACTGTCACACCACAGTGAATAGTTATCAATTTATCCTTTTTTCTTAGGCAGTCTATAGAAAGGAATTAACCAATAATTGAAATACAATCTTTTTAAGATCCCTCTCTCTCCTACTTTCATTTGAATGCTGACTTTCCAAGAACAGATGAAACAATAATTCCCATAAATGTTATCTGTGTTGTCCAAGACCGAAGCCCTAACTTCCATGAACATCCTGGGAGGCGCAGCTCCACGGTCACTCCTTGAACATCCTGGGAAGCGCAGCTCCAGGGTCACTTTTCAGGCAATGGCTGAGAGTGTTCCTGTCCCTGGGATTCCACACGTTAGTCCCCTGCAGTCACAGAGGCGACGAATGCCGGATTTCCGTCTCCAGCAGGACAGTGAACAAATCAGAAGGCCATCCTTTGCGAGTCACTGGGCTGCACGGTTGTTCAAAGCCTTATAGCGTGGTGTTAATTTCCACAACACAACCAACTCCATGTCAGTTCAGTTCAAGGTCAGCCTCACCATCTCCAGGTAAGTCTTCAGAGAACAGATTCACGTTAGATATGCCATCCATGCCAAAAATTAATTTTCATCCGGCTTTTGCAAAGGCTTACTCAAGCTGTTTATGAATTTCAAAAGCAACTCTGCATAAAATGAAATAAATGGTTCCAACAATGGATAACACAGAGCAAACCCACACAGAATTCAAACCTAAAGGCAGCACCGGGCTGTGTCGTTACACACATCACGGCTCAAAATGCTTCCAGCACCAGGACGTGATGAAACATAACTGTCAATAACTCATCTCTCCTATTCAACGTAGAGAATAAGAATTCTATGTGGAATGCATGAGACATTTTATCTGTTGGGCTCCTCATAATTATTTGCCCCACAAGAAAATATAATGTGTTGGGGTATGCCAGGATCCTGGGGACTAGGGACACCCTATAAAGGTAAGGCAACATTTGTCCCAAACACGCCAACTCTGGCCATCTGCTGGCTAGATGTCTATGATGTCACATGCGGATGCTTCAAAAGAACCTCCATTCCCATCAGGTACTAGTGGATGCTTAATGAATATTTGGGATGGGAAAAGGGGAGCAGAAAGATTAAAAGGGGAGGGGAGAGGAAGAGGGGGGTACCCTGAACAGCAAAAAGTGCACACTTCTGGAGGACAACTTTGAAAACCAGGTGGGCTCCTGATAGGGTGGCCTCGCTCTAAAATCAGGGACTTTATGATTATGTGACATCGTATTTGAGAATTTTAGACACCTGTAACACTGACATTCCACAAGCTACACATTACAGAGACCTCAGTTTAGAAATGGAACACTACCATTTTCTTTCAAAATACTTTTTTGGTGTGGCCTACTTTTATTTTGTTTGTCTTTTTGAGTGGGCTGTTTTCCATCAACAATTCTATTGTAAAGATTTTGCCTGTAATGCTTAAGCATTTCTTAAAGTGAAAAATAATTTAACCGAGTTAAAAGGATCCTGCGCCTCCGGGTCACGCAGAGAACCCAAGTCCAACACCAATCGGCGGCCGAGCTCTGGAGAGCTGAGCGCCTCTAGCACCTGAGAAGTTTGCTCTCCAAGTGTCTGGTCTCACAGGGCAGGGATGGAAAGGGCGTCTTTCAGGGTGGGGGAGGTGGTGGGGAGGAGCCTGGGTGAACTCCTGACTGCTCAGCACCAACATTGCCATGGGTCAAGACTGCTCCCGACACCTCCATCCTGGGGCACAGGCTGTGCATCCAGAAACTCAACCCAAGCTGCTGAGACGCCATCACCCCCACTCACTTCCCCAGACTGCCCTTCTGGCTGCTCTGTGGCACTCAGAGCCGCGACTGTTCTCAAACTGCTGTCTCCCGCTTCCCTTGGTTTTATTGTGATCACTCCTCTCTCTGCAGTCCTACTCTTATTAGCAATCAACTCAGGACTGCCATGAAAAAGTGTTTCCCTGTTACCTCACACATACGGCGCTTATGTTAAAAACACTTACATAAGATGAATTCTGTAAATAAATGTTCGAGGCATGTTTGTAGCTAAATGTTCTTTCCATGTGCATGAATGGCATTCCATGGACTGCGAGGTCTGTGACTCTGCACAGCACAGCGTGGCTACACATTCTCCTTTCCACGTGCATAGCTGGTGTTCTGTGGACTGCGAGGTTTGTGAATCTGCACAGCACAGGGTGGCTACATGTTTTTATTTCCATGTGCACGGCTAACATTGTGAGGTCCGTAAATCCGCACAGCAGTGTGGCTACATGTTCTTATTTCCACGTGCATGGCTGACGTTCTGTGGACAACGAGGTCTGGGACAACGAGGTCAGCACAGCGTGCCAGTAGCAGCTGCAGGATGGCCACAGCTGACAGCTCTCACAGCTGCCCAACTCTCCCAGCTGTGCCTCACCAGCCTTCACCAGCATCACCAAGAGCTACCACGTAAGTCATTCTACTGACTGGGAAGTCCATGGGACCAATTCCTGGCAATAATTCAGTTAGAATTCAACGACAATCCTTCCCCCACTGAAATGAAGTACCTAACATTTTATGTGTAGGATCAGTCACATTTTGTAAGAATTATCAAATGCATACACAGCAGAAATTTAAACTCTTGATTAAGAATCTAACTAAATCCCTTAATGGACAAACAGATCCCATGCTAGGTCCATTTTCGCTCAACTTGTTTCTCTGACCCAGCTGGCAGCTTAGTCATTGAATGATGAGGCCCCACACACTTTAAAGTACAAATCAAAGCCATGAGCACACCAAGACCAAAACTATGGACAAAAGGCAAGAACAAGAATGAAGACACAGTCTACTATTCCCTGCTTCCAACAGTCAGGAGCTACTGTCCTTCTTATTCCAATGAGACACAGCACTAACCTGTGCACCGACATCAGCACAGTACTGACCAAGCATCAGTGTGGCACAGCATTAATCCATGCACCAAAATTGACACAGTACTGACCAAGCATCATTGTGGCACAGCACTAACTCGTGCATGGTACTGACCAAGTGTCAGCATAGCACAGCACTAACCTGTGCACCGACATCAGTACAGTACTGACCAAGCATCAGTGTGGTGCAGCATTAACCCATGCACCAGAATTGACAAGGTACTGACAAAGCATTGGTGTGGCACAGCACTAACCTGTGAGCCAACATCAGCACAGTACTGACCAAGCGTCAGCATGGCCCAGCACTAATCTGTGTGCCAAAATTGACACAGTACTGACCAAGCATCGGTGTGGCACAGCACTAACCCATGCATGGTACTGACCAAGCGTCAGCGTGGCACAACACTAACCCATGCACTGATATCTACATGGTACTGACTGAGTGTTGGTGTGGCACAGCACTAACCTGTGCACCGACATCAGCACAGTACTGACCAAGCATCAGGGTGGCACAGCACCAACCCGTGTGCTGACATCGGCATGGGACTGACCAAGCATCAGGGTGGCACAGCACCAACACGTGCAACAAAATCAACATGGTACTGACCAAGCATTGGTGTGGCACAGCACTAACCCATGCATGGTACTGACCAAGCGTCAGTGTGGCACAACACTAACCCATGCACTGATATCTACATGGTACCGATGAAGCGTTGGTGTGGCACAGCACTAACCTGTGCACCAACATCAGCACAGTACTGACCAAGCGTCAGGGTGGCACAGCACCAACACGTGCACGAAAATCAACACGTGCACGAAAATCAACACGGTACTGACCAAGCATCGGTGTGGTACAGCACTAAACTGTGCAAGGTACTGACTAAGTGTTGGTGTGGCACAGCACTGATCTGTGCACCAACATCAGCACAGTACTGACCAAGTGTCGGCATGGCGCAGCACTAACTGTGCACTGATATCTACACAATACTGACTGTCACTGTGGCACAGCACTAACCGTGCACTGATATCTACACGGTACTGACCGAGTGTCAGCATGGCACAGCACTAACCGTGCACTGATATCTACACGGTACTGACCGAGTGTCAGCGTGGCGCAGCACTAACCGTGCACTGATATCTACACGGTACTGACCGAGTGTCAGTGTGATGCAGCACTAATGATATCTACACGGTACTGACCGAGAGTCAGTGTGACGCAGCACTAATGATATCTACATAGTACTGACTGAGCGTCAGCGTGGCGCAGCACTAACCGTGCACTGATATCTACATGGTACTGACCGAGAGTCAGCGTGGCACAGCACTAACTGTGCATGGTACTGACCAAGTGTCAGTGTGGCACAGCACTGACCCATGCACTGCTGTGATTCCAGTACTAACTCGTGCACTGTCTTCATGCGATACAGCCCGTGACAATAAACATAAGGAAAAAGGCAGGACATGACGTGAAATCAAGCTTTAAAGAGAAGAGAAAACCGCTCCTTACCCCTGCGATGCCTGGCAGTGGCGATGTGTTCACTCCAGGGTGGGGGCCGGTCTGACTGCTGGGTTCCTAGTGCAGCCGTTTGCTCTCAGCCTCCGGAGGACTCTGCAAATCACACACAGGCATTTAGGCTGAGGTGCTCGGTGGGGGTGCTGGGGAAACCAGTAGGGTGCAGCCCCCCAGGGTGGGCAGTTGCCAGGCCCCGTGGAGGAGAGGGGCCCGCTTGATGGCACTTGTCTGAAATGCACTGACTTTCCTCCCAGTCCCCACTGCTTGCTGCACCCCCACTCCATATCCAGCGAGCGTGCTTGGATGGTTTTCTGCACACTCGCTTACACGCACAGGGGCCTGGCCATCCCAGGACCTGCCCATCTGGCTTTCTGTGGCCTTGACTCCTGTGCAGGGGCCTCGTTTTCTCACCCCATCCCCCACCCCCAGGATGGCATCTAAGTCTGGATCACTCTGTTTGGTCGTTGCACTGTGCCCCAGAGGGGTGTCCACTTGCTGGCCCATGTGGAGCCGGTTGGAGGGTGCCAGGCGGCATCATGCTGGGGGAAGGACTGCAGCACTGTGGTCCTGCCGGGGTCGCTGCCTCGGCCTCCCAGGATGGACTCTGCACTTTATGGGCCTGTTCCCGTGTTTTCCAGCCCCTTGGTCTCCATCTTACAGGACTCTGTGTCTCACTTGGGCTGTGTGAGCCAGGGGCTGGGGAGACACCTTCCCCTGTTCCCCTGTGCCCCGCCTCCTGGGGGGGTCTTATCCCCTCCACCATGCCGCAACAAGAGTCAGGACCACGCTGCCAGCCCCACACTTCCTTCCCTAACCAGGGTCCTGTGAGGCTTTGGGGTTTGGGGGAAGGAGGAAATCAGGCTCGTGACAAACACCGGTTTAGAAGCTGCATGGGATTCAGAGCCAGCAGCCTGGACACCAGCCTGGTCTTTCAGTGCCTCAGTGTACCCACTCTAGTCATGAGGAGAAAGCCGCGCCTCCCTCTTGGGGTGATGACAGAGGTGGAAGGATGCTGTGAGGGCCCGAGCCACTCCAGGCACCCTCCCGCCATCAATGCCCCGGAAGGTGGGTGGCGGCAGGAGCTGTGGCTCTGAGGGGATCTCAGGAGCACTGGATTCTTGGTGCCTTCCTCAGCACCCGTCACCCCAGCTAACTCCAGCTAACTCAGCACCCATGACTCCAACTAACCCAGGTAATCTCCAAAGACATGTTTTCTTGTCTCTGGTGATGTTTTACATGTAAAAGTGCAGAGCACTGGAGGCTGGGGTCTTTGCATGATGGCTGTGCTTGCTGGGATCCACTGTTCAGCCTCCCCAGGTGCTCGCCGGCCCCTCCCCATTTTATGTAGGATCGTTCGGACTGTCAGCAAGACATAAAAAAGCAGCTGCCTGCAGAGGCCAAATGCGCGGCAGGCTCCCGTCTCCACTGTCTAATTAATTAATCGTTTCCAGGTCGCAGAGCTCGTGGGAGCATTTGTGCCCTATCTTTCCAGCCCACAGACGTGGGGGTGGGGACACCCAGGCTTCCCGAAAACCCCCTCCCACACACTCACTCTGTCTTTAAGGCAAGTTTGCTCCTTTTTAGTTTTTAAATCAGAGTGTTGGCATGTGTGCGAGCGAGTGTCCAAGCGGGTATACGCTGTTTGTAAAACAGCTCCGCTGTTGCCTGGGGGCCAGTTCTACCCCATAAGCAATGTTTGCCAGTGTCCATCTGTGAACCATGTCAGGTCCATGAGAAGGTTCTCAGGATCCTATGGCCATGAGTGAGGGCTAAGGCAATACGGCGAGTCCTCCATGAAGCTATGGTGAACGAAGTGTCCTTTACTCTAATAACTGAATAGCAGAATTGGACTGAATTCTGTAGTTTTAAAACCTTCTTCCAAGGATAACAGAAACACAGAAAAATGAGCAAGCAAGCACACCCCCACAGCCTTTTCACACAGAGCACACACATGAACCCAGAGCCTGATCCAGGATCAGGACACGGCCTGCCCTCCCCGGGGGCCCCGCCCGGACACCAGCCTGTCTTCTGAAGGCAGAGGGTGGACTGATCTGTTGTGAAACTTCTATTGGTGCAGTCACACCAGAAGCATGTGACTTCATGCAACACCATGTTTATGAGACTTATATTTTTATCTTTTATTGTGGTAAAATACATGTAACATAAAATTTACCACTTTAGCCATTTCTGAGTAAGCAGTTCAGTGGCATCAAACACGTTTCCGGCATTGTGCAATCACCACCACCATCCACAGAACTCTCTTCAGCTTTCCAACTGAAACTCTGTCTCCATTAAAGACTAACTTCCCAGCCCTGTGAATCTCACTGCTCTAGGGACCTCACACCACGGGCATTAGACAGTTTTTGTCTTTTCTTGTCTGGCTTATTTCATTGAGCAGGATGGTCCTCAGGGTCCGTCCATGTGGTAGCATGTGTCAGAGTTTCTTAAGGCTGAATAAAAAATATTCCATGGTGTGAATACACCACATTGTATGTATCAATTCACCTGTCCACAGATATTGAATTGCTTTCACCTTTTAGCAGTTGTGAATAGTGCTGCTGTGAACATGGGTGTGCGGATGTTTCTTTGGACCTCAGCTTTCAGTTCATTTGGGTATGTACACAAAAGTGGGACGGCTGAATCATAAAGCAGACATAGTTTTAATTTTTTCAGGAACTTCCATACCGTCTTCCACAGATGCGGTGCCATTTACATTCCCACCAACCGTGCAGGAGGGTTCCAGCGTCCCTACGTCCTTGCCAACACATGTTATTTTCTGGTTTAGCTTTGTGTTTTATGGTAATTATCTTAATGGGCGTGAGGTGGTATGTCAGTGTGGTTTTGATTTGCATTTCCCAATGATTAGTGATATTGTGCGTCTTTTCATGTGCACGACTTTGTAAAATAAGTTCTATATAAAAATCCTTTGTTGGATGGATATTATTGAGGAACTACTGCAGAGTAATGTGGTTGTGAGGGACAGAACCATGACTGTTTTCCTCTGAAGGTCATTCTTTTCCTAGCATAACACCACACAGGATTGCAGCAAGTGGCTTCAACTGGCAACTTCATTCATGTATCCATTCACTCACCCATCCATCCATCTATCCAGCTATCCATCCACCCACTCACTCATCCAGCCATGTGCCTGCCTGTCCACCTACCCACCAGTCTATCTATCCATCCACCCATTTATCCACTGTTCATCCATCTATCCACTCGTCTGTCCATACACCCACCCATTCATCCATCCGTCCACTCGTCTATCCACACACCTACCCATTCATCCATCCGTCCACTCGTCTATCCACACACCCACCCGTTCATCCATCCGTCCACTCATCTATCCACACACCCACCCGTTCATCCATCCGTCCACTCGTCTATCCACACACCCACCCGTTCATCCATCCGTCCACTCGTCTATCCACACACCCACCCGTTCATCCACCCGTCCACTCGTCTATCCACACACCCACCCGTTCATCCATCCGTCCACTCGTCTATCCACACACCCACCCGTTCATCCATCCGTCCACTCGTCTATCCACACACACACCCGTTCATCCATCCGTCCACTCGTCTATCCACACACCCACCCGTTCATCCATCCGTCCACTCGTCTATCCACACACCCACCCATTCATCCACCCGTCCACTCGTCTATCCACACACCCACCCGTTCATCCATCCGTCCACTCGTCTATCCACACACCCACCCGTTCATCCATCCGTCCACTCGTCTATCCACACACCCACCCGTTCATCCATCCGTCCACTCGTCTATCCATACACCCACCCGTTCATTCATCTGTCCACTCGTCTACCCATACACCCACCTGTTCATTCATCTATCCACTCGTCCATCCATACACCCACCTGTTCATTCATCTATCCACTCATCTATCCATACACCCCCCTGTTCATTCATCTATCTCACCACCCAGCATACAACCATCCACACCATTTATCCACCATTCATCCATCCAGTCACCATCCATCCACCTACCCACCCATCCATCCATCTACATCAACCCACTCATTCATCCACCCATCTAACCACCCAGCATGCATCCATCCTCCCACCCACCCACCCATCCATCCACCCACCCATTCGTCTATCCACATATCCATTCATTACTTCTCATCCATCCATCTACTCATCCACACATCCATTTATCCATCCATCTAACAACCCGCAATTCATCCACCCACCCATCCATCTACCCACCCACTCGTCTATCCATCCACCTACCCATTTACCCAAAATTCATCCATCTACCCACTCATCTATTCATCCATCCACCCATTTACCTATCCATCTACCCACCTATTTATCCCCAATTCATTCATTCACCCACTCATAAATCCATCCATCTGGTCTGTCCACCCATTCAACTACCCAACCACTCATCTATCCATGCACCTACCCATTTATCCACAATTCATCCATCCACCCACTCATCTAGCCATACGCCCATCCATCCATCTGTCCATCCACTCACTCATTCATATATCCATCCACCCACCCATTTATCCACAATTCATCCATCTACCCACCCACCCACCATCCATCCACCCACCCTGAGAGCCCTGCCATGTCTAGAATCTGACACTGTGCCCCAGCCCTGTCTGTTCCCAAGTCTGTTGAGTTCTTGATGGTCAGTTCCTACTTAGTCTCCATTGGACCTGCCTGCTGTGGTGACTCAGCTCCCCTGCCTCACCTTCGCTCTGACCCTTTGTTGATTCCTGCATGCAGCTCTGCTCTGAGCTCCGTGGGGATTCCTGCTGTTGGGGCCTGGCCCCCTGGATGCTCTAGTCTCAGACCCTGTTGGGAGCAAGCAGCGTCATCAGGCGGCTTCCTTTCCACGTGCCACACATGCCGTCCTACTGAGGCCTTTGAGACCTTTGCAGCCCAGCCCTGGAAGCCAGTCCGCCCACTGTGAACTCACACGGCTCCCCACACTTCATGCCTCTGTCTGGGCTGTTCTAGCCTAGGCCACCTTCTCACAAATCACCCTCATAGTCTGCGAAGCTGCCTCTGGCCCCGGCCCCGGCCCTAACCCCCTCCCTGGGGAAGAGCAGCTGCACATGTTGCCACATTCCCACGTACTTTGTCCAAATTCTGCACAATAGCTTTTCCGCAGGGTCTGTTATTACCAACAAAGATGATGACGGTGACTAACGTCACCATGCTCTCCCGGAAGCCAGGCCTGGGCTCGAACATTCTGTGCAGAATCTCACTGAATCCTTTCAACAACCCTATAAGGCAGGTTCTGTTACCATCCCCCTCTTATAGAGGAGGACCCCTGAGGCTCAGAGAGGGAATGTGACTCACTCCAAGTCACACAGTGAACAACTGAGCTGAATCCCAACCCAGGCCTGTCTGATTCCAGAGCTGGGATGTGGACCGGCCATGAATCCTCAGCCTGGATGCCAGCCCCGAGACGGGGGACCCACACCTGAACTGTCTGTTCCTGAACTGGAAACAAGAATGAATGAATGAATAAATGATAGAATAAATGGGTGGAGGCTCAAGCCAACGGCACTGATCTCAAAGCCCAGAAGTTCTCGGCGGTTAGCCCTCCACAGAAAGCCTTGAACACCACACAGAAGTGTTCAGCGACGGACTTTTCCTTCCTGGAGAGGAGGAATGAGAAGAAGGCAAAAGCCAAGAGAAAAACAAGAGGCAGAGGAAAGCAGCCTGGAGAATCTTCCCGTGGAGTGAGCATGATTGCTTTGGATACTTGGAATCTGGGCACAGTCTGCGAAGCATCGAGTATGGTAAAAGCCTTTGGTTTTGTATGCTGCAGACGGATGGAACGTCACTGTCCAGGAAGCTCAGGCACAGAAGCATGCACACAAATGCCCAGGGAGTCTGCATGATAAGCAGGCCCTGAGCAGCCACGTGGAGTCCGGCCTTGTCCTGAGCTTCTG
This sequence comes from Homo sapiens, assembly GCF_000001405.40. Classification (NCBI taxonomy): domain Eukaryota; kingdom Metazoa; phylum Chordata; class Mammalia; order Primates; family Hominidae; genus Homo; species Homo sapiens. Next base: position 29,296,445 of record NC_000016.10, on the reverse strand, counting down.
ACTGTCCCCATTTTCCATACCCTCCAGGCAGCAGGTGCGAGCGTCCAGGACCGTGGCGAGCTGGCCGGCCACATGGACACACACAGCCATCAGCTCACGGTGCTGAAAGGCCCAGCTGGTTTGTGAGCAGCCAACCAGATCTCCTCCCCTTCACCCTCAACGTCCTTGGGAAGGATGGGTGGCAGGGCTGGGAGGCTGAAGGTCAGGGAACTGGAGTCCCCTGGGCCCAGGGTGGGGAGCAGGGCCCTGGCCAGACCCTCTCTCTACCCACATGGGCTTGGGGTCATCCAGGAGGATGCATGCCAGAATTCCGGTCCATGAAGATTTGGCATTTCACTGCAGGCGCAATTTACCTCCAAGAAGAAAAAAAGCTACTAACGAATGCCAGTCTCCAGCTGATGATGGCTTGCCCTGTCTACAGGAGGCAGTGCTGATGTCACAACCACCTAGAAATGCAGGACGCGAACCTAGATCCTGGATGGTGGTTTCTAGAAAACACTCTGCTCTAAAGGAGCCGGGGCTCCATGGAGAAGTGGCTGAGTCCAGGGCGTGGGCAGGAGAATGACTGGGTGCACCTGGAGCATCTATGCCGGGAAGTCAGACACACTCAGAAAAGGTGGGGACACTCCTGACCACCTCAGGAGCCATCAGAAGCCACTGAGGTTGTAACTCATGGAATAGAGTAGCAACTCACAAGGCCATCCTGGTGACAGAAAAACCAGCAACTGTGTGCTGGGGGGATTGGTCAGCAGTTCCCGAGAGCAGAATACCAACCAGCAGGTGCAAAAGACGTGATTTAAACAAGCGTCCCGGTAAGGATGGGCGGGAGGATGCCACACAGACATGGTGGGAGGAAGCAGGGCAGCCCAGGTGGAGGCGGGGCCCACAGTGTGTGCAGGGGTCTTAAGAGGTCCGTGTGTTTGGAAAGTCACATAGTAAGATGTTGACAAAAGATAAAAATAAAGATGAGGATTGGGAAAAAGAAAAGAAAAAGAAAAAGAATGTGCTGCAGGGTGATATTCATCTCCTGTGGGAAACACCAGTTCTACCCACCTGCCACAGGCCCGGCCGCCAGGGTGCACCCACCTGCTGTAGGCCCGGCCACCAGGGTGCACCCACCTGCTGTAGGCCCGGCCGTCCGGGTGCACCCACCTGTCATAGGCCCGGCTGCCCGGGTGCACCCACCTGTCACAGGCCAGGCCGCCTGGGTGCAGTTTTTATCCCTATTTTGCAGGGAAAGAAGCTAAGGCGCAGAGAAATTATGCAGCTTGCCCCAGCCGGCCGTGGAAAGTGGAAAGACTCAAACCCAGTTCCACTGGTGTGGAGCCCAGCTCCTGCCTGCCCTGCCTGCCCCGCCTTCACCTGCTCCTCATGGAAAGACTGGGCTGTGAGAAAGGGGAGGGCTGAGCAGAGGGACCCAGCACACCCAGCCCTCACCCAGCCCCTGCATGGCCCAGGCCCTCCTAGGTCAACTGAAATACCATCTCTCCTCCCGGCAGCCCGTGACCTTCCATGCCCTTCCAAGGGCCTAAATGTGATGTCACTGCCCAGGCCCAGGGCTCTATATGTCCAAGGATCCCCTCCCTCTTCAGGGGAGGCTCACAGAGGGGAGGTGACCTGCCTGGTATCCCACAGCTCATGGGGGCCGGGCTGGGCATTTTCCACACAGAAAACATTTGATGTACTTCAAGCGAGTGTCTGGGGCACCCTCCCAGGCTTACCTCAATAAAAATGTTATGGTGGCCCGGGCTTAGTGACTTGCTTCCAAAGAACAGAGTAGAGCAGTGTGACAAGCGTGACCTCAGCCCAGCGGCCCAGGTCAGTGTCGACAGCCACACGTCCTGCTGGCGGTGCCAACCCCTGCGGGGATGTGAGGCACCAAGCACTTGACCCCTGCATGTTCTTCCTGAAAACCCAGGATCTCGCTCTACCCAGGAGAAAAACGCCAGGAGAACTCAAATTGAGGGACAGTCCACAAAATACTCAGCCGGTCCTCTTCAAAACTGTCAAGGTCCTCAAAAATAGGGAAATTCTGAGAAATGGTCTCAGTTGAGAGGAGGCCCTGGGGATGGAGTGTCACACGGGGTCCTGGGACAGAACAGAGATGTTGGTGAAAAAATGACTGAAATCAGAACCAAGTCTGACATTTGTTTGTAGTCAGTCAATGTTGTTGACGTACAGACCAACGTCATCTTCTCAGGGTAGCCAAATGCACCATGGAGACTTAAGACACCAGCGAGGGGGAGACTGACAACGGGGCATGGGAACGCAGGGCTCATGCCACAACTGTCCTAGAAATAGAAAATTCTTCCAAAGTAAAAAGTTTATGTTTAAAATATAGGGAAAAGACTTGAATAGACATTTCACCAAAGACGACATGTCAATGGCAAATAAACACATCCAAAGGAGCTCAACCTCCATGAAGAGGGGAAAAGCGCATCGAAGCCCACTGCACACCTGCTGGAATAACCCTGATCAAAACCCAGAGGATGGCAGGAGCCGGTAAGAATGTGGAGAAATCGGTTCCCTTGCTGCCGGGGGGCATGGGAAATGGCTCAGCCGCTTTGGAAAGCCAGCTGGTGCTGTTAAAAGGTGAAAGGTCGGCTTACTCAGGACCTGGCAGTGCCACCCCAAGGAATCTATGTGAGTGAAGTGAAACATACCGGACACTCATCGCTGCATTATCCCAAACAGCCCGACCTGCAAACAGCCACGGTGTCCCTGCTGACCCCGTGCCTCCAGCACAGCCTCCTCCTGGACTTGGGTAAGTCAATCCCCCAACAGGTGCACCCTCCCCTCCATTTCCACTCAGCCCTTATCCCCCAGGGACCCACTCCACACCTGGGGGCCCTGTGTGGTGACCTCCTGCCAGGCCAGCCTGCCCCAGAGGGAGGAACACAGAATCCATTTGGAACCAAAAGGGACTCAGCTCAGCCGGGAAAAGTAGGCTCTTTATTTCCAGCCTCACTGACCATGCGCTGCTCTGTGCCCATGGTGGGCCAGCCCTGGGCATGAGGAGATGAGCAGAGCTGGCCCCCGGACCCCTCCTTACCACGTCTGAACGGACAGCACTTCTGTGTCCAGGGGTGTGCGCCGGGCTCCCGGGCAGACAATCCCTGGGCTTTCGCGACTGGCACTGAAATGAGGCTGGGCAAGAAGGCACTGGGCCAGATTCCTCCCTGGGGCACTTAAACGGGGCCACAGGGAAAGAATCGATGTGGTGACGGGTGGAGGTGGGGCTCCATGGCAGCCACGGTCAGGAGCAAGCCCTCGGCAGCAAGGTATAAATAAGCCAAAGTGACAGGGGCAGATGAGTGACACGGACAGACCACATGCAGAGAGTGAGGGCGCCAATGGAGGGTGCCACCGGCCAGTGTGAGCCGCAGGGAGAAGGCAGATAGAGTGAGCTCCAGAGTCCTGACCCACGGACACCCAGGTCCTCTTGCCGGGCACCCGGAGCGCCTGGAATCCAGTTCCCGAGGCCTTGGCGGGGGCTGCTGCTCCAGGACCCCCTGGTTATGGCTGGGATGAGTTTGCAGAGGATGCCCCCACCACCAAGCTCACACCTATAAACACTGATCATACAAAGTGTGTCATTCTTGTCACACCAACTAAAACTGCCTTCGGAAGGCAGGGGAAAAGTACTCAGGGCACAACACTGCTCCAAGAATGGAATTCTCTGCAAGTCCAGCTGCTGAAACTGCCTTTTGTCACCTGGGACCAGTTTTATCCACAGCTGCTGAGGTCACTTGCTCCAACTCCAGAAGGAATTCTGCTCACAGCTGTCACACTGACCAGCACGTCCCAGGTCCTCAGAACTTTCCCAGCGCCAGTGAACTTTCTCAAAGAGCAATAGGTAACCTTCTCCTTTCTTGTAAAACCACCAACCTTCTACTGCTTCTCCAACCTCCACCATTTACCTGGTCGGCACATATGCCCCAAGATGCAATCCTTTCTTCCCAAATAAAACGTTAAACTTGGAAATTCGCCTCTACATTTTTATTTTGACTTGAACATACCCCAGCAACCGTGAGACCCCGAGGACACGAGTGACCTTCCCTGCTCCTGGTTCCTTCGTGTGCACAACAGGCCGTGCTGTCTCCTGGAGCCTGGGGCCTGGCACCTGGGAGCTCAGCCAGAGCGGCCCCAGCAACCTCCCTGTAGCTCCAGCAGTGCCATCCCTGTGGTCAGCGTGGACCTGGCCTCCCAGTGGCCCCAAGTCCCCCCATAGCTCCAGTACTGCTGTCCCTGCAGCGTGAACCCGGCCTCCCAGTGGCCCTGTATTCCATGGAGGCCTGGGCCCCCTGCCCTCCTGAGCCTCACAGTGACCAGCCAGCCTCACACGCTGCTGACCCTCAGTAGTGGCCAACCCCGTGTCTGTCGGAGGGCACAGGCCACCATCCCCATGGAGCTCAGGCCTGCTGCCTGGGCAGGGGCCCTCCAGGAAGCCTGGCACTTAGGGGTGGCAGCTCAAGCTTGTTGGGGGTGGGGAGCTGGCCGGGCAGTCAGGGCCCGTCATGTGCGACTTTGGGCCAATCCCATCCCCTCTGGGCCTCTGTTCCCATTTACCAGAGAAAGATGGTCTCCGCTGAGCCAACCACCTTCATCCAAACCGAAGGACAGAAACCACCTCTGCTGAGCCTGGAAGCAGCCAAGGGAGTGGAGAAGCCGGCGGGGATCCCCAGGTTGGGCCACACACACCCCAGTGAGGCTGCGGGAGAGACGTGCCACCTCCCGAGGTGCAGAGTTTCGCAGGGCACAACCCACTCCCGTCTGCTCCTCCAGCACCCTGTGACCCAGGATGGGCGGGTTTCCTGTGCCCCACTTCACAGACGGGAACATTGAGGCTGGGGGGAGCTGAGTGAGGAGTTTGCGGTCCCCAGCCACACGGTGTGACTCCAGCTTTGCTCAGATGCCACACGCTGCACGCACTCCTTTACTGGATGCACCCGGCCCCGCTGGACACTGACGTGCCCCCTCCCAGGACAGCAGCAGGAGCACCCAGCCCTCCTGGATGTCCCCCTGCCCCTCTGTGCCGCAGCCCTCATGACTCACTGGGAGGCCAAAAGGAAGCCCCAAGTGATTTTCTAGCAGCACCTCCCGCAGCCCTCGGGGTGAGGCTGGGCTGTTCTGCCTGCGAGTGGTGCTAGGGGAACCTCCTGAGGGGTCCCAGGAAGGCCCCTGGCCTCCTGCCTCCACACCCCTGATTTCTTGGATCCCTTTCTTGGTCAGTGAGAGCCGACTGGGTGAAGTCACCCCTGGAGGAGGAGGGAGCTGAAGCAGCCGGTGACTCACTCACACGAGACAGTGGGCGGTGGCCAGGGCAGAGCGGGACTCCCCATTGCTGGCTAAAATCCAGACAGCGCCTTGGCCCGAGGTGTCCCTGACAGGACGAGGGTGGAGTGGCAGCTGCTGAAACCTGAACTCCTCTGCCCTGCCCCCGTCCCTTGACCTCACGCATCTAGTAGGTCAGCGCCAGAGGAAATCCTCGAAGAAAATGGGCGTCTCCCTTGCTGAGCACAGAACCGCAGTCAGTCCTGTGTGCCCGCTCCCTGGATGAGGACAGGAAGGACGTGGGGGAGAGGCCACAGTCACCCTCAGGAGCCCCCAGACCCACTGGAAAGCAGCCCAGTGAGCATCTGAGAAGTACTGCCTGTGCCTGGTGTGAGGGTGCAAGGCGGGGGGCCGTGTGGCCAGGCAGCCTAGGGTTGCGCCAAAGCCCAGCAGGTATGGGACGAGCAGGACCAGACTGGGAGGGGCTCGGGGGAGCGGCGACCTGTGCTGAGCTTGAGTTGTGGCTGGGCTGGGAGGCCGGACAAAGGTGTGTTTCCTCTGGCCATGCAGGGGTCAGGCGGTGGTGCTGGGGAGGACGATGTGGGAGGAAGATGGGGCTGGGATGAGGGGCCAGGGCTGAGCTCAGCAGGTATTGGGAGGTGCCATGGGGCTGTGAACATGCATAGGTGGGGAGGCTGGGGCGGGGGCAGAGCAGGGGACAGTCCTGGAGCCAGCAGACAGGAGGAGGCATCTCTACAGCACCCCAGGCTTGGAGACAGGGCTGGCTCACCTCAAAGGGGGCCATGGGAGAGAGGAAGGTGGGCATCAGGGCTGGCCTGCCCCGGCCCCAGGAATACGTGGGAGTTGAGCTGCATGAGGGGTGGCCAGCCTAGGGCAGGGCAGGAGCCACGGGGCGTCCGCTCCTCTCTGTGGGTTTTGGTGTGGGAGGAGGAAGGACAAGCTCCTCCTGGAAGCAAAGGGGCCTGAGGACCCAGGAGCAGAGTGACCTTGTGGGCAGGGCCGTCCCTGAGGCCTGCTACATGCAGAGGACGTGGCCCCTGTGGCCAGCTTGGTGCCAGGAGCAGGTCCTGGGGGGTGGGGAGTAAGTCTCCCAGGGGCCGAGCTCCATGAGTGCATGTGGCGTGGACACTGGGCCTGCCACAGGGAGGCTGGTGTGGGCAGGAGGCTCCCTGGGAAGTGGAGAAGCGCTTTCTGTGAGCTTGTTCCAGGGCTCTGGTCAGCCCAGCCCGGGGTCTCATGGCCACACAGGTCAGCAGGAAGGGGAAGATGCCCCAGCAAGGAGGCAGGAAGGTGGCCTCTGCCCGGTGCATCAGTCTCGGAGGTGGGGGACCCAGGGTTTGTTCTCAGCAGGCCTCCTCTCCTCCTCTGCCTCACAGGCACCTCTGGGATGGGAGAGGCGGTGTCTGCAGGGCCCTTCCCACAAAGTCTGTCCATCTGCCACTGCTGCTGCTGCAAGGGGCTACGGGTCCTCTGGCGACTCTGAACCCCTCGGAAAAGGGAGGCTTGAGCTGCCCACTGCACCCTTGACCCCTTCTGAGCCTCTCGGCAAAGTCCCAATCCACCCTCCTCAGGAGGTCCCAGGGACTTGCCCACATGGGCACCCCATGCCCTCAGCCAACCAACCCCACCATGGCCCACACGCCTGCCCCTCCCTCTGTCTCCTTGGGGCCCCGCACACGTTGGCACAGAACATCTCCCTGCTGGGTGACCTCTTCCCGCGAGCGGCCCAGGACAAGTGCAGCTTTCTGGGCAGACACTGGGAGCGGGCATTCCCGATTCACAGAGGACTCACCTCGGCGTACTACAGCGGCCTGGCAGAGCCCAGCCTGCAACAGGGGCCTCGTATGCATCTGTTGAGTACACCAGTGAATCCCAATCCCCCAGTTCGTTTTCTACCCCACAGGCCCAACCACTGGGTGGGGTGGGGGAGGCATTTCGCTGGACGCCATGGAGACGCAGTATCGTCTGGGAACCTGAGTCTCTGTAAACCCCGGGGTCGGACAGACCAGTGCCAGCAAGCTCCTTCGCAGAGAGGAACTCAGACACGAATCCCTGGAGACTCCTAGTTCTCATACAGAGCTTGTTTTTTACTTCCATGTTCAAAGTCCGGATTTTCACAGGTCTGCTTCTCCCGGGGGCCACGCCTGCATTTCTGCGAACGATCCCCAGCTGTCCCTAATGAAACGTGCTCCTCCACTGAGAGGGAGCCCAGCCCCACTCAAGTGGGTCAGAGCTCGTCCGTAGGAGGCTGTGTGGGGGTCACGCCACCACAGGACGCAGATCTGCCAGAAGCCTGTTTTATTGCACTTAACTAATTCCCAAGATAAACCACTGGGAATTTCCATGTAAGCACTTAGGCCTCTGTTTATGAGAATCTTTGATCCACTGAGAATGTTTAGAACTCACTGAAGCATCCCTGGCCCTGCCCAGCACCAAGCCTTCCAAGATGCGTGAGGGCAGGGAAATTGTCGGCCTGTGCTTGGTCTGTGGGGATCCAGGACCCCAGGAGGGGACCCCAATAGGGAGCCTCTGCCCCCCAGGTGGTGGGGTCTCTGCTGGGACTCTGCAGGCTCCTGCCCGTGGCCAAGTTCATGGCTGTCTTTTCCAGAGCTGCCCCGGAGCCCTAGACAGCCCCATGGAAGGGCCCATCTTCCTCCGGCCGTGGAGGAAATTTGCAGCCATCCGTGACCTGCAAACTGTAGCTTATGATGGACTGCTCCCCATCCACCAAAGCCCAGCCACTTGGTTTGGAAGCCACTGCCCCAAATGGCCCCTCTCCAGTCACTGAACTGCAGTTCAAATGCCCCACCCCTTGGCTCTTTGAGCAGCCAGCCTGCCTTCTTGCTCTGGGATGGTTTCTTCAAAACCCTCTGGAGTATGTCCAGTTCTTCTGTTATTTCAGGGTGTTTTATTTCCAGCACAGATTTCCACTTCTGCTACCACCGGGATGGAAAAGGCCTCTTCCCTCCGATTCCCCCAATCCCAAGAATCCAATTCCTTCGCTAATGCTGAGTGCAGACATAGTCTCTACAATCCAGAAGGCTGAGTGAGGTGGAAATGTCGGTGCAGCCTGCAGCTCACCTGGTTGTCACTCACAGATCGGCCTCGGAAAGCTCCAGGAAGTTGATTTGGGATGAGCCAGCCATCCCGCACAGATGGTGGGAGGGAGAGGAGGCCGGAGCTTCAGCCAGTGCAGTGCCGTGGCCCCTGTTCTGTGGTTCACTGGGGTGTGAGGCCTTCCTTGGGCTCAGAGAGGGGGCCTCCGAGTCCTCATCCACAGAAGCCCTCTGTGCCACCAGCAGGGAACAGCCAGCAAACAGCCTTCACCCTGAAGATCCAGACGGAATTCTTGGTTTCTACAGCTGCTCCCTGCCTCTCCCCACAGCCACGGGAAGGGGAGTTAACCGAGGCAGCCCCCACCCGAGACAGACCTGCACAGGGCCAAGAACTTGCCCTGTGGTAGGGCTGGGGGAGGAGCGGCTGGTGGACTTTCTGTGTCAAAGGCAGGTGTCACTTTCAGCTCATTAATTTCACTTCTACAGGTTCTCAATCCACCAAAATGAGCTCTTTACAAAGGCCAGGACCTGCCCTTCTAGAGGACAGGCTCATACTTCCCAAAGCTTCAGGACTTGGGGTCCTGTGGCTGCCCATCCGTCAGCAGAACTGGGTGAGGCCAGCTGTGACATCAGACAAGTCCCCTGCCTCTGGCAATTCCTCAGCGGGGGGCATGACCTACTGTGCATTCCAGGGCTGGGGCACATGTACTTACCCCTTAGCCTTGGACCACAAGCCTCCCCCAGCCCAAAATGGAATGGGGACAGCCTCTGCCACAGGGAGGGGCAGGTGGTGCCGTGTGAGGGGCGGTGGCACCCAGGGCTTTTCTCACAAGGAAAAGGAACCTCGAAGTGTTTCTCTCTGCACACTTTGCCTCCCTCAAAGGCGGGCTCCTTCCTCTCCCACCCGCATCAGCAGCTGAGGCCCCAGAAGGGCCCACCTGTGTCCCGCGCACCATGCGTGAGATCGCTGATTGCCTCCTGGGGTAGTCGCAGCATGCTCGAGCCTCTCTGGACCCCATCCCAGCTGTCAACCAGGAAGCCCCCGTCAGGCTCCAAGACCCCCAGACGCTGGCCCGGGCTCCCCATTTTCACTTGATCCTCCCCGCCGTGTTTCTGTCTTCCTGGGGCTGCAGGCATTTTGGTCATGGCTGCATCACACCAGTGTCTGCGTCCGTGGCCACGCAGCCTCCTCCTTTTCTCCGTGTCTTAAACTTCTTTCTGTTCCCTCTTATCGGGACCTCCTGATGACATCAGACGCCGCCCCACCATGGTTCAGAACAATCTTTCCATCTCAAGATCCTCAGTTCAATCACATCTGCAGAGACCCTTTTTTTCCGTGTAAAGTAGCATTCACAGGTCCCAGGGATTAGGATCTGATATCTCTGGGGCCAGTACAGATGGGTTTGAGATTTGATCATGGAGAAAAGAAATGACGGCATTTAGCTCTATATCCTAGTCAACAGGGAGCCGCTGAGCATGACTGAGAAGAACGTCAAAAATCAAGCAGTTTTGTAAAAGAGTAAGGCCTCTCCACTCTCCTAAACCCAGCCAATTTCTCAAAATTTGTGAGAGCGGCGTCCTCCCAGCAGCAAACACAAGGGACACGTGTGTGCACCCAGACCGGCACCTACCACTCTAGACAGTCCCCAGAGCGAGGCTTAGGCCTGACGGCCGGAGATGCAACCGTGGCCAGGGGCCCAGAGCTCATCAAAACCTGCTCAGTCCAAGGCCTTAGGCTGAGCCTGACATCGTGTCATATTGTGGAAACACTCGTTCCCTCATTCAGCCAAATGCTTTTTAAAGCGACTTTTTGGCCGGGCACGGTGGCTCACGCCTGTCATCCCAGCACTTTGGGAGGCCGAGGTGGGAGGATCATTTGAGGTCAGGAGTGTGAGACCAGCCTGACCAATATGGTAAAACCCTGTCTCTACTAAAATACAAAAAAAAAAAACTAGCAGGGCATGGTGGTGTGCGCCTGTAATCCCAGCCACTCAGGAGGCTGAGGCAGGAAAATCACGTGAACCCGGGAGGCGGAGGTTTCAGTGAGCCAAGATCTTACCACTGCACTCCAGCCTGGGTGACAGAGTGAGACTCCGTCTCGAAACAAAAAAACAAAAAAAAAAACAAAAAAAACAAAAAAAGTGACTTTTTATTCTAAAACAGTTTTAGATTTACAGAAAAAATATGTAAATCTGTAAATGTCCTGATGGGGCTTGTGTTCTAGGAGTAAGACATCAGCTCTGCTGCTCAGATGTCCAGGAGGGTCTTCGGCGGAGCCTGGAGCCCCCCACCCCAGGGTCAGGGGTCTCTCCCTGGAAGGAGGGATCAGCGCCTGGACTTTGGGGAGGCCGCTTGGGGGCCACGGTGTGTGGAGACCCTGGGACATTCGTGTGAGTGCAGGTGGGGGTGAGACGCAGAGGAGAGGCATCTTGGGAGGAGAAAGAGCGCGGTGCCTGGGGGTGGCTGTCAGGTTGGGAGATCCTGGGGCTCATAGGGATTCTGGGGTCCCAGGGAACCCCTAAGTTTGGAGGCTGGAAGGGCCCCCAGCTGCCGTGGCCCTGGAGAGTTCCCAGAGTATTTCCTGACGAAATGAACAGAAGACCACAGCCTTCTGCAGCGGAGGAGAAGCATGCGGAGCATCCACATCTACAAAGGCCCCAAAGTGGAAAAACCTGTTGTTTTTCCTGAGCAGCCCGGCTGGAAACAATGGCGGTTTTGTTTCGCAGACTCCGCAGAATCTGGCGGGCAGGGGGATGGGGGCGCCGGATGCTGCAGGGAGGCGGCTGAGGGAAGGAGGGGGCGTCGACCCTTCCTGACCCACGGAGGACACCTCTCTGGCCCGCTTCGGGGGGGTGGGGGGTGGGTCGGTTTGCCCGGGAGGAAATCCCACTGCTTCCCACTCACAAGCCGGTGGGTGGCCGCGAGGCCTGGCCGCACAGCCTCATTCCTGCGACTTTCTTCTGCCTTGTGGCATGGCTTTTTCTTTTCCCCTAAGGAAAGTTTGCTTAAAGAGAAAGAGACACACATACCATTCTCTGGTCCTTTGAAGGGTTGAGCTAAGCTGGGTCAAGAGGAAATGGCTTGCTCAGTCACCCCTGAGAACAAAATACTCCCACGAGTTTTGGTGAGGCACTTGTGTCTTCTCAGCTCAAATCTCTACCACCCCACGGACAAGGCAGTTCAAATCCAGGCTCACCACCACCTGCTGTGTGGGTTGGGCAAGATGTGCGCATCTCTGAGCTTCGGTTCCTTGAGTGTAGAATAAGCATAACATCTGTGTAGAAGGATTACTGTGAGGGATGCTGTTTGTACACCTCCCACTGCCAGAACGCAAGTTCCATGAGTCTGGGGCTGTGTTTTCTCCATTGCTGCAAACCCTCTAAAATGTTAGCCGAGTTCATCAGGACCACAAGGACCACCACCACCATCATCGTCACCCTCACCCAAACGCTCAAATCTCCAAGTGTCTAAACTCATGGGTCTGTGCCAAATGCTACCATGCTTAGCGTCCCCAAAGCTAGAGTCACCACGAAGAAGGTTCTCTCCAGTATTACTGCCTTAAACTTCTAGCCCAGAACCCTCAATAAACTTGGGCACCTTTTGTGCTGGGCCTCCTTTAGCCGATGGCTCCAGGGCCCCTATCCCTGGCACAGAAGGCCATCGGCAATGTAGGGGGTAAGCTGGGGGGGGGGTGGGGGGTGAGCCGTTCAGCTCTGCTGAGCTGTGCTGTCTCATGGGAGTGGCCCCACCCTTCCAGGAACCTTCCTTGAGCAAAATCGTCAAATGTCAGCAGGTGGTCTTGAAATCCCTTCCTCTGTGACCCAGTAATTCAGAGATCTTAATGATGTTTCCCCAAAGTTAGAACATAGTGGCTGTTCCCTAACACACACACACACACACACCCTTTCTCTGTTATGTGTCTCCCATAATTTTTCTGTTTCTCAATTATGTTTCTTTCTCTGTTATGTTTGTCTATTATTTCTTCTTTGAATTGTCAATGCCTGCTTCTACTGGTCTGTACCAGGTTCTATTGCAATCACCTCTGGTTGGGGCAAAACTGCACATTTAGCTATTTTATGAGTGTTTCCTTGTACTTCATAGAGGGCACCAGAGCCCTTGCAGCATGTGGGCACACGGGTCAGAGGATGCAGACTGAAAGGAGCTTCTGGACGTGCATTCTATTCTCATTCTGGAGCCAAGGAAGTGAGAGGGGAAAAGGGAAGTGATTCTAAGCCTTTTGTGGGGTCTCATACATAACTCAGTTTCCACAAAGCTGTGCCCCAGCTCAGCCCTATGGATAGAAGCATGGTCTGGGGTTCCTTTGCTGACCAGGGTGTGTACTTTGTCCAAGTTATTGACCTTCCCAAACCTCATCAATGCACTTAAAAAGAGCACTTGCAAACAATGAATCTAGACATGGACCTTCACAAAGAAATAACTCAAAATGGATCCCAGGCCTAAATGAAAAATGAAAAACTATAAAACTCCTAGAAGATAACATAAAAGAAGATCTAGATGACCTAGGGTTTGGCAATGACTTTTTAGATCCAGCACCAAAGGCAGGGTCCAGGAAAGAAATAATTGATAAGCTAGACTTCATTAAAATGAAAACTTCTGCTCTGTGAAAGATGCTGCCAAGAAAATGAAAAGACAAGCCACAGACTGGGAGAAAATATTTTTGATGGAAATATCTGAGAAGAGAGGCTTGTTATCCAAAATATACAAAGAATTCCTAAAACTCAACAATTTGAAAATAAACAACCCAATTTAAAAAGTGGGCCAAAGATCTTAAATGATGCCTCACCAAAGAAGATACACAGATGGCAAATAAGCATACGAAAAGATGCTCCCGGCTGGGCACGGTGGCTCACGCCCGTAATCCCAGCACTTTGGGAGGCCAAGGCAGGCAGATCACCTGAGGTCAGGAGTTGGAGACCAGCCTGGCCAACATGGCAAAACGCTTTCTCTACTAAAAATACAAAAAAAAAAAAAAATTAGTGGGGTATGGTGGTGCATGCCTGTAATCCCAGCTACTCAGGAGGCTGAGGCAGGAGAATCACTTGAACCTAGGAGGCGGAGGTTGCAGTGAGCTGAGATTGTGCCACTGCAGTCCAGCATGGGCAACAAGAGTGAAACTCCATCAAGGAAAGAAAAGAAAGAAAGAGAGAAAGAAAGAAAGAAAGGAAGGAAGGAAGGAAAAAGGAAGGAAGGAAGGAAGGAAGAAAAGAGGCTCCTCATCACACATGTCATCAGGGAAATGCAAATTAAAATAAGCATAAGATATCGCCTCTCACCTAACAGCATGGCTAAAACCCAGAACTCCGACAACACCAAATGCTGGGCGAGGATGTGGAGCAACAGGAACTCTCACTCATTGCTGATGGGAATGCAAAATGGTGTGGCCACTGTGGAAGACAGTTTGGTAGCTTCTTAGAAAGCTAAACATGCTCTTACCATACCACCCAGTAATTACACTCCTTGATATTTACCCAAAGGAGTTGGAAACTTATATTCACATAAGAACCTACACACAGATGTTTATAGCAGCTTTATTCACTGTGGCCAAAATGTGGGAGCACCCAAGATAGCCCTCCATAAGTGAATGGATAATAAACTGTGGTCCATCCAGACAGTGGAGCATTATTCAGCACTAAACAGAAATGAGCTGCAAACCATGAAAGGATGTGGAGGAAACGTAAGTGCATATTACTAAGTCAAAGAAGACAGTCTTAAAAGGCTACGTAGTGTGTGCTTCCAACTGTGTGACATCCTGGAAAAGGCAAAACTGTGAGAGCCATCAAAAGATGAGTGTTGCCCGGGGCTGGCAGGAGGATGAGATGAACAGGCAAGACAGAGAGGATTTTTAGGGCGGTGAAACTACTTTGTATGATACCATAATGGTGGATAGATATTGTTAGAAATTTTTCCAAACCCACAGAATGTACACCACCAGGAATGAACCCTGATGTATGACAGAGCAGGAGCATCGCCATTTTGGACAAGTACCACTGTTTTAAAGTTCCCCATGACCAAAAACGGCCTAAATCCAACCCAAGGGGCATCAGCCTAATGGCTAATGTCAGCATGACCATAAATCACAAATGACATCTCCAACCAGAAACATGCCAACCCTAAGATAAACCCCTCCGTAACCAGAGACATGCCAGCCCAGAGGTAACCTTCCCTCCAACCAGAGACATTCCAACCCTGTAATAAACTTCTCCTCCACACAGAAACATCCTAAGGCTGTGATAAGCTCTCTCGCCCTGAACCCTTCCATACTCTTAGTCTGTAAGACAGAGCACTCCTGACTGAAATTGGCCAGAAGCTCCTCTCAGGTTTATTCTCCAAAATAAACCTATCTTGGACTGTTGAGCCACTTTTCATGATTCTTTCCTCTTTCTTTAACTCTTACAACGTAAACCATGGACTTTGGTTGATAATAATGTGTCAGTGTAGGTTTACAAGCTGGAATGAATGTACCACTCTAGTGAGGGTTGTTGATAATGAGAGAGGCAATGCCTGTGTGGGGGCAGAGGATATATGGGAAATCTCTGTACCTTCTGCTCAATGTTGCTGTGAACTTAAAACAGAGGTTTAGACTTTGCTCTAAAAATGAAGTTTATTAAAAATAGCACTTTCTTTATAGCTGTGTTGGGATGATATGAGATAACACAGGGAAAGCATGTAGAAAATGCCTGGCACATAATTATCATTACTATTGAGTTTCCTTTCCCATAGAACCCATCTGGCTTAGCACTATATTCTAAGCGTTTGGGCATATCACTGATGCTTGATAAATGTTTGAGGAATGAATGAGGAGGACCCTGCAACATATGCAGCCTGCATCTGCACATTGGCAAGAGCAACCCACAGCCCAACTGTGAATGTCTTAAATTACTTGGGCTCATTGTCCAAGATTTTTTATTTCTCCCAGCTATCGGACCCTAAGCAATTTGAGAGCACAGCCCATATCGTACATGTCTATGTATGACATGGTTGTATATTAAGGAAAGAAGCTACTGAACAATTTTACACTGAAAATGTCAAAACATTATTGAGAGAAATTAAATAAGACCTAAATAAATGGAGAAGTATACCATGTTCATGGATTCAAACACTCAATACCATTACAATGTTAATCTTCCCCAAAATTTATCTGTAATCTCAAAGTATTTGCAATCAAAACTCTAGCTGATTTTTTTTTTGGTGGAAGTTGATAAGCTGTTTCTAAAAGTTATACAGAGATGCAAAGGGATCTAGAATAGCCTATGTATTTATTTATTTATTGAGACAGAGTTTTACTCTTGTCACCCAGGCTGGAGTGCAATGATGCAATCTTGGCTCACTGCAACCTCCGCCTCCCAGGATCAAGCAATTCTCCTGCCTCAGCCTCCTGAGTAGCTGGGATTACAGGCATGTGCCACCATGCCCGGCTAATTTTTGTACTTTTAGTAGAGACGGGGTTTCATCATATTGGCCAGGCTAGTCTTGAACTCCTGACCTCGAGTGATCTGCCCACCTCGGCCTCCCCAAGTGCTGGGATTACAGGCGTGATCCACCATGCTGGCTGCCAGATGATCTCTAAAAAGAACAACACAATTAGAGGAGCTATACTATCTGACTTTAAGACTTACTATAAATATACAATAATCAACAAAGTATTATATTGGTGTATGAATGGACAAATAGTTCAATAAAATTAGAGAATCTAGACATAGACCCCATATATACAACTGACTTTTAGTAAAGACATCATGGCAACTCACTTGGAAAAGGGAAGACTTTTTAATAAATGGTGCAGGGACAATTGGTGATCACGTGGAAGGAAATAAATCTCTACCTCTATCTCAATCTGTGCACAAATATGAATTCGCAATGCATTGTTGCCTAAACATAGAACCTAGAGCAATAATGTTTACAGAAGAAAACACTAGAGAATATCTTTGTGATGTTGGGATAGGCAAGTATTTATCAGACAGAAGCCAAAAGTACTAACCAGAAAAGAAAAAAGTTAAATTTGGCTTTATCAAAATTGATAATTTCTGCTCATTAAATAACACTATTAGGAAATGGGAAAAAAAACAAGCTACAGACTAGGAGAAAATATTCACAGTGTAGATTTGGCATGGAACTGATCATCAAATAATATAAAGAACTGCTTCAAACCAGTAAGAACAAGACAAACCACCTGCTAAAAATGGACAAAAGGGCTGGGCGCGGTGGCGCACGCCTGTAATCCCAGCACTTTGGGAGGCCGAGGTGGGAGGATTGCTTAAGGTCAGGAGTTCGAGACTACCCTGACCAACATGGTGAAACCCTGTCTCTACTAAAAATACAAAAATTAGCCAAGGCATGGTGGCTGGCGCCTGTGATCCCAGCTACTCAGGAGGCTGAGGCAGAAGAATTGTTTGAACCCTGGAGGCAGAGTTTGCAGTGAGCCGAGATCACTCCATTACACTGCAGCCTGGGCAACAGAATGAGACTCCATCTCCAAAAACAAAAACAACAACAACAAAAAATGGACAAAAGATTTGAACACAACCTTATGCAAGAAAATCCACAAATGGTCCCTAAGCTCAGTAAAAGGGGGTCCACATCATCAGTCATCAGGGAACTAGAAATGCAAATCCCACAGTGAGATGCAGCCTCACGCTCACTAAAAGAGCTAAAAGGAAAAAACAAGACAAGCCCAAGTGTAGGTAATGAAGCAGGACAACCAGGTCCCTCACTGATCGTCAGGGAGTTACTGTGGAAATCTCTGCGAGGGTTTCTAATAGGCAAAATGTCTTCTGCTCAGTGACCCCTCATTTCAATTCCTAGGTAGGCACATAAGAGAAGTGAAACGTGGCCACAAGAAGGCATGGATAAGAATGCTGACAGCAACTTTATTCGTGACAGTCAAAACCCCTCTAACATTCCAAAGATCTATTCAAATGTTAACAAGTAAGTGACCTGAAACGGTGATAATTCATTCATCCCATGGGCTCTTGCTCAGTGATAAAAAGGAATGAGCCACTGAAATACACAACAGCATAAATTAATCTCAAAAACACCATGTGAAGCAAAAAACCGGCAGATACAAAGGAACATAAGCTATAGGATTCTGCTTAAAGGAAGTTCAAGAAAAGGCAGAAGTAACGCAGGCTATAGAGATTCAAAGAGTGGCTGCCTCTGGGAGATGTTGGTGGAACTGACTGGAAAAGAGATGAGAGAAATTTCTGGGGTGAAAAACGTTCTATGTCTTCATATGAGTGTTGATTATATAGGCTATACATTTGTCAAAACTCATCAAATCACACACTTAACATATGTGCTTATTACTGTAAGTTATGCTTCAGTAATACACGCATACACATGTGTGTATATATACTTCATTCAAATGAAGTCATAGTCTCTATAGATATCAACATACTTAAGTATTTAGAAAAGAACTTCCGGGAATGGCATGAGAGCTGAGTGGTTATGTGAACCTTCCCGCAGATAACAACTCCAAACACTTCATAAAATGTAAACAGTGATGATTTAAATACTCTATAAAGAGATGAGAAGCCAAGAGAAGCCAGAGGAGAGGTGACTGTCAACTGCAAATGGAAGTGTTAGGAGCTGTGAGTTTGCAGCTTTCTGTCTTGACGGCACAGCCTTGGTGGAAATCACAGCCCGACAGACTCCAGGTGCCAGAGATGAGGGGCAAGACTGCCTGGGTGTGGAGTATATACATACAGGGGAGATCTTGGCAGTGAGAAAAGTTGGCTTGAAACTCCACATCCAGGGTGAGCTCTGCCCAAATCCCTGGCTGACAATTAGACTGTGCATATGCAGAGGGAGTCCCAGGCAGCCACCAATAAGCAGGGAAACGCCAGAGTGGAGGCACTTCTTGAAAGATGGAGTTGCACAGGGCAAGGTCTGTGTGCTGCTGCCTTTTTAAATGAGTGCATGCCCCAGCTGTGTGCAGCTCAAGAGGCAGACACCTGAAGCCGTAGATGCTTGAAGAGGACAGAGCCCAAAGCTGGCAGAGCTGTGGAAATTCAGGAGTACTCACTGGAAGCAAGGAAGCCACTGAGACATTGAGACCCTAAATCTGAGCATAGCCTTAGCCCAGATCCATGGCTGCCTGCCCCGTTGCACAGGTGCAGGGAAAATCTCCAGGATTCAGGCTTAAAAATCAGCAGCTGCAGCCATAAGAAGAGAGCAGGGGCCCGGCGCGGTGACTCACACATGTAATCCCAGCACTTTGGGAGGCTGAGGCAGGTGGATCACTTAAGGTCAGGAGTTTGAGACCAGCCTGGCCAACAAGGTGAAAACCTGTCTTTACTCAAAATACGAAAATTAGCCAGGTGTGGTGGTATGCACTGATAGTCCCAGCTACTCAGAAGGCTGAGACAGGAGAATTGCTTGAACCCGGGAGGTGGAGGTTGCAGTGAGCCGAGATCACGCCACTGCATTCTAACCTGAGCGACACAGCAAGGCTCCATCTCAAAAAAAAAAAAAAAAAAAAAAGACAGCAGGGACATTAGCTGCTTACCACAGAGATGGCAATGTTTGTCCTTAGAATCCAGCACATGACAGCTGTTAGAACAAAAAAAGCAACAATCTTCAGAAGAACACAACAGATTCCAGAGCTGCTGCTGACATAGCATCTACATTCTACATGTAGATTACCTGACACGTGCATGTAGACATGACACATGCAATGTTCAAATGTTAAATGACATTCAACAAAACAGGGAAGTGTGACTCGTGCTCAAGAACAAATGATTCCCAGTTAATCCAGATAATGGATTTCACAGAGAGAGTTGAAATGAGATGTCATAAATGTGTTCAGAGAGCTGAAGGAAAATGTGCTATCAAAAACCAAACAGGCCGGGCACGGTGGCTCATGCCTGTAATCCCAGCACTTTGGGAGGCTGAGGCAGGTGGATCACCTGAGGTCAGGAGTTTGAGACCAGCCTGGCCAATAAGGCGAAACCCCGTCTCTACTGCAAATACAAAAATGAGCTGGGTGTGGTGGCAGGTGCCTATAGTCCCAGCTACTCGGGAGGCTGAGGCAGGAGAATCGCTTGAACCCGGGAGGCAGAGTTTGCAGTGAGCCGAGATCATGCCGCTGTGCTCCAGCCTGTGGGACAGAGCAATACCCCATCTCAAAACAAAAAAACCCAAAAATGGAAAAACCCCAAACAGGTAGGAAGCCTCAACAAAGTAACAGAAACTACAACAGACACGTGATAAATCTGGAGCTCAAAAGTACCATGACTGAGATTTTAAAAACTTGCTAGTTTTTAAACAGATTGGGGTTGGAAGAAGAAAGAATCAGAGAACTTGAAAATAAGTGAAAACAAATTACTTAATTTGAAAAATGGAGTAAACATTATTGAAAAGAAAGGAATAGAACCAGAAACCTATGCAAAAACCGCCAGCAGTGCAGCCTATGTGGAAATGGAATTCCAGAGGCATGAGAGGGAAAGTCACTGGAAAAATATGTGAAGAAATGACATAAAACTTCCCAGATTTGGTGCAAAACATAAATTTACAGTTCTAAGAATCTCAGTGAAGCCCGGGCAGTATAAACAAATCCGTCGACAACAGAATGGATAAACGAACTGTTTTATATTCACAAAATGAGATACTATTCAGCAATAAAAATTATAAACTAGAGCTACATGTAACAGAATGAATAACTCTTCACAAAAAATATATTGAACAAAAGAAGCCTAATGCACAGGAATAACGTGATATGATTCCACTCATATAAAGTTCAAATAGGCGAGACTAACTCAAGGTGATAGAGGTGAAAATGGCAGCGCCTTTAGTGAAGAGGAGAGGGAAGTCCCACGGAGGTGCAGTAGGAGCATCTCTGGGGTGTTGGTCTTGTTCCGTTTCCTGATCTGATTGGTGGCTTTGTTTTGTGAAGACGCTTTGCATTAGATATATACAACTTTGCTTTTCTGCACATACATTATACTTGAATTGCAAAGTAAGAATGTTTTTAATTTTAAAAAGGGATAGACAGAGAATAATGAGAGGTAAGCGACGTTTTCATTTGAGGAGCCAACTTCAACCCAAATCCTGGAGGTCGAGAAGGAACCAGCTATGCTGAAGGTCAGGGAGGAGCACTTGGCACAGGGGCCTTGGGGTGAGGAGGAGTCACACATGATCTAGAAGCAGGTCATGGGGGCTGGGTGCAGGGGCTCACACCTGTGATCCCAGCAATGTGGGAGGCCAAGCAGGGAGAATCACTTGAGTCCAGACCAGCCAGGGCAAAATAGCAAGACCCTGTCTCTATAAAAAAATTTAAAAATTGGCCGGGCGCAGTGGCTCACGCCTGTAATCCCAGCACTTTGGGAGGCTGAGGCAGGCGGATCACAAGGTCAGGAGATCGAGACCATCCTGGCTAACACGGTGAAATCCCGTCTCTACTAAAAATACAAAAAAATGGCCCGGCGTGGTGGCAGGCACCTGTAGTCCCAGCTACTTTGGAGGCTGAGGCAGGAGAATGGCGTGAACCAGGGAGGTGGAGCTTGCAGTGAGCCGAGATGGCGCCACTGCACTCCAGCCTGGGTGACAGAGCAAGATTCCAACTCAAAAAAAAAAAAAAGAAAAGAAAGAAAGAAAAAGAAAAAGAAAAAAAAAATTGGTAGTTGTGGTGTAGTCCCATCTTGGGAGTCCTGCTTGGGAGGCTAATGTGGGAGGATGGCTTGAGCCCAGGAGTTCAAGACTACAGTGAGGTATGATTGTGGCCCTGCACTCCAGCCTGAGCAACAGCCTGAGACCCCATTTCTTTCTTTTTTTTTTTAAACAGAAGCTGTCTGTGGGTATTGATGGCATATTGTTATCTTACCCATAAAAGGAGTGGAGCTACTATCCAGCAGTGGCTCAGGGCACCTGGGACATGGGATACTGGATAATCCCTGTGGCTATTTCATTTGGGGCATCAGCAATGGATGTGGGGTTAAAAAGAGCGCATAGACGTGTGTGCAGCGTGAGAGTGAGACAGCCAGGGGCCAAGACACACGGACACACAGTCACAGAGGGAGACAGACACACTGAGGAAGGTGGACAGAGAGGCCGAGGGACACAGAGGGGAGGGAAAGACTGAGGCTGAGACCATGGTGCGCACACAGAGAGATCATCCCTGCCAGACAAAGGAAAAGCTTTGAAGTGGAGAAAGGGCACCTGCCTCAGCCCGACAGCTGGCTTCTGATCCCCGCTCTGCTACCACTGGCTGATCTGTTGAAATGAGTGGCTGGACCTCCCTGTACCCGTCTCCTTATCTGCAATGTGGGGGAGTCTAGATGAATAAATGCAAAGGTTTCTAACTCCAAAGTTCCATGATGCTGAGTTCATAAACATGTTATAACACTCTCTCTTTTATTTAATGTTATAACTAGCCCATCTTCCTCTCTCATGGTACTATTATAGCATACACTCAAGTTTTATACATTCTACACAAGTTAAAATTAGTTGGGGGGAATTGTTTTTTTGAGACAGGGGTCTCACTATCTTGCCCAGGCTGGTCTCAAGTGATCCTCCTGCCTTGGCCTCCCAAAGTGCTGGGATTACAAGCATGAGCCACTGTGCCTGGCAGCTGGGGGGAATTTTTAGAGAGTGTTGCAACTCTGAGAGAGAAACTGGACCAATATTTCAGTCCCAGAATGTCTGCTCACAGCTTTTATCAAAGACACAGATCCATTTGACCGCCTTTTTCACGCTTGGTCCTATGAGGCCTGGTTCAGCTGTGAACTTTTCTTGATAATTTTCACAGTGGTTACTAAATGCCCTTCTACGTTGAAGGCAAGCTCTCTCACCCTAAGAGTGCTTTCTCCGTTCCCTTAAAAATGGCCAATTCTATTTCTCTCCTTGTGTATCCCACTGGTTGGTTCACAAGCCCCCAAAGTCAGAGACTGGTTCTCTGGCTCTCATCTGTCTCTGACCTGGCTGTGGCCTGTCTCTCCAACCCCACTGGAGCAGCCCTGTGTGGGTGGCCTCCCACTTGGTTGAGGCTGGCTGCTCTGATAGCCTTCCGTCCAGCCGCGTCACAGCTTGGGACGACCACTGAACAATGCTTATACGTTCCGAGGGTCAGGAATTTGGAAGTCTGGCGGCTCAGCTGGGAAGACTCAAATCTGGACATGACCCAACCATGGGAGCTGGGTTCACCCAAGCAGTCACTCATTCATACACTCACTCACTCACTCATTCACTCACTCACTCATTCACTCATTTACTCACTCCCTCATTCACTGACTCATTCACTCACTGACTCATTCACTCACTCATTGACTCACTCACTCGCTCACTGACTCACTCACTCATTGACTCACTCACTCATTCACTCAGTCATTCACGATTCACTCATTCACTCACTCACTCATCCACTCATTCGCTCTCAATCATTCATTCACTCACTCACTCATTCACTCAGTCATTCACTCACTCAGTCACTCACTCATTCATTCACTCATTCACTCACTCATTCCCTCACTCATTGATTCATTCACTCATTCACTCATTCATTCATTCACTCACTCACTTATTCACTCATTCATTCATTCACTTACTCATTCACTCACTCACTCATTCACTCATTCACTCACTCATTCATTCACTCACTCATTCGCTCATTCACTCACTCATTCACCATTCACTCACTCATTTACTCACTCATTCACTCACTCACTCATTCACTCGCTCACTCATTTACTCACTCTTTCACTTGTTCCTTCACTCATTCACTCACTCATTCACCATTCACTCCCTCATTCACTCACTTATTCCCTCACTCATTCACTCACTGATTCACTCACTCATTCACTCACTCACAGTCACCTCTTTACCTTTGCCCTTGCTGCTCCTGCTCCCTAAAGCAGTGGTTCTCAAAGTGTGGTCCCTGGACCTGCAGATCAGCATCACTAAAACTTGTTGAAAATGTAAATTCCTGGGCTTCACTTTGACCTACGAATCAAAAATTCTGGGTTGGTGCCAGTGATCTGTGTTTTAGCAAGCCCTCTTGGCGATTCTAATGCAGGCTGAAGTGTGAGAACCACTGTGCCAAGACAGCCTCCTACCACCCGTCTCCATGCCTGATTGATGCCTACAGGTCCTTCAACAAATTCTCCCCTCATCCGGGAATCCTTACTTGGCTTGCTCTGAGATGGGGTTCCTGGTCCCCCAGCTCCTTTGCTCCCCCACTATGATGCTCATCACACCTGTTTCTGCCAGTCTCCTGGGGAAAGTTTCCTGAAGATGGAACTGGTACCTGACACATCAGGTGCACAGCAAATGTTAAATAAAGAAGGGATGAGTTAATGAATGAAAACATGAGTAAGTGAATGAACACAGACTTTACTGAGTCTTTTCTGGTGGTAGAGTTGGGTTATGAACATGGGCAAGGCGGAGCTCCTGCCCTTGGCTTGCTCTCAGAACATCATGGGGAGCAAAGAAGAAATGAATGAGGCCCTCCAGGGGCTTGGGGCCAGAGCTGATGGCTGCACGAGGGACCTTTGAGCACTGGCTGACCTTCCTGTGTCCAATAATCTTTGCATGGCGCCCAGGCGATGCGTCCTCTCTGCTTTTGTTGGATGAGCCAAAGCAATCATTCCAGCTGCTGAGCCAGGCAGGAGGATGTCCCAGGGCTATGTACTGCTCTAGCCCCAGTCCCTGTGGTCTGTTCGGCTGCCTTTGTCACCGGGACACACACCAGACACGCTCAATGTCTGGACTTCAGTCATCCTTCCTCACTGGTCTTTGTTCTAGTGTCTGGTGGCTGCATGGAGAGTTCCCAGAGCAGCTCTGATCCAGAGTAAACAAACTCTGCCCACCGTGTGATCTGAAGAAATGGCCTAAAAATAGGCCGGGGAGTCTTGACTCATGAGCTCTGTAGGCAAGGGGGAGAAGGACACTTGGGGATGAGAATTCCCCTCTTCGGGATTTGGGCTTGTGGAGGATGAGGAAGGTGACCGTCATGTGGTGACTCATCTGGGAAAGCTCAGAGGCGACTATTGCCTGTCAGCCTTGGATTTCTCCTGGGCAGCTGACCTCCCAGCCTCAGGGCTCATCTCCAGGACCCATAGAGGGAGATGACAGCAGTGAACTTCAGCCCTGCTGAGTCTCACAGGGGCTGCGGGAGGACGGTGCGGGAGGACGGTCCATGAGGGAGAGGCCAAGAGCCTACGCATCCTCTCTCCAACTGTTCCGGAGCCAGACTCCAGCAAGCAGCAGACCATGAGAAACAGCTCTGCTCCCACAGCCTGCAGGACTGAGTCACAGCCTCCTCCTCTACTTAATCATCCTCATAGCCCGAAGTCCTTACTACATCTGCCCTAAGTTCCTCATGCTGCAGCAAGGCTGCACCAGGCTCACATGACTGTACCTCTGCTGAGACATCTTCATCAGGAAGGACTCAATCCCCTCAGAACACACCCCTTCTTTTCTCCCCTCCCTCATAGCAACATGACCCTTGATGAAGGGTCCACAGAGACCAAATGCTCTTTCCCTCGGAAACAAAATTCCTTTGCCCTACGGGTGTGTCCTGCTGCTCAGGAGTGCTGGGGCTGTAGGACAAGGCCTAGTCTTCTGATGGGTCTTCTGATCAGTTCATGGTCTTCCTTTTAGCAGTGATATATTGGTGTCCCAGGGTTGTGCACTACTTCAGAGGGTCTCTTCTAGTCATTGGCACCAAGTTCCACATCTCCTGGGGACCATAAGTTTTTCTGCTTTCCTAAATCATAAACTTTCTGAGCCATGCCACTGGGCATATAATATGCACCAGTTGTCAAACTTAGGTGACTGTTTTATGCTTACCCAGCCATCCCTCTGTTTAGCTACCCATCCACCCACTCATCCATCCAACCATCCATTCACCCACTCATCCACTTACCCATCCACCCATCAATTCATCTATCCATCCATAAACCCATTTACCCACCCATCTACTAATCCATGCATTCATGCATCTACTCACCCATCCTTTCACTTATACATCCATCTACCTAGACACCCACACATCCATCCATCCATCCATCCATGCATCCATCCACCCATCCAGCCATGCACCTGCCCATCCATCAATTCACTGATCCAACCATCCATGAATACATGCATCCACCCACTCATCAATGTATCCACCCACCCATCCTTCCACCCATCCATCCATCTATCCACCTATCCATCCATCCATCCATCCATCCATCCATCCATCCATCCACCCATGCTTTCACCCATCCACCCATCCATCCATCCACCCATTCACCCATCCACTCACCCACTCATCCACCCATCCATCCATCCACCCACCCATCCAGTCATTCATCCATCCATCCATTCACCCATCCATCCATGCATTCACCCTCCCAAACCCCCACCCACCCATCCATGCATGCATAAATGCATGTATCCACCCATCCATCCACCTACCCACCTATCTGTCTGTTCATCCACACATCCACCCATCCACGCATGCACCCATCCATCCATCCATCCACCCACCCACCCATTCAGCCATCTACCTATCCATCCATCCATTCACCCATCCACCCATGATCCATGCACTCACCCATATGTACATCCATCCATTCACCCATTGACTCATCCATCCATCCACACATACATTTTTATATATATATATATATATATATATATATATATATGCATCCAGCCAGTCTCCATCAGTTCACCTATCCACTCATCCACCCATGCATCCAACCATCCATCCATGCACCCATCCATCCTTCCATCAATGCATCCACCTATTCATCTATTCACCCACCAATTCCTTTATCCATCCATCCATCCATCCATGCATCCATCCATGCATGCATCCATCCATCCACTCATCCTTGCATCCATCCATCTATTCATCCACCCTTCCATCCACCCATCTATCCACCCATCCACCCATTTATCCATCCATCCACCCATCTGTCCACCCATCTACCCATCCATCTACCCATCCACCCACCCACCAATCCATCCAAACAGCACAGAGGAGGCATCTCCTCTGGGCCACCTGCTAATGTACATGCAGGGACCATGGGGTTGAAGGAGATGCTCTACTCCCTCTGCTCGCCTGGGAACCCAAGTTCACTTGTCTTTGAGAAATGCAGTCTTGGGGAGGTCCATCAGCAGATGACTACAGAGGAGGGGACAAGTGTCAAATGTGAACACAACTGATGGACGCTCTGTGCCTGGAGAATCTGAGGAAACTTCCAGAAGGGGTGGGTACATCTTATATCCCAACTGTGGCCAGAACCCTCTTGTAGACAGGGACTGGATCCTACTGGTATGACCATGGAAGAGCTCAGTGGGACAGGCATCCATGACTGAGCAGGCTTAGAGTGAGTGCTGTCAGGCTGTAAATGGATCTCTCAGCACTGGTGACCAATGGACCAACACTGACTATCTCAGGTGGGTGCCACTCTATGGTGGTCACGTGAGGAGCTTATGAGCTGGCCACCAGCCAAGGACAATTCACTGTCTTCCAGCCTCGTGAGCCATTTGCTGAGCCCTGTCATGAGCAGTGATGATAAAGCAGCAGAAAGTGGACCCAGGGGATGCAGAATACCAGGGCTGGCCAGCAGTGAGTTTGGGGACACAAGGCGGGTAGACATTCCCCACCGCGTCAGTGTCTCCCTGTGGGGTTCGGTGAGCTGAGTCAAAGGCTTCTGTTCCTTTTGTTTTTGTTCATTCCATAAAGGATTTTCCTTGACTCATGGTTTCCCAGCTAGCTCCTTCCGAAGCCCCGGCAGGCAGGGGTGAATGCGTGCTCCAGGCTGCTGCTCCTTGGGTTTTCCCCTCCATGACAGGAATGTGTAAACACCCTGGGCTTTAGAGACAGTGCCAAGCCCCATGTGCCGGAGATGCCTCATGCTTTCAGGCAATGGCTAGCATCCTTGCTGTGGGAACCAGGCTGACCCTCAACCCGCTGCTGCCTAAGACCCTGCCTGGGAAAGGGGGCGGTGGTCAGGCTGGAGCTCCCTCCCATCTGCTCTGGGCAGAACTAGGTCCTCCCAAAGTGCACATGTAGAAGTCCTAACCCCCAGGGCCTAAGAATGTGACTGTATTTGGAGACAGGCTTAGAGAGGTGACTAAGGTAGCATGAGGTCATCTGGGTGGGCCCCAGTCCAATCTGCCTGGTGTCCTTCTAGGAGAAGATTAGGACATAGATGCACAGAGGGATGGCCATGTGAGGTCACAGGGAGAAGGCGGCCTCGACAAGCCAGGGAGAGGCCTCAGAAGAGCCAGCCTTGCCGGCACCCTGACTTGGACTCTGGCCTCCAGAGCTGTGCGGAAATGCATTGTTGAAGAATTTTGAATGCATTTTGAATTTTGAAAATGCATTTAGAGAAGAAGCCGCAGACCAGGGTGAGACGGATGAGAAGCCGCTGATGAGAAGCCCTTGAACCTTCGGGCCCAGCGTGGGGCTCCAGGCTCCTCACCCTTGACCACTAGAGCCGGTTGCAGAGTGCCGGGCTCTGAGTGCCTTTCCTGAAGGATGGCTTGGGCCACCTGCAGGTGGTGCTCTCTGCGACTTCCAGGGTTGGGGGACCCATGCCAGCCCCACCAAAGCCTCATGAGCTCCTTGCTCAGCCTTTAACTGTCTCGCCAAATCCCCTGGGTACGGCATGAACCCCCTTCCTCCCGTCCTGTCTGCACAGCAGCGGGAAACAGTGCCTTCTAGCCGCAGGGTGCCTCCAACTCCCACACATTCCCAGAACTCCGGGAGGAGCCCTTGAGCCTCTCCTCTCCAGGCTGAGTCTCCACGGGGCCCTGAACTTGCTGGAGCAGGTCCCTCACCCTGAAGGGCAGGGGCAGCTGGGAGCACGTTGTTCCACCGGCCCCAAGCATGCTCCTTGTCATCTCATACCACCTCAGACACGGCATCCTTCTCCCCATGTTCCAGTGTGCATGGTGGAGAGGCCATGGAGCATCCCAGGGGTACAAGGTGATGACATCAGTGGTGTGATCGGGATGGCTGGGGACCAGATGTCAACACTCCCTGCCAGTGGGCTCTGCAAGTGCCTGCCAGGACCCTGAGCCTGTCATGAGTGCAAGGGAGGGACAACCACCGTGTCTGGTTCAGTGCTGGCTCCCCAGTTGTCGCCTGGGCCCTGGTGACACCTGAGCCCACCCCAGTGAGGGCACTGTCCCTAGAGCTCAGCCACCAACAGAGCTGCCACCAAGTCTGGGTTCATTCTCTTGAGCCTTACAGGTCCCCAACAAATAAACTTTTCATGTGACAATAGGGCTTTTTTTTTTTTTTTAGAGGGAGTCTCACCCTGCCGCCCAGGCTAGAGTGCAGTGGCGTGATCTTGGCTCACTGCAACCTCCACCTCCCGAGTTCAAGCAATTCACCTGCCTCAACCTCCTGGGTAGCTGGGATTACAGGTGCGTGCCATGACGCTTAGCTAATTTTAGTAGAGACAGGGTTTTGTCATGTTGCTCAGGCTGGTCTCAAACTCCTGACCTCAAGTGATCTGCCCGCCTCAGCCTCCCAAGTCCTGGGATTACAGGCGTGAGCCACTGCGCCTGGCCTAACAATAGCACTTTTAACCCATGCTGCTCCGTGACCAAGCAGGGACAATGGCAGAGCCCTGCCAGGCAGCGTCTGACATGGTGTGGGTGGCCCTCCTGGCAGCCAGGGCCTGCAGGAAGATGGGGTTTCTGCCCAGCCCCTGGGGTGGGCCTCGGTGGCAGGCAGCTTGTGTGTCTCTTACCCCCACTGAGAGAGGGCTGGCGGTGCGGCCTGGGGCACACTGAGGGTCCCTGGCGTCAGCAGGGGTGGGGAAGTGGGCTGGGAAGGACTTTTCCAGCACAAGGGGCTTTTCTTTTCAACCATCCTTCAAACCAACTCACGGTTGCCCGTGGCTGCAGGTGACAGTGGTGATGTGCCTGTCTCCAAAAACGTCCCTAAGTTGCCTTCCGCCTGGAGCGGTTAATTTCCCCTATGTTGAGGGCTCTGGGGTTGGCAGATACCCACTCTCCAGCCTTGCATCTTACACAGTGGCCTATCCCAGCTCCAGAGACGCTTCTCTCGCTCTCTGGTTGATGCATCTGCGTCTCTGTGGACCCCACGTTCTGCATATTAGTACATTCCCTTTTCAATTCTTGCACCTGGTGGGCACAGTGTTGAGGCCAGGCGGTCAGCATGCCCGTGACCGATCCCATACAGAAAGGTCAGCCTCCCCACGCAGCCCTGGGCAACTGTCAGCTGCTAGCTGTGGCCTCTCTCCCAACATGCTCTTTCTCTGCCTCTCTCCTTCCCTCCCTCCAAATCTCTCTCTCTTCCCCCATCACACGATTATTAGAGGAATGACTGGACTTCCTCCCACTCCTCCTCAAGTGACTCACTTCTGAAGGTCAGGCCACACTGTGGCTAAGTGAAAGAAACCCGTGTGAGAAGACACATCCTGACCTCCAGAAATGACCGGGAGCACCTCCCACTGCTGATTGGGGCTGGCAGGACAGAGCAGGCTTTGAGAATCACCCCCTTAAATCATCATAGGCAGCCAGCATCGCCGGCTCAGGGTCAGTCACCAATGGGCATGGGTGTTTGGCTCTTCTCTGGGCAGGAGGATCGATGGCCCCGAGCACAGGCCAGAGCAGCAGCCCCTCCACCGCCAATGGGGCCTGGGCAGGTCTGCCTGAGCTTTTCCACCATCAGATTGTAATACCTACCTAGCTGGGCAATTTCAAGCTGGAAATAATGTAAATTTCTGGGCATGCAAGATAACACTGTCATTAAGAGACCACAGTGATTGTTAGCCAGGCATGGTGGCTCACACCTGTAATCCTAGCACTTTGGGAGGCCGAGGCGGGTGGATCACGAGGTCAGGAGATTGAGACCATCCTGGCTAACACGGTGAAACCCTGTCTCTACTAAAAAAAAAAATATATATATATATGTATATACAAAAAAAAAATAAGCTGGGCGTGGTGGCAAGTGCCTGTAGTCCCAGCTACTCGGGAGGCTGAGGCAGGAGAATGGCGTGAACCTGGGAGGCGGAGCTTGCAGTGAGCCGAGATCATGCCACTGCACCCCAGCCTGGTGACAGAGCGAGACTCCGTCTCAAAAAAAAAAAAAAAAAGAGACCATCATGAAAATTCGCACTCAGACCCATTCCTGATCCCATCATATTCCAAGTCTCACCTGAAGCAAAGCAGTAGATGAAAGAATCCTGTAGTTCTTGGCACCTTTTATACAAGTGGCTTTCAACAGTCAATGCTAGAACTTAAAGAATCTTCTTCATCTTCTTTTTAACCACATAAAGGGGAAATAATTAAAACAACTACTTTTCCATTTTTTCCCAGCTGATCTACCCAACTCACAACTCTGGATTGTAAAATGAACAAAAACGAGTAGGACCAGTAGAAAAACCCCAGAGAATAGCCGATGGCAGAGACTTCGGCACAACCCCACCTCCCTCACCCGCACCATGGCAGACATGTCTAATCTACACAGAGCTAGACCCAGACTCCAGACAGCCATTACCAGTCAATCCCAGTTCATGTGCAAGATTAAACCAGTTACTCATAGCCCGTTTTACCATGAATCAGACAAGGTCAGAAAGGGGGCAGTGACTCACCCAGCCTCACACAGTCACCAAGGAGGCTGGACTGTATCTCCTGAAGCCGGGCAGACAGCCAAGGCCATGGAGGGAGGGAGGCCGGATCTCCACAGGGCTGAGGGGCAGGAACTTTCAGAAGCATGTTCTGTATGCAGTGATTCCACTACAAAGCAGAGGCGCCTGCTCTTCTCAACAAGGACAGTGGGCTCCTGGGCTCTGGTGGATTATCACAGGGCATGGCTGCCCCAGGGTCAGGCTCCGGGCTCTGCCCCCTTCCCTGCAGAGAAGGCTGGGATCTCCATGGTTTTAAGAGGGTTGATAGGAAGCTATCAACTTCACTGCCTTCTGGTCCTGAATGTTCTCAGATATATACATTTTAAAGAGTTTAAATTAAGTGGTGATTGGCAAACCCCAGTCTCCAACCCAGAGAGGACCTGGACAGTTGCCTCCTAAGGGAAGCCCTCAAGTTGGCCTGGACAGACCCGGGCAGTCTACCTCGGGTCTATCTAGAGTCTATCTGGGGTCTATGTATCTAGGATCTATCTATTTAGGGTCTATCTAGGGTCTATTTAGGGTCTATCTAGGGTCTATCTATCTAGGGTCTGTGCGCCCCACTTTGGGACATCCCTTCCTCCTGCCTCCTTCCCAGCAGCATCAGGGAGGGACCCCTGTGTGTCACTTGTGCGGCTCTCCACCCGACAGAGGGACAAAAGGGCTCATTCCTCTCTCCCTTCCCACGGGGAACTTCCAGCCTCCCTTCTGTTCCCTACCATGCAGTTCAGCAGACACAGGGTGAGTGGGTGCTGCGGGCCACATGGCAGCGTGGGCATCCCCCTCCCTGTCAGAGCTCCCAGTTGGGAGGGGCGGAGCACAGAGAAACAGGTGAAAATTAGAGGGTGGATTTCATCATCTCCAGAAACTTAGGAGAAACCAAGATACCTTCATAGGTGAACGGATAAGCTGGGGTCCCTCCAGACAATGGAATATTTTTCAGTGCTAAAAAGAAAGGAACTGCCAGGCTGTGAAAAGGCAGGGAGGAATCTTAGATGCTGCTAGGTGAAGAAGCCCATTGGAAAAGGCTGGATACTGTGTGATTCCAACTCCATGACATTCAGGAAAAGGCAAAACCATGAAAACAAGAAAGATCAGCAGCTGCCGGGGCTGGGCAGAGGGTGACTGGCAGGAGCACAGAGTGCAGGAAGGGTGAGTGGCAGGAGCAAGGAGGGCAGGGAGGGTGCATGGCAGGAGCACGGAGGGCAGGGAGGGTGAGTGGCAGGAGCACAGAGGGCAGGGAGGGTGAGTGGCAGGAGCACGGAGGGCAGGGAGGGTGCATGGCAGGAGCAAGGAGGGCAGGGAGGGTGCGTGGCAGGAGCATGGAGGATTTAGGGGCCCAGGAAGCTGCTCTGTGATACTGTAATGGGGATCGTGTGCCATGATTCATCTGTCAGCACCCACAGAATGTTCTCAGTAGTGGAACTGGAGGGCAAGGGAGGATGGAGAGAAGGGATATGGTAATTGTTATCTGTTCTATTTTCTGAAACCTAAAGCTGCTCTTAAAAATAGTTTATTAATTAAGAAAAAATTAGAGGGATGCTGGCTTGCTTGGCAGAGCACTGATTCTTTTAAGTCTGTGAACCAAAAATAATTTTTTTTTTTTTTGAGACAGAGTCTCGCTGTGTCTACAGTGGCACTAGCTCGGCTCACAGCAACCTCCGCCTCCCAGGTTCAAGCGATTCTCTTGCCTCAGCCTCCCGAGTAGCTGAGCTTACAGGCACCCACCACCACGCCTGGCTAATTTTTGTATTTTTAGTAGAGATGGGGTTTTGCCACGCTGGCCAGGCTGGTCTTGAACTCCTGACCTCAGGTGATCCACCTGCCTCGGCCTCCCAAAGTGCTGGGATTACAGGCGTGAGATACCGTGCCCAGCCCAAAAATAAAACTCTAAGCTCCCCAACCAACTGAATGGAACCCTCTTCTCAGCCAAGAGGATTCCAAAGTAAACCTAAAAAACAAGTTCAGGCTGTGATGGGAAGTGGGGGTCGGACACGTCTCTTTATACCCCCCTCCCTATGGAATTCAGGCCCAGCTGACCAGCACTCACATTAAAACCGAGAGTTTAAGACTGACAGCACAGGCTGTTTGTAGCAATAAGACACCAAATTCCAACCCGAGTCTAGTATAACATCACATGACAGGGAGCAGGTCCTGGAAGGAATAGAGTGTTTGACATAATTTTAAACGGCCCCGCAAAGCTGTCTCTTGTGGGGAAAATCCACATTCTGTAGAGAATCCTCTTCCCTTTCCAGGGCTTTTTCTGATGCTGGAGAGATGGGCTTAGCGTCTAGCACATTTCAAAGGTCTCAATAGGAGACATTTGCCATCTATTGCCTCGAAGGGCAGCCCCCTATGAGATTTCTTCTACAGAATAAGAACTTTGGTCTCCACAGCCCCTTATCTTAATCCAGACACTCCTTTCTATTGAGTCCAGGTGATCAGATAATAACTTAACTCTCTCAACCAATTGCTAATCAGAAAGTCTTTGAACCCACCTGTGACCAGGAAGCCCCTCCTCACCTTGAAGTCGTCCCGCCTTTCTGGGCAGAGCCAACGTACATCTGTCAAGTATTGACTGACTCTGCCTGAACCTCCTGTCCCCGTAGTGTATGAGCTCGGGCTGTGGCCCAACCCCCTGCGGCACATGTCCTCAGGACCCCCTGGAGCTGTGTCACCGGTCATGCTTCTCACATTTGGCTCAGAATAACTCTCTTCAAACATTGTATGGAGTTAGATGTTTTTTCCAGCAACAAGTCCTCATGGGGAACTACGGTTTGGTGTCTTTCTCTTCTCAGATACTGAATTCCTTGAAACGTTGACCTCCAAGATGCTAACTCAGGTGGGAGGAATTCAAGACAAGGAAGGAGCCTCTTTTGGGTTCTGGTTCCGGTCCCGCTACTGAAAACCCCTGATACAGTTCAAGGAGTGCGACAGCGCTGGTTTCAAATCCAGGTTTGCAGCCTGGTCTGGCGTGGAGAGGTTTTACTCTTGGGAGGCCCAGGAGAGGCAGAGGGTCTGGGCCAGGGAGGGCTGGTGTCCACGGCACTCCCGGTTCCGGGCTCCAAGTGTGTGGGGGGAGGGTGGCCACTCAAAGGAGAGAGCCTCAGAAGGAGGGCACTGGGGACCCAGGTACTGCTGAACCCAAAGAAATGAGCCGTTAAAAAGGAGAGAAATGTGTGTGGAAGCCCGGAGCTCCATGGGCAGGGAGGGCTGTGAGGGGAGCCAGGGACCAAGGAGAGACCCCGGGGCTTCGACACTGCCAGTCAGGACCCTCTCCATCCCTGGAGGGGCCCGGTGCAAAATGAAACCACGGGATCCCTTGTCAACCAGTCTCAAGAATTTCAGCAGCAGCCCCAGCGCCGGGCCTTCCCAAGTCAGATCCCACACCAGAAGGCCGGGGCCCTGCAGGACCCGAGCTTGGCGGCATCCCTCTCCTTCCCAAGTCTAGGCACCTGGAAGGGGGCGAGGAAGGGCAGAGCCGCCCCCCCGCACATCCCTTCACACCCTTCCCAGGGCCAAGGGGGAACATTACAGCTTCTGCGTGAATTCCTGTTTTCCTCCCTTCCTGTGAGTCAGGCACGATTGCTTGCACTGCGTCCGGCCGCCCCAGGCTTTATCTGATGGGAACGAGGCCTGGCCTAGGGCCTGAGAAGCTGCAATGGGAAAGACAAACACGGGCGGTGCGGCCCTCTGCTCTGTGACGAGAGCACTGCCCCCTTGGTGCAGGGACGCTGTGTCCAGCCTCCCCATCGGAGACACTCTGAGGGGACCCTGGAGGCCGTCCAGCTCCAGAAGAGCGCGCCCAGCTCCCCACGGGCTGCGTCCAAGCTGGTCCCCTCAGGCACTCCTGGTGGATGATCCACAGGCTGTGCCACGGTCAGCCCTGGTCCGCGCTGCAAGATGGGAGGTGGGAACTGGCTTAGCCCGGCTCCGGCTCTGGTTCCCCTCCCTGGCTTCATCCTCAGCGTTAATTCTTTGCGCCGTTCTGAGCTAAAGGTCTTCTCCCTGCCCCTCAAGATCACACAAGGTCACACAAGTTTCTTGGCCCTTACGAAGTCTGGCTGCTGCAGACGTTAAACCCCATCCCATCTATAATATAGGAAGCTGACAGTTCTTAAATCCTTCAGCTCACTCAAGAGGGAGGCCACGACCCACCTGCCTGCATGCTAAGCTTTCCATGGGGGCTTTACTAGAAAAACGCAGCGATCTCAGAAGATCAAAGAAGTTGGTGCTACGTTCACAACCACCTCCTCGGGGACTGCTGAGACCCAGCGGCTTTTGTACACAGGGCTTCTCCTCTGGGTTCAGAAGTCCATGGCCCTTCCAATCACCCAGCGCCTGCAGCCCACACAAAAGCCAGTGAGCTCATCCCAATAGGAAAAAGATAACTTCATCGTTTAAAAAAGCACTTAAACAGCAAAAGTTCCTGTGGAAACCACATGTGGAAAACCCACTGACAAACAGGCCAAATCCCTAAACCAAGGTTCAAATTTCAGGGGCTTCAGATGGGGCTGCGGGCGAGAGAGCAGGGTATTAGGGCTGAACGTCCACCAGCAACCAAGAAGGCGGCTGCACGGCGCTCACCAAAGCGCTCGCGCACAGGAGGCACTCATGGGCTTCCCGCATCCTCTACGTCCCCATCGGGGTCCTGAAACAGTCCTGCCTCCAGGCACCTCGGCACCGCCAGGCCAGCCCATCACGGCCCCAAAACATCTGCCTTCCCCTGGTGGGAGAGTGGGAGAGTCATG
The DNA here is from genome assembly GCF_000001405.40 of Homo sapiens. Lineage (NCBI taxonomy): Eukaryota > Metazoa > Chordata > Mammalia > Primates > Hominidae > Homo > Homo sapiens. Next base: position 29,260,730 of record NC_000016.10, on the reverse strand, counting down.
GGGCTGAGGTTTTGGGATCCTGTTTCATGCCCAGGCGGCCCTAAGCCTAATCAAACTCCCTCACCAAAACCGAACCCAGTCAAGGCCAGCTGCTATACATTTGGGCGCCTTCCCTCCCGCAGAAACCTCCAGAACACGGCATCCAGTAGCCCCCTGCTGCCTGGGGCCCATCCAAGGTGGCCTGGCCAAATTTCCAAGAGGAATAACAAAGTGAGCCCACGGCCCAGGCCAGGAAGACGGCAATGATGTTCAGGTTCCCAGGCGGCCCCCAGACTTTGGACACAGGCAGGGACAAAAGGGATTGACAAACCACTGGCCATGGTGGGGCTGCCCCAGTGCTGAAGGTTGGCGATTTCCTCCCAAGCCCCACAATGAAAACAGAAGCAGAAACGAGGCTACACACACAAAGAACCCGGCGGGGACGGCTCTCTGGCACTGTGGGTGCCCACAGCCTCTTTCTCACCAGGCCACAGCAGCGGTTCATCCAGCCTTCACACAGCCTCAGTTCCCCACACAGGAACAGTGAGTCTTTCGGAAGCCTCGTCCTTGAACGGCTGGAAGGAGCAGACAGAGGCTCCCCCAGGCCGTGGGAGGCTGAGCCAGCGCCTGAGGATCTGGCGGAGGAGGGAGAGCCCAAGGTCAAGGGCAGCCCCACCCCAGCCAGCCTGCACCCGGCTGGAGGTGGCCATGCAGGCCTGCTAGGTGGCGGCCAGACCACAGGCCCCTCCACCTCCCAGCTCCTGGCTGCTGAGAAGGCTGGGGCGCAATATGCGACGTGCCCAGAACCCTGAAGAGCAGCTCCGAATGTCAGATAGTTGCTGGGCTCTGGAGAGGAAAAACACATTGACTTTGTTCAAGGACACATGAGTTGCAATCTGGGCAATGCTGCCAAACAGACCCGACCCAGCCCCAGGCAGGGCGTTCTCAGGGCCAGCAGAAGCCGCCGTGGCCTGTTCACTCTGCAGCTACCCTCTTGCCGCAGGCTAACCCTCTGTCAGGCAGAGAGCTCCCGGACAGCCTGCTACCCATGCATCACTGCACCCAGGGCACCTCTTCTCAAAACAAGGACAGCGTTAACTGGGACAGGAATGATTTCCGCAAAGGCCAGGCCTAATCAGGATGGAGGAAAGATGTTGGGGTTTCTCTGCTTTTTCCAGAGATTGCAGTGGCCAGTGCCTGGACACCCCCGAAAGTCCCAGGCCTGGTCCAGCTGTCCCAGGGAATTGGGAGGCGTGGTGGTGGTGGGAGGGGAGCTGTTGACGCCACCTCCCAAAGTGGTGTCTCTCTCATTGACCAGCCGTATTGGGTGGGGGAGGTTCTTAAAATCTGTGTTCTAAACATCCAGGTAATCACTGAAACAGCCCGATGGCTGTGCAGGGCAATCCGTTCATCCTGCCCTCAGATTGAGGCTGGGAAAGAAGTGGCAGGACTCAGCGTGATTTCATGCTCTAGTTTTCTTGAACCTGGGAACTGTTGCAGCCTCAGCAGGGACCTTGCCGTCAACGTTGGCAGTGCCCAGCCTTTGCGTGGTCGAGGTCTGAGGGCCAGACACCCTCCTCGCGCCCGCCCTGCCTTCCCTCCAGGCTCCAGGTCCAGGAGGCTGCCCGGAGGGTCCACCATGCCTAGGTCCATGCAGAGGGTGGCAGCAGGGAGATTGGGGCCGGGTGTTCATTCTCTGGCTCCTGCGGCTTGGCTGCACCCCAAAAAGCCCATCACGGCACCTTCAGACTTTACTGTTATTGGCTCAATAATAGCCCCCAAAGATGCCCACATCCTAATCCCAGATCCTGGGAATATGTTCCCTGGTGATATTTACATGCAGACGTGACTGAGCAGGTGAGTAAGTGAAGGCTCTTGAGATGGGAGTGGCCCTGGGTTGTCCTGGTGGCTCAGTGTCATCCCAGGGTCCTTGAAGAGGGAGGCAGGGAGAGTCACCGCAGGAGCAGGTGTGAGAAGGAACACAGAGTCAGAGAGAAATGGAAAGAGGCTGCGCTGCTGGCCTGGAAGGTGGAGGAAGGGCCATGAGCCGAGGAGTGCAACGGCCTCAGAGGCCACAAAGGTAAGAAAAGGACCCTCCCCTGGAGGTCCCAGGAGGAACCGGCCCTCACACACCCTGATTTTAGCCCAGCGAGGTGTGTGCCAGACTTCTGACCTCCAGAGCTGACAGAGCTGTGAGCCTGTGGTCATCTCGTCGCAGCCCCATGGCACTGACACACCTGTCCTCTTTGGATTCCAAGAAAGGACACCACCCCAGTCCCACCCCAGCCTTCAGGCTTAGGGCGATGGGGCTTCTCTTTCACAGGGTCCTCGGTCCCTTCACACAGGTTCCCTGAGCCCCGCCCAAACCTTTTCAGCACTGTGAAGCCCTCCTCCAGGTGCTGTCTCCCTCCTGCTGGGCTCTGACCAATGTGGTCCTGTTCCTCCTGTTTGGGCAACAGTGTTGCCTTCCCCTGCTACCCTGGAAGTCCCCCAGGCAATTCCATCCATGGGTTCTGATGAGCATGAACCAACTGGCATGACCACCAGGAGCCACCATCTCTCCAGCCCGGGAAGGGCTTGTGTGTGTTGGGGGAGGGGAGGGCACGTGCGGCTGGTCTGAGGTTTTCTCCCGTGTGAAATGTCAGATTCCCAGGACTTTTAGAGTTCCAGGCATGTGTCCTGGGTCCCTTCGCCAGAGCCTACACCAAAGGCTCTGGCCCATGGCACCTGGCACTCACCGTCCCCAGCATGCTGACAGCTCCCGCTGTGAGAGTCGGGGCCTCTGCCAGGCAGCTTGCTCCCTGTCCACAGGAGAGGCCACGGGGCCAGGGAGGGAGGCCATGGGAGCAGCTGCTTCAGCAGCGTGTGGGGACTGCGGGACAGATGCCCACTCCTTGGTACGTTCCATGTTCCACTCCTCTGGGGGCGTCCCCGGAGGCTCAGAGCCCAGTTACCCACAGCGACACCTGCTCATCAGCCCTCATCAGCTCCTTTCCCACCCAACTTGCCCACTCCTTGGTGCGTTCCATGTTCCGCTCCTCTAGGGGAGTCCCCAGAGGCTCAGAGCCCAGTTACCCACAGTGACCCCTGCTCATCAGCCCTTAACAGCTCCTTCCCTGCCTGACTTGCCCACTCCCCAGGGCTGCCTGGGGTCACCCCCAAATCTTGCTCCCAAGGCCTGCCTCTGGGGGCCCAGGCCCAGAGGCCAGAGGCCGCCTCAGCAATCCTGAAGCAGACAGCAGATGGCAGCCTTGGATCAGCCCTTTCTGGCTGTTTCCAGGCTCCAGCTGAAGGTGGAAGGGTGGTTCTGCTGTGTTCTCTTCCTTGGAATTTCTGGGAAAACCACGAGCGGGACTAGAACCCAAAATCTTCATTCCATCGTCAATGAAAGCCAAAGACACCTGGACCTTGGAAACAGTCTGAGCCTTCCTGATGGAGAGCGGATGAGGACCGGAGGGAAAGGGACACCGGACTTTGGAAACAGTCTAAGCCTTCCCGATGGAGAGTGGATGAGGACCGGAGAGAAAGGGCCCTGAGAAAGTAGGCTGCTGCCCTGGATCCCAGACCCAACCAGAGTGGCACAGAGTCCTCCAGAACAGAGCGTGCCCCCGGGAGAGCCACCGGCCCTGCTGCACCTGCTGGGGTGTCCCTGCTGTTCACCCTCCCTGGGCTCCTGGACCACAGCGGGGCAGAGTGGAGGAGGAGGTGTGCACAGAGGCACCATTGTTGTGGGAAGCAGTTTGTTGGTGAGGAGGGAGCTGCGGTCCTGCATGACATCCACACGTGTGACATCCACACGCGTGAAATCAGCACACACGCGTGACATCCACACGCGTGACACCCACATGCGTGACACCAGCACACACGTGACATCCACGCACATGACATCAGCACACACGTGTGACATCCACACGCGTGACATCAGCACACGTGTGCCATCCACACATGTGACATCAGCACACACGCATGACATCCACACTTGTGACAGCACACACGCACACACACTCATCATTCAGACAGGACTAGCACAAGAACCGCACGGAATGACCACAGAGGGTCTTGGCGGGAACGGAAAACAAGCTGCCTCCAACCTCGTGCAGCCTCTTTTTCCTCCAGATCATCGCTAAGTCCTCCCAGGGCTGGTGTGCCCGAGAAGCAGGAGGGTTCCCGAGAGCAGCTTTTTGCTCCCAGGAGTGGCAGGTTCCTGCCGCCTGACAGGCTGCTCGCGGAGGAGGCTGGAGCCAGCACAAACGCCATGTCTTGTCGAGACCTTCACTAGAGTCTCTCCGGTTGTTTTTTTTCTCGAGAAAAATATTGGAAAATTGGTGAAAATATTTACATCGATTTTATCTCTTTATCTTGGTTTGACTTTTTTATTCTCCTTTAAGTTGATTCATTTTTAGTGAAGTGCAAAATAAATTCTCATGTTTGAAGTTTTGGAAAAGTCTGCAGTCCCAGGGAGGTGATGGGTTAAATGCTGTTTGTTGACTGTGGACTGCAGATGGCTCAGCTCTTACCTTGACAAGGACGGTGAGGACGGCAGACATGGGCGCCCGGCTGCTGTGCCTCCCTCCCTGCCTGGCTTCTGCCTGATGCTGCTGCTGAGCCCCCGAATTGCCTCACCAGACCCCGTCCACCCAGACACTGGGAGCCCATGGCCAAACTGGTGTGTCTTGCATTAAAAATAAAACCCATTTATGACATCTGACACAGGCAAGCCTCCCAGGAGTTGTATGAAAATTGTTTTCCAGGTCAATCCCAACTATTGAAACAATTCACAGGGGGAGCAAAGCAAGGCCGGAAGGAAACTCTCCAGAAGATGAGTAAGAGCTGGCTTTGGTGTCTTTTTGGTCCTTTATCTACTTTTATGTGTTTTCCAAATTTCTCATAATGAGAATATTTTGCAAAAAAACAGAAGTTGCCAGGTTTGGACACTCAGGATGAGCTTTCAAAATCAGTTACAGAAAATATTCTCCTCCCTAGGGGTGCGTCTCTGCTTTAATCAGCTTGTCTGAGAGTAGAGAGTAAACCACCATTGCCGTGCCCTCTCCTCTGCTCTGACAGGGCTGCTATCGGGCTTATCTCAGGAATCCCGCAGTAGTCCTGCGGGGCAGGTGCCATTGTAAGGCAAGGCCCCAGAACACACACCCCAGGGCCCAGACCCAGCGCCCATGCCAGGCGCCGTGTGTGCTGTCTCACGGGACCCACAGGGCGACCTGCGCAGTGGGGCCCTCATCCCGTTGCTCGGAGCCTGTGAAGCTGGCAGGCAGCACCAAGGAGCGAGGCAGGGTCCCCCTGCTCCACAGCCCACACCCTCCCAGTGAGCCAAACAGTGTCCTCCAAAGCCACGTCTTCCTGCGACCTCAGAAGGTGGGTTTATTTGGAAAGAGGGTCTTTGCAGGCGTGATCAGTTCAGCTTAGACGAGGTCATACTGGATCAGGGGCCCTAAATGCAACGGTGGGTGTCCCCATAAGAAAAGGAGGAGCCACATGAAGACATGGAAGGAAGAACGCCCTGTAACGATGGAGGCGGAGCCTGGCGGGGTGCACCTGTGAGCCAAGGTCCCCTAAGGACGGAGGCAGAGCCTGGCGGGGTGCACCGGCGTACCGGGGAACGCCGAGGATGGCTGGCACCCCCGGGCAGGCTCCTTGATGCCAGCCCTCTGCTTTCAGGGCTGTGGGGGATACGTTTCTGTTGTTTTAAGCCTCCGGTGTGTGGCATTTGTTACAGCGGTGACGGGAAACAACATCTCCATCATTGTTGGGGACGTCACCACAGAGACGAAAATATGGAAAATACACATCAAGGCAGGCACCCTTGGGAGGGAGAAGGGGAGATGGGGACACAGGGAGACGGGGCAGTGGGGAGACTCGAGGGAGGGAGAAGGGGCGGGGGCCAGGCCGGGGGCCGGGAGACAGGGAGAAGGGGAGACGGGGAGATGGGGAGATGGGGAGATGGGGAGACAGGGAGACAGGGAGACGGGGAGACAGGGAGAAGCTGAGGGAGGGACTGGAGGCCGGTGTCGGCCTCCCAGGCTAGGAGCCAGGAGACAGAGAGAAGGGGTGGGGGCAGCCTGAGGCCAGGCACGGCTGAGTGGCGGTTGACGGGTCCTCCCGGCCTCCTTCCATCCTCCTTCCTCCCCCTTCCCCGCTTCCTCTCTCTTCCTGTGTTAGAATTGTTCCCGGCCCTGGGGAGACAGTGGGAACAAGACTAGTCAGGTGCCCGCCCTTATGTATCCCCACGACGGGCAAGGGGCTTTCAGACACAGAGGCAGCAAGCTCTGGCCGCAGGGATCCCTGCAGTGGCTGCAAAGTATGGAGGCCCCGGCGTGGAGGAGGCACGGGTGGAAACGCGCAGGCCCCGGCGTGGAGGAGGCACGGGTGGAAACGCGCAGGCCCTGGCGTGGAGGAGGCACGGGTGGAAACGTGCAGGGCATATCTTGGGAATCCTTCCCGGGTGGAACACAGGGGGCTAGAATTTAAACGTGCAGACTGTGGTGCGTGATTTCCCACACGCCCTTTGCTTTGGAACCCACACTTCTTAACTCAGAGGTGAAGTACGCAGGTTGCAAATAAGACGGTGAAACCACTAAAGGCAGGAAGGGAGGAGGAAATGGAGCTGGAGGTGGGGGTTGGGGGGCGGGCAGGGCCTGTTTCTGGCCCTCCTGAGCCTTGTCTGCCAGGGGACATTCGAGGTCTGGGCGAGCATCTGGAGCATCACCCAGCACCATCGGTGTCTGGAGGGTGACACTTGCTTTCCAGAAGGAGGGCCGCACTGGTCTCTTGAGCAGCCATAAGGAAGGGCCACAGACTAGGGTGCTGCAAAGCTTCAGGAACTCCTCTCTCCCAGCTCCGGAGGTCACAGCCCAACATCAAGGTGAGGGCAGGGCCAGCTCCTTCTGGAGGCGCTGGGAAGGGTCTGCTCCCTTCCCACCCCAGCTGTAGGAGGCCCTGACGATCCTGGGGGTCCTCAGTGGGCAGCTGCACAATGCCAGCCTCTGCCTCCCGCTGCACGTGGCCTCTCCCCTACGCCTCTCTTCTCCCAGCCTCCTAAGGACCCACCCTAACGACCTCACCTCACCCTCCTCACATCTGCAGAGGCCCATTTTCACAAGCTCACATCCTGCGTGCTGGGGGTGAAGCCTTAACATGCCTTTTGGGGGGACACAATTTAACCCAAAACAACTGTCCAAAAAGATTCAGGACTTTAACAAGGTGGAAGACGTTTAGCACCCTCCATCCCCAGCACAGATGCCTGCGAAAAATCTCTGGCTCGGTTTCATGAGTGACCATGGACCAAGGTCCCCAGACACCAGCGGGGCCACTGTGACAGGCACTCTGCAGCCTGGGGAGGTGGGGGGCCACCATCCTGGGGCTGCAGAGAAAGCCCTTCTGCCATGTGCAGGGAGCCAGGGTGTCCCGAGACAGCCAGGAAGGTCCAGCTGCCAGAGACCTCAGGACTTGTCAGGGAGGCTGTCTTAGTACATACATGCTGCTATAACAAAACACCCGAGACTAAGCAATTTGCAAACAGCTGACATTTCCTGCTGGCAGCTCTGGAGCTAGAAGCCCAGGATGAAGATGCTGGCAGGTCCGTGTCTGGGGAGGCCCCTTCCTGGTTCATAGGCAGTGTTTCCTGTGTGTCCTCATGTGATGGGAAGGGCAGGGATCTCTCCAGGGCCTCTTTGTAAGGACACCAATCCCATCCACGAGGCCACATCCTCATGTCCTCCAGCTCCCAACACCATGGCCTTGGGGGTGGGGTTTCAACACACACATTTGGGGGCCACAGACACAGGCTGCAGCAGAGGGCATGGGCGGCTCCTCCTTCACCCCCTTTGCATTCATCTTCTCCCCGAAAAAGGCAAAGCCCTCCACCCTCCCTGCCCCTCACCTTCCCTTTGAAGGGTCTCCCCAATCCCTGCCCACCGAATTCCCTTCTGGCGATTAGAAAGGGGGGCTTTGATCTAAAGCCTCCTTCAAAATGCCTCGCACTATACAAGATTTTGGGATAAGCAGTGGAGACTGTGTCTCAAGTTTAAACCTCAGGGACTCTGAATCGAGTCAATGCAGGGATTCAGCCAGAATTCAGCCACATCGGGAAATCAGAACCCAACTCCCAGTGGGTGCCACAAGTGTGATTTTTAGAATATTTGAGGAAACTCAAAGATAGCCAGTCATTTATGGCTGGCTGAGGGCAGGTGGCCTGAGGAAGCCAGTGGGGAACGGAGGTTCGGCGGAGTCCAAACTGCTGAGAGGGTCGGGTGATCCCTGCGCCAGGCGCCCGTAGGCACTGAGGGGAAGGGGCAGAGGGGCCAGTGAGGAGGATGTAGAGTGGGGAGCGGAGCAGCCCACGCTCACATCCTGCATGGTCAGAGGCGGAGGTTAGGGTTAGGATTAGCGTTGGGGCCCCACCATCCCACCATGGGGCTGAGCCACGTGAGCCCAGCAGTGAGGCTGGGGCACCTCCACTCCCCAGAGCACAGCAGATCCTGAGCCCCTCAACACCCTGAGCCGCTGGGGACCCACTGGGCGCTTCACAGATAAGCAGTAAAAAGGCTGTGGGCCCAGGGCACATGTGTGTGCACACACAGAGACACGTGTACATGCTTACACACAGACACACACGTGCACACTTACATATGTACGTACTTACACAGAGACACACATGGACACACACACAGAGACACACACGGGCAGAGCTCGCGGCCTTGCTGGGCTCCGACCCTGCGAGCCTGGATTGAGGTGCAGCCCAGACGCCCTCTTGCTGCTTGCCAGGCTGCTCTGCCTCTCTGCACCTCAGTCTCCTCATCAGAGAAGCTGACGGGTTTACCACTAAGTGCCACGCTGCAGGCCACACCCAGGCCAGCCCCCAACCCCGCCCACATTCCTGTACTGCCCAAGTATTTGCTGGGGACCATGAAACAGAAAGAAGGCCCTTTCCTCCGGCGCACGTTACAGACGCAAGACCCAGATTCACACCTCATCCGCGCCAACAGTGACATTAAAAACCAGGAAGAAATCACTCACCGCCTGCAGGGCTCCGCGGTGTTGTGTCCTGGCTCAATCCGCTTGGCTAACACCCTGCCTCGCCACTATAATCCTGGGGTCAGGAGGGACAGGCCCGGGCACGCAGGGTGACGGTCCTGGGGCCGCTGGTTCTGTGTGTGGCCGCGTGTCTTCCTCCAGTTGAGGAAGGAATGTTTCCTTCTTTTCCTTCCAGCTCCCTTCTCAGCGCCCTTCTGCAGAAGGAGCTCGGCTCCCTTCAGATCCCTGCCCGAGAAAACAACAGGCGTCTTTTGTTTTATTTTATCTTATTTTCAAACATAGAAAAGTAAACATCGCTCTTATCATTTGAAAGAAAATGATCCACATTAGAAATGATTGGGCGAATGGAAAACTAATAAAAATGCCCCAACCCCCATTCCTCCGCTCGTTCATTCGGCACATGTTCATGGGGGCCCCCAGGGCAGGACGCGGTGCTGAGCTTGAGATGAGGGCACAGTAACACAGGCGAGGCCTGCACTCCACACAGTTTACATTCTAACGAAGGGGGCGGACGGCCCAGAGGGACAGGAGAAAAGTCAAATAACCACAAATTGAGATGAGTGCTGTGGAAGGACACAGCGGGCTGGATGAGAGGCAGCAGAGAGCTGCTTTCACACGGTCCCAGCCAGTCTTTGCTCCTGTGCTCTGTCCCCACATTCCTTCAGCAAACAGGGACGCCCCACGCACCAGGCACGGCTTCAGGCACCAGGGTCGAGGCATCATTCCCAAGCACGCATCCTTCCTCAGAGTTCTTCACTCGGCTTTGTGCTGGGGTGTCTGTCCACCTTTCTGCTCCGTCTCTAACCATGAGTGAAAAGGCTGTGTGATACTCAGTGATGCAAACACCCCACATGGTGTTTACTCAGCCTCTCTGTATTAGTTCTTCTTCATGCTGCTGATTAAGAGATACCCAAGACTGGGTCATTTATAAAGAAAAAGAGGTTTAATGGACTCACAGTTCCATGTGTCTGGGGAGGGAAGGCAAAAGGCATGTCTTACATGGTGGCAGCCAAGAGAGAATGAGAACCAAGAGAAAGGGGTTTCCCCTTATAAAACCCGCAGATCGCATGAGACTTATTCACTGCCACGAGAACAGAATAGAGGAAACTGCCCCCATGGTTCAGTTTTCTCCCACTGGGTCCCTCCCACAACCCATGGGAATTATGGACACTATAATTCAAGGTGAGATTTGGGTGGGGACACAGCCAAACCATATCACTCCCCTATTAGGGGACACCTGGGTTGTTTCCAGTTCTTCCCTCTCACAAATACCACTGCTGGGACATCATCATGCTTAAGGGTTTTACCCTTGTGTGGCAGGTTTTAGGCAACTGGTTTCAACCCTCTTTTACAAATCAGGATGACTTCCTCTAGCATGGAACCCAGGTGCTGGGTGCTGTAGGGAGAGGCTGACGCTTTGCAAAAATAATACTTTGGGATGATTGTGGTGGCCCATGTCTATAATCCCAGCACTTTGGGAGGCCAAGGTGGAAGGATCGTTTGAGGCCAGGAGTTCAAGAGCTGCTTGGGCAATATAGCAAGAGCATGTCTCTAGAATGTTTTTTTTTTTTTTTTCGAGATGGAGTTTCGCTCTTGTTGCCCAGGCTGGGGTGCAATGGCACGATCTCGGCTCACCACAACCTCTGCCTCCCAGGTTCAAGTGATTCTCCTGCCTCAGCCTCCCTAGTAGCTGGGATTACAGGCATGTGCCACCATGCCCAGCTAATTTTGTATTTTTAGTAGAGATGGGGTTTCTCCATGTTGGTCAGGCTGGACTCAAACTCCCGACCTCAGGTGATCCACCTGCCTCGGCCTCCCAAAGTGCTGGGATTACAGGCGTGAGCCACCGCGCCCAGCCTTAGGAAAATTTTGAAAATATTAGCCAAGTATGATGGCATGCACTTGTAGTCCCAGCTACTCGGGAGGCCGAGGCAAGAGGATCACTTGAGCCCAGGAGGTTGAGGCTGCAGTGAGCTGTGATTGCACCACTGCATTCCAGCCTGGGCAACTGAGCAAGACTCTGTCTCTAAACAAACAAACAAACAAACAAACAAAACAAAGAAACAACTTTGATCCAGGCTGTGAGCTCTGGGAATCAATTAGTGGGTGTGTAGCCAATGCTGAGGAGGAGGCAAGAGAGAAAACAGAAAACATCACCACACAGAACGTGAAATAAGGATTCACATTCTGAAACTGCATTTCAGCTGCGGATGAGAGTATGTGCCTAGGGCGAAGATGAAACAGTGTATTCCTTACTGTGGATCTCAGCTCAGAAAGTGTGAGAGTGTGATGAGGGGGGTTGAATGGCAGCCCCAAAAAATAAGCCCACGGCCCAGAGACTGTGAGAGTGGCCTCATCTGGAAAAAGGGTCTTTGTAGGTGTGATTCAGTTAAGGATGTTGCGATGAGATTGTTCTGAAGTAGGGAGGGCTGTGAATTCAATGACAAGTGTTCTTAGAAGAGAAAATCCATGGGACAGCAGAGGCAGAGTGGACTGAAGTGTCCATAAGCAGAGAAGAGCCGGGGCCAGCAGCAGCTGGGAGCGGATGGAGTGGAATTCTCCCTCGGAGACCCCAGAAGGAGTCAGCCCTGCCGATGCCTTAGGACTCCTGGCCTCTGGAAGTGTGCAAGGATGCATTTCTGTTGTTTGAAGCCCCCCGGTGTGTGGTCCTCTGTTACAGGACCCCTGGGGATGCATGACTGGGGCTCTCACTGATCTCAGAGGGGCACATGCTAGAGACATAGCAGACTGGACGCTGGCCCGCAGCCGGGGCAAGGAGCAGCCAGGCCCCTTCTCCGGCACTGTCTGGAGGAAGCGCTCAGAAGGCTTCCCATCCCCCTGAGACCATGCATTCTTGCTCGTCTACAAGGCCCTGTATCCTGGCCCCACAACCTCCTCGGGGAGCTGCCTGCATGTGAACAGCGAGGCCTTAGTTGGAGCGGAGAGGAAGTGTGGCAGCCAGGCACGATAGTGGCCCACAGAGAGAGTTTTACAAGTGGGGAAGCATTTCCTCTGTGCTATCTCACTCGAGCCCTCACGGCCGTGGGAAGTTGTTTTTATAGATCTGGTGATGAGGAAGCCACGGCTAGCAGGAGATGACATTCTGCGGCCCAGCCAGCCCGGGTCTGTCCTTACCCGAAGCCCTCATCTCTCTGGTGTGAGTCCTGCTCTATCCAGGACGTGCCAGCAGGTCCAGGCCTGGGTCACTGTGTCCTGGGCACTCCCAGTGCCTCACAGTGACACCGAGCGGGAGCAGCAGAAGGGCCTGGCTTGAACTGGGTCCCTGATTAATGCCTTCACCAGTGTTCTGGGTGGTCTTCCCTCTGGCCATTCAGGGACCAGTGCTGGGTGTAGGGTGGTGCTTACTGGTGGCAGTGAGTGGATGAGTGAGGCTCCCTGTGCAGGGCAGGTGGATGGCAGCATTTTGAGACCCGGAGAGCAAGTGGCAAGTGGGAGCCAAACTGAACAATGTGTTGGAAAAACGCCCAGAGTTAATTTGGGAGCCAGGCCAGGAAGGATCCCCTTGTGGGGGAATGTTCAAGGGTGTAGGGGCCCCATGGCTGCACCAAGGTCTGTGCTATACGGTGGCTCAGAGCTCAGGCCCTGGAGCCACAGACTCAGGTTCCTGTTTGGGCTCTGCTACTTAAAGTGACATGACCTGGACAGTGCGACCTCTCCCTCATCTTCCTCAGCTGTGAAATGGGACCATAACTGTGATTAGTTCACAGTGTCATGAGGATTAAATGAGATAAATCACGAGAATCAGTTTGCTCCAGGGGCTCAGTAAGTGTTGGATGAGAGCACCCGGTTCACCCCCTTCCTGTCATGGGTCACACTGTGGCATTCTGTAACCTGGCTGCCATCTGCTTGCAGCACACTTCATCCAGGCAAGAAAGCTCTGGCACTGCTCTCATACGGTGGGAATCCCGGCAAATCATCCCCAAATCATCTCAGCAGATCTGAGGCCTCCATGACTTCCTCCATTTACAAACAATTCTCCAGGTTTTATAGCAGGGTGGGCGTGACACCGGCTGCACACTGGGCATTTTCCAATCTCGCTGAAGGATGCGCTCACACGAGGGAGCCTGCAGTGCCCTCTGCTTCAGGACCCCAGTAGCAGGTTCTGGGTGGGAATGAGGCCACCATGGGGCCATGGCTCACTGAGAACAGCTAGAAAAACTCTACTGGACACAAAATTGTCTTTGGAAGGCATCATGAGGCTGCTGAGGTCATGTCAAGTATTGGAGGACTCTGGAGAGGGGAGAACCAGGAAGGTGAGCAAACGTCTACAGATGCTTTCTCTCTAGGGGAGAACCAGGAAGGGGAGCAACGTCTCAGGTGCCTTCTCTCTAGGGGCATCTGCCAGTTGTGGGCACAGGCAGGAGGCTGAGAATCTTGAGCTGTACCCACGGAGGGCCACTTCTGGGGACAGAGGAAAGAGCTGAGCTCTTGGTGGAGACTTGGGGTGCCTGAAGGACCTGGCCAGGTTTCCCCACAAGTCACATGATGAAAACTGGGGTCATGTGGAAATGGGATACATGGAAGGCCCCAGGGAAGTAGGTTGAAATTTCAGCAGAGTCACAAGGCAATGTTTAGACTTCAGGACCCATGAAAGACTGGGGCCCCAAGGAACACATCATGCTTTCCACAGAAAACTCTAAAGGATCAGAAAGCTCAAAGGAGATAGAGTTTGCCAGGCTGCAGCCCCACTTGACTCAGCAGAGTACCTGGCTGGATTAAGGAGAGGAGTTACTACTGTCTCATCCTAGCACAAGGAAGGGTAAACCCTCTGTGTGGGAAAATAGCATCAGCTGGAGCCTCCACGATGCATTTTATTCACCGTGTTTAGTATTCGATCAAAAATCACATGTCATGACCAAAGGCAGGACCACACGACCAAAAACCAAGAGAAAATACAGATCTTAGAAGCAGCTACAGAGATGATCCAGATAACAGATTTTGCAAGCAACAACTTTCAAATAACCTTGTTTCAAGAACCATAGCTCAGGAAAATAGAGGAACAGATGAAGAAATTCACCAGAGGGAATTTTAGAATTCTATGAAGAAAAAAAAACTAAAAGGAAGAACACAGATTAGACAAAGAAGAAGACAGACTTGGTAAACTGGAAAACAGTTTAATAGAACATAAGCAAACTGAAGCAACAGGAAAAAAATAATAAAAAATATAGAAAAATATGTTAGAGACAAATGGGACATAGTTAAAAGGTTAACAACCAGTAATCAGTATCTCTGGAGAAGAGGTAAGGAATGAAAAAGGCAGCAATATTTGAAAAGATAGCTTCCAAAACCCTTTCAATCAGAAGCATGATAAAGACAAAGGCACACCTAGGTACATCATATGAAGACTTCCAAAACCAGAGATAAAATCTTAGATGCAGTCAGAGACTCTGTGTCTTCCAAGAATCAACAATAAGACTGACAGCCAACTTCTCAACAGAAATTAAGGAAGTGCAGAGGCAATGGAATAATATCTTTTTTTTTTTTTTGAGACGGAGTCTCACTCTGTTGCCCAGACTGGAGTGCAGTGGCGTGATCTCGGCTCACTGAAAGCTCTGCCTCCCGGGTTCATGCGATTCTCCTGCCTCAGCCTCCCAAGTAGCTGGGACTACAGGCACCCGCCACCGCGCCCGGCTAATTTTTGTATTTTTAGTAGAGACGGGGTTTCATCGTGTTAGCCAGGATGTTCTCGATCTCCTGACCTCGTGATCCACCCGCTTCGGCCTCCCAAAGTGCTGAGATTACAGGCATGAGCCACTGCACCTGGCTTGAAATAATATCTTTAAAGTGCTGAAAGATGGTATCTGCCAACCTAGAATTACATGCCTAGTGAAAATCATCTTAAAAATGAAGGTGAAATAAAGACATGTTCAGACAAGTAAAAACTGAGAGACTTTGTTGTCTGAAAATCTGTACCAAAAAAAAATATGGAAGAGAGTTCTTAGGGCAAAAGGAAAATGACCCCAGAGGAAAACATGAAATTGCAGAATGGAATAGGAAGCAAATAGAAAGTAAATCTGTGGACAAATATGAAGGAATATTTACTGAATATTAGCTGTACAAAGTAATGATAGGAATGGATTGTGGGGTTTAAAGTATACATAGAATTAATAATGCAAGACCACAAAAACACAAAAGTCATAGCGGTTAAGATTCTGGCATTATCCAGGAGTAGCAGAGGCAACATTTCAAGTACCTGTTTTAATCGCTAAGGTAACTACTAAAAGACTAGCAAAAGTTAATAAAGGGAAATAATGGAATAATATTTTTTTATTGATTTAAAAAAAAAGGCTGGCCAGGTGTAGTGGCTCACGCCTATAATCCCAGGACTTTGGGAGGCCGAGGTGGGCAGATCACCTGAGGTCAGGAGTTTGAGACCAGACTGGCCAGCATGGTGAAACACTGTCTCTACTAAAAATACAAAAATTAGCTGGGCGTGGTGGTGGGTGCCTGTAATCCCAGCTACTTGGGAGGCTGAGGCAGGAGAATCGCTTGAACCCTGGAGGCGGAGGTTGCAACAAGCCCAGGTCATGCCACTGCACTCCAGCCTAGGTGAAAAGAGTCTCAAAAAAAAAAAAAAAAAAAATTAAAAGGCAAGATATGAAAGAAGGAAGATATAAAAGAGATGGCTCAAATAGAAAGAAAGCATGGTAGATATAAATGCAAGTATTTCAGTAATTACATTAAATGCAAATAGACTACTCCAATTTAATGACTACAATTATTGGAGACTAGGTTAAAAAAAAAATCTGTCCGTATGCTGATTACAATAGACATGCCTGACAGAATTATAGGACAGAAAATTTGAAAGATAAAAATATGGAATTAAAGATTATTCAAACAGTAACCAAAAGAACTAGTCTAATATTAGTTAAAGCTATAAAGCAAGGAGCATCATCAGAGACAAAGAGGGACATTTTCTGCAGATAAAGTGGTCAATCCACCAGAAAAATACTTGAATCCTAAGTCTGTATTTATTCAATAAAAAATCAAGAGAAAATGTGGCACATACACACCATGCAATATTATGAAGCCATAAAAAAGGATGAGTTCATGTCCTTTGCAGGGACGTGGATGAAGCTGGAAACCATCATTCTCAGCAAACTAACACAAGAACAGAAAACCAAACACAGCATGTTCTCACTCATAGGTGGGAGGTGAACAATGAGAATGCATGGACACAGGGAGGGGAACATCACACACCGAGGCCTGTCGGGGGGTGAGGGTTAGGGGAGGGATAACATTAGGAGAAATACCTAATGTAGATGATGGGTTGATGGGTGCAGCAAACCACCATGGCACGTGTATACCTACATAACAAAACTGCATGTTCTGCACTGTACCCCAGAATTTAAAGTATAATAATAAAGAACTAAAATAAAGCCATACCTTCTAAAAAAAAAAAGTCAAAAGAACTAAAAGGAGAGGTAGACAAATCTACAATCAGAGTGGGGACATTAACACCCCTCTTCAAATGCCCAGAGTCACCCTGACTCCCCTCATATGGAAACTCTAGCTTCTGGAAAATCTAAGCAGAAAGCTAACCAGCCCTCACATGGAGAACATCTTCTTTATAGGAAATCCTTGCTGTGAGCAAACTGCAGATGGGGTCATCACTGGAAAACCCCTGGGCGTGCTCTCATCAAGAGGCTATCAGTGAATCCTTCCAGGGGTATCCTATCCTCTTTATGGAATAGAGTAGCTTTCCCTTGTATTAATTCATGTGCCTCCATGCTTCCCTGGGGTCACTCAGGTCAAGACACGCACAGTTCCCTGTTAAGCGGAGAGAGGACAGGGGTTGTGACTTCTGCAGCCAAGACAAGAGTAACCACCCAAATCTGAATCTTTCCAAACATCCTCTAAAAATCACACAGATCAGCAAGAACAAAATCACACAAATTCCACGCTTTCAGCATGTCTGCATGACAGAGAATAATATAAATGTTAAATGATCTGCAAATAGGAAAACAAACACCAGTTTCAAACAGAAGTATTTCTTGAGCTCTCATCGTAAGCCTCTGTGGAAAGCTGGGAGCAAAGGGAAGGGGTGGAAAAGCCACCCAGAAAACAGAAGAGGAGACTGAGCTAAAAGAACCCCCAGAAAGAGCAAGGCCACAGTAAGTGTGGAAATACTGGGAAAAGAGCCCTGACTCCCGGAAAAGCTCTTAGAAGGACACACGAGAGTGAGGAGCTGATCTCAGAAAGGCAACCCTTTTGGGGGAGGACGAGGAGGCACCCTTTGGAAATGGCATCGTGATGAGAAGGATGAGGAGAGAAATTTAGACTCTCTGAAGACACAAACATGTGGATGAGCACACACGTCCTTCTCCGTGCTCACCCCAAAGACTTTTTGCTATGCTAACAAAAGACAATGCTCTTGAAATCTTGTAAACAACTCCAACTTGCCAACCCTGTTCATTAAGTGCAAATATGTAAGAAGTCTTCTTCTATAAAAAAACTACTATTAAAAGCAAACAGAGGCCGGGAGCGGTGGCTCACGCCTGTAATCCCAGCACTTTGGGAGGCCGAGGCGAGCGGATTACGAGGTCAGGAGATCGAGAACATCCTGGCTAACACAGTGAAACCCTGTGTCTACTAAAAATACAAAAACATTAGCTGGGTGTGGTGGCGGGCGCCTGTAGTCCCAGCTACTCGGGAGGCTGAGGCAGGAGAATGGCGTGAACCCGGGAGGCAGAGCTTGCGGTGAGCCAAGATGGTGCCACTGCACTCCAGCCTGGGCAACAGAGCGAGACTCTATCTCAAAGAAAAAAAAAAAGCAAACAGAATACGGAATCAAAACATTTCAAGTGACTAAAAATTACCACCCCCAGTATCAACACAAAGCAGAAGAAAACAGTAGCATAACATAAATTAAATATTCTTAAGCATTTGAGTATATAAAAATCACCTTGTGATGTAAAATTTAAAACTAAGGATATAGATGGACCAAAAAATGGGAAGAAACAAGGTACAAGTTGATGGAACTGAAACAAGAGGCAGGGAGCAGTGGCTCACACCTGTAATTCCAGCACTTTGTGAGGCCAATGCAGGTGGATTGCTTGAGCCCAGGAGTTCAAAACCAGCCTGGGCAACATGGCAAAACCCTGTCTCTACAAAAAAAATTACAAAAATTAGCTGGGTGTTGTGGTGTGTGCCTTTAGTCCTAGCTACTTGGGAGGCTAAGGTGGGAGGATTGCTTGAGCCCAGGAGGTAGAGGTTGCAGTGAGTCAAGATGGCACCACCTCACTCCAGCCTGGGTGACAGAGTGAGACCTTGTCTAAAATAAATAAATGTCAATAAATAAATAAGGGAAGAAAGAAGGAAAGAAAGAGAAGAATATGACAAAAATCACACCAATGATGAAGACTAAATTAAAAGGTACCCAAAGGAGAACAGATTTGAATGAAAATTCAGGGATACCACTGAAGAAGAGCAGAAAATCAACCATGGCAATGAAAATGAGATGATGTAAAAAAGAAAGAGTGTCAAAGATAAAGTGGTTGAAACAGAAGACAGGAGAAGAGACACTGTGTATAACTGAAGTCATGGAAAAGAAAAATGTAATGCAAGAGAACTCTCAGAGATAGAAGACCTGAATCAGTCTATGCAAGGATCCACCAGGTACCTGGGGCAATCCATTTGGAACAAGTGATTCCGAGGCATAGCTCAGTGAGACTATTAGACATTACATATAAAGCAAGAAATCCTCAAAGATGAAGAAAAAAAAAATGCTTGGGTCCTCCAGACAAAAATATCAGGCAACTTTAAAAGGACAAAATATATATAAATTTTAGCCTAGCATCAAGGAATAAACAAAGCAAGGCAACTGAATTCCATTTGCAGGAATGGAGAAGTCATCCCTACAAGACCAGCTGTTCCACAAATAACCAACATAATCACTGGACAAATTGTTTTTAAAACATCTGGAGGAATTGGAGAGCATGGAAAAGCATGAAATGGAGGGTGCTGCACATGGGTGAAGGGAATGGTGGTGGGTGAACTTCCCATGTTCATGCCCCTTGCATCAGGGCAGGGCCCAGCTGGCACCACACAGGTGGCAACCATTCTAATAGGAAACTCACAAGCATACCGGCTCGAACAAGCAAAGGACAGAATTTGTGGAGATCACAGCAGCTGGACAGTTGGAGGAAAAATCCAGAAAAAGATAAAAACAGACAGAGCCCACAGTTCTGCATATAAACTCTGCCCAAATCCTTGTCTAACACCTGAAGTATGCACGTATCTGCTCAGCTAAGTGAATTGCCCATTAAAACAGACACCAAGAAATCAGTACACATCAGAGAAACATGACAGAACCCAGTCTTTGTTACAGGACCCAGGGTCTATACCATGTGTCAGTAACAACGTTTGGAATACAATAAAAGATCACTAGACATTCAAAGAAACCTACAATGTGACCCCCAGTTTGTATCGACTTTCCCTCCTGACAACCACCTACCCTGAAGAGTCTGTGACCCAGCATGGGATGTGAAGACACTGGCCTTCCAGGCATTTAACTAATGCCTGCATTGTAGACGATCACCTCCCTGTACTAAGGCTTCTAACCTCTGTCTTCTAGTGATTCTGCATCTCCAAACCTGATAGAGGCAGCAGAATAGATCACAAACACATGAGAATCAATACCCTCCGTGTACATCAACAATAACCAGGTGGAAGATCTAATGGTCGAAAACCTCCATTACAAAAGCACCAAATAAGATAAAAACATTTAGGGATAAATGTATCAAGAATGTGGGGAAAAACTATTTACGGAAAACATTAAAATACTCCTGAGAGACACATACAAGTAGACTGACAAATGAGAAGGCATCTCCTGTTCCTGGCCAAGGCCACTCAATGGCCGAAGGCATCGGTTCTCCTGAAGTTAATTCCTACTGCTAAGGCAACCCCGCCCAATACCAATGAGCTTTTTACAATGATGCTAAGTTGATATGAAAACCTATATGAAAAATAAACACGTTAGCACAGTGGGGGCTGGTGGGGGGGTGGAGGAGGAGGTCCAGCTTTACCAGGCATTAAAACACACTAAAAAGCTTCTTGAGAGAAAAAAGTGTGGGACCGACACACAACAAAACAGAACGGTGGAAAAGAACACCCAGAAATAGACCTGAGGACCTCTGAATAATTTGTAGATGGTCAAAGTGACGTTCACGTCTCTAGGACAAAGATGATCTTTTTAACAAACGGTGCTGGGACAACTGGTTAGCCGTTTAGTAAAAGATGGAATTAGATTCATATCTCATACTATACATAAAAAATAAACTCCAAATGGATTAGAGATCTATATGTAAAAAATTAAACCATACAAATACTAGAAGGAAATGTCAGAAAAGCTTTTTAAACTTCAGCATCCAAATGCAACACAAGAGAAGATGGGTACATTTGATGGTATAAAAACAGAACCACTTTTCAACATCCAAATGCAACACTAGAGAAGATGGATGCATTTGACGATATAAAAACAGAACAACTTTTCCATGGTTAAAAAACACCGCAAAGAAATCCAAAGGACAAATGACAAATTAGGAGAAATATTTATAACATACATCAAATATAGGGGAAATAGTTCTAATACAGAAAGCATTATTAAAAACTGAGGGAAGAAATGACCAAAGACCCAATAGGAAAATGAACAAAAGACATGAAGAGATAATTTACCAAAAATGTTTATAAATGGGCCTTAAACACATGAACAAATGGCTCAATATCACTCAAAACAGAAATGTCAATCAGAGCTACATTGCAGTCTCATTTTTCACCTCTCAGATTGCAACAATGTAGCAGCGTCACTGAGAACATGTTCCCATGAGAAGGCTCTGGAGAAGTGGGCCTTTCCTTACTTTGCTGGTGGGAATACAAATTGGTAAAACCATCTTGGAGGAAGAGTTTACTTTTGCATCAGTAATCTCATGACTAGAATTTACTCTGAAGATACTCTTACAATAGTATGAAGATGCATTAAAAAAAACAGATGCACAGGTTTATTCATTGCAACATTGCATGTAATTGCAAAATATTAGAAACAATTGGAATGCCCACAGACAGGAGAGAGGTTGAATGAACTGTGGTACGCCCAAACAGTGGAGTACTATGCAGCTGTAAAAAAGAATAAGGAAGTCCTCTATGAACTCATATGGAGTCATTTCCACGATATGTTATTAAGTGAAAAAAAACGTAAAAGACTATCTCTAACATGCCATCTTCTGGGTAAAAGAAAGGGGAAATAAAACAATGCTTATTTTTTGTAAAAAGAAAGACAGGGGCCTGGTGCGGTGGCTCACACCTGTAATCCCAGCACTTTGGGAGGCCGAGGTGGGAGGATCACGAGGTCAGGAGATGGAGACCATCCTGGCTAACACAGTGAAACCCCGTCTCTACTAAAAATACACAAAAATTAGCTGGGTGTGGTGGCGGGTACCTGTAGTCCCAGCTACTCGGGAGGCTGAGACAGGAGAATGGCATGAACCCGGGAGGCTGAGCTTGCAGTGAGTCAAGGTCGCGCCACTGCACTCCAGCCTGGGCAACAGAGCAAGACTCCATCTCAAAAAAAAAAAAGAAAAGAAAAGAAACACCGGAAGAACAACCCAGAGACTGATGAGACGGTGTATGTCACAGGAGGTGAGGGACAGTGTTGGGGAGATGGACTAGGAAGCGACATTTCTCCGAATAGATGTGTGTGTGTAGGGTTTTGTTTTGTGGAACCAGGTTAAGTTTACATACTTGAAAGGAAAAAAAGAGGGGGCAGGTGACTCTAAATGGATTGCAGATAGAAACAAAAGAAGCTCGCTGTATTTCAGGCAAAGAATATGTGGGGTGAACAGATGTGTTTTCCACAGTGGGGTGGGTTAGCAATGCTGAAACTATTTTCTGTTTATTCTAGGACTGAGCAAATAAGCAAATACCCTGAGAATGGTAGAGGGCAGACCTGGCCCTGCTGGGGAAGGAGTCGCAGGTATTCCAGGTTGGAACTGGAGGCATCGTGGGAGCTCGTGGCTCATGTATGTTAGAGAGTGTGTGTGTGTGTGTGTGTGTGTGTGTGTGTGTGTGTGCATTTACTATGGAGAGATTATAGATGCAGATATATGTGTGTGTCTTTTCTTGTCCTGTCTTGTCTTATCTGTACGTGCTTCCTTCCCTCCTCCCTTCTTCCCTCCCTCCCTCCATCTCTTCTTCCTTCTTCTCTCTCCCTCCCACTTCTCCTCCCTCCCTCCCTGCCTCCCTTTCTCTCCCTCCCTCTCTCCTTCCCTCCTTCCTTCCCTCCTTCCTTCTTCCCTCTCTCTCTCTCCCTCCCTCCCACCTCTCCTCCCTCCCTTTCTCTCCCTCCCTCCCTCCTTTCCTCCCCTTACACTCCCTCACTGAAGCCACTGAAACACCCTGGACACCGAGGCACTCCAGTAGTAATGAGCACACTAGCACCCACGTCTTGGTTTCTGGATACCTTTTGCCATGAACAGAAGGCTTCATGGGAAAAGTTCCAGATTGTGGCACGTGACAGGGAAAGCGCCAAATTGCAGCACGTGACAGGGAAAGCGCAGATGAGCTTGGGATATCTCTTCCTGCTGCAAAGGAAATAGGTACTTAAAGGATGATGGGGACACAGGAATTGGCTTGAAGGGGCTCCCACTGACCAAACCCGGGACAATGTGGGCATCAAACACATAATGATGGCAATGGATTATAACCCATTAAATCTTTAAAAAGCCACGAGTCCACACTAATATAAATGAATACACAGATAAATGGGGAGAAAGGAAATCTCTTCAGTCATCATGAAATTTAACAAAGTACAGGACATTTATATATTCCCAAGGCAGCTCACAAAATACTTATTAAGTCTGGCAGGCTAAATCATGGCCGCCAAAGACACATCCACCCCCGACACCCTCGAGCCTGTCACCGCGTCTTCATATGGAAAGGGGACTTTGCAGATGGGATCGAGATGTGGAGGTGATGTGGCTTATCCAGGGCGCCCCAGCTGCTATCAGGTGCATCCTTATAAGAGGGCCAGAGGGAGATTTCAGACAGGAGAGGAGGTACTGTAACCATTAAGGTGGAGACGGGAGCGATGCGGCCACAAGCCGAGGAAGCCAGCAGCCCCAGAAGCTGGAAGGGCCGGGGAGACTCTCCCAGGTGCAGGGCGGCCCCGTCGACACCTTGGTTATGTCTAGGGGAGGCTGATTTTGAATTTCTGGCCTCAGAATGGAGAGAATAAGTTTTAAGCTCCCGGTTTGTGGTTCGTTGTTGGAGCAGCCACAGGCACCCAGAGCCGCCAGTCCCTTTACAGGGGGGACAGCTGGCGGCTCCACTGCACCCAGGTGGTCAGAGTTACCCTCTCAGCCAGGGAACGAGGAGGCGCAGCCTCACCTCCCCGCCGTTCCCGCGGCCTCACCTCCCCGCCGTTCCCGCGGCCTCGCCTCCCCGCCGTTCCCGCGGCCTCGCCTCCCCGCCGTTCCCGCGGCCTCTCCTCCCTTCCGTTCCCGCGGCCTCACCTCCCTTCCGTTCCCACAGAGATACCAAGTGGGATCTCTCACCAGGAAGCGCCCGCCAGACCCAGGCAGAGGGGCAACATACAAACTGGTCTGTTCCCTCCAAAGCCATCGAGGTTTAAAAAGAAAGAAAGACGCAGGGTTCCAGGGAACCAGAGTCGAGTCGTGACAAACCAGCACCACTCTGGCTGCTGGGCTGGACCAGAAACAAGTGTAGGGTTTTGTTTGTTTGTTTGTTTTTTGTCATAAAGAACACGATTGTGGTAATCGGCAGCCTTTGAACAAGGTCCGTGGATCTGGTAACAGGATTGCGATCATGGAGGTTTTCCCATTTCCGAAATTGAGCTGCGGTTATGAAAGGGCCTCTGCTTGCTCTTAGGAAGTACACCTGAGGTATCTGCGGTGAAAATAAATCCATGCAACGAATGGAAGTCCCAAGGGAGGCGCCCAGACCCACAGCCTCCTGCACTCAGTTCGGGTCTCCAGTCTGTCCAGCCAGTGGGCCCTGAGCCCAGGCCAAGACCCAGGATGGGCCCCAGGAGAGGGGCCGGGACCACGCAAGTGAATTCCTGGCCCTTCTGCCTCTGGCGCTGCTGTTGAAGAAAAACAAGTCCTATCCCGGCTGGACTCCTGGGTGCCGTCTCCGGGCACAGCTCAGCTTTTCCTAAAGCCTCTGCCCAGCATGGAGTGAGAGATCATGGAAAACACGGGGGGTCAGCACAGCTCCCCCCTCCCTCACCAGGAACGGCGTCTCTCCCTGGGGGCTGCAGGCCTGGGCACCCCTGTGCCACCCGGGGTGGGGGCTCAGGGTCCTTCTTCAGGCCTGTCATGGGCTGGGCCCCCCCCCCGCCCCGAAACCCTCCACTGCTCCCCAGTTCTCCACACCCTCTCGGAACATTTCCCAGGCTGGCCTCATTGCCGACTTT
This sequence comes from Homo sapiens, assembly GCF_000001405.40. Taxonomy (NCBI): domain Eukaryota; kingdom Metazoa; phylum Chordata; class Mammalia; order Primates; family Hominidae; genus Homo; species Homo sapiens. The sequence goes on along the minus strand of NC_000016.10, from coordinate 29,236,252 downwards.
CTTTGGTTTTCAGAATTTCTTTCCAGATCTGTGTTAAAGCCATCATTTTTTCTGGCCTGTGCGAGTCCTCACACACATCACTCACCCCCCATGACTGCTCAGAAAACCCAGCTTCCTCCCCATAGAAAACGTCTGAAATGATCGCGCATCTCTGACACCTTGTCACTACACCAGGGACAGTGAGGCACGGGGTTTGGGAGCCGGTTCCGCATCCGTGCCTTGTACTGTGCTGCTGTTACTGCCGGACGAGCCCCAGGCCCTCTCTTTGCTTGTGTGCGTTTTTATAGAGAATTCTAGCATCACCCCAAGACTGTTCATTCCACTTTCAGGATTGCCACGCTGGAGCTCAGCCCCTTAAGCTGAATGTTCAGGAAAAAACTATGAGGTTGATGTTAGGCTCTTAATGATGTTTGAATACAGGATTAGAATCCTTAAAAATGCCTTCTCAAAACACAGCCCAAATGGGGAACTCTGCCTAGAACGGGGTTTCTGGGTACGGCCCTGCAAAGTGCTCCTGTACCCTTTAGGAGCCTCCTCGAAGCCCTGCTGTGCCTCAGGAGGCTCCTAAAAAACCCTTCGAGGAAGCCGGGACATAATCAGGTGGTTCTACGAAGCCGATGTTCTGCCGGGAAACATCTCCGTTGCGAATTGAGGTCATGTGTTCGGATATTATTTTCCTCATTCTCCATTTACTTTCCTAAAATAATCAGCTCCTGAGGATTCCTGTGGCAGAGGGCTTCCAGTAACATCTGCAGTGAAATATCGGGGTACAGGGAATGCAAGCTGCTGGTAGGGGCACCTCACAGAAGGAGGCCTGGAACACAATGGCGATGGACGCAGGCTCTGCTCCCTCGGCGCTGCCCCTTAACGCGAGCACTGATTTTTACATTATAAATCCTGCAGCTGGCGCACACTTGGGTTTCTATGGAAGGTCCCCAGCACTGTGCTCTCCGACTTCCTAGATGCCTGGAGGCCGGTCGCCAGCACCCAAACTGGAACTTTCAGAGCAATCACTCCCTTTTCCACGTCTGAAGGATCCAGGTCTCAAGAGTGACAGTGAAAAGCTGCAGACTTCTCGGCAGCAAATCCAGTGAACACCCCACTCCAGGACCCTTTAGATTCCAGAAGGCCAAGCAAAGTCATTTGAGACCACAGCGGAGACAGCTGTGACCATCCTGGAATGCCCTCCCACCCTGGCTGTGTGGGCGCCTTGTGCCTGATTTCCTCTTAACAGGGTCCTCCTGCGTTCTGGCCAAGGCGGCTCACAACCATTTTGAAAAGTATCTCTTCCTCCTGTCGGAGAAAATCCTTTAGAAGCTTGAAGTCAGACATCTTTTCTCTTCTCTACCTGCCTCCCTCTGCATGGTTTTCCACGAAGAGGGACGAGGAGGGCCTAGCGGTGCTGGCCAAGTGGCCTGAAAGAAGTGGGAAACAGAACGGCAGGGGCTTCCCAGAATCTCTCCTGGTCCACGGGTGTCACGATCCCACTCTGCCCAGTTCCCAGGATGCCCAGAAAAACAGAGACAAGGCCTGGGGCACCCTAGCAGCTCTATGTGGCTTATGGGGCATCTCCAGCTGCTCTATGAGGTTACGGGGCACCTACGGCTGCTCTATGGGGTTACGGGGCGCCTCCCGCTGCTCTATGGGGTTACGGGGCACCTCCTGCTGCTCTATGGGGTTATGGGGCAGCTCCGGCTGCTCTATGGGGTTATGAGACACCTCTGGCCACTCTGTGGGGTTCATGGGGCACCTCCAGCTGCTCTCTGGGGCTTATGAGGGACTTCTTTAAGATTCTATTTCAAAACCCACACTTGCTATGGATTGAGTTGTGTCCGAGTCCTACCCCCGACCTGTGTGAGTGTCGCTTGGTTGGAAATGGGCTCTTTGCAGATGTAATTAGTCAAGATGAGGTCGTGCTGGAGTAGGGTGGGCCCTAAATCCAATGACCATTGTCTTTATAAAGCGAGAGACACAGAGATACACACACACACAGGGAGAGACACAGAGCAGAGGCCATGTGAGGATGAGGTGGGACTGGAGTGGCATGGCCACAAGCCAAGGACACCTGGAGCCACCAGGAGCTGGAAGAGGCAGGAAGGATCCCCGGGAGACCCCCGAGGCAGCATGGCCCTGAGACACCTGGATTTTGGTCTCCAGGCTGAGAGGGAGTGAGTTCCACGGCTTTGGCCCCCAGCTCCTGCCTCCACCCCCGCCCCGTCCCCGCCCCCACCGTCATTTGTAGTGTTTTGATGCCGCAGCTCCGGGAGCTCACACGGGGCCCTGCTTCCTGGGCTGCTGTGGGATCAGGAGAGGAGGCAGGCGCGGCCCTCAGGTGACAACCCCAGGCACCTGTGTGCGGACTCGCTGACGGTGGTGGGGGAGGGCCCTGGGCACAGAGCGGGCGGATGAGTAACCCACCTGAGCCCTGAGGACCCCATTCTTCCTAGGCCCGGGTCTTGGCCGTGTCCAAGGCTGCAGCCCTGTGGGTTGGGGGCTCCTCCCTCCCTGGGGGGTTCCTCACTCTCCGAGCACCTGGGCAACTAGAGGCTGCTCCGGACTCACCCTTCACCGCCTCTGCCCCTCCCACTCCGAGCTTCAGACCTGCTCTTCCCAGCCCGTCTGCCCTTCCCACTCCGAGCTTCAGACCTGCCCTTCCCGGCCCCTCTGCCCTTCCTGCTCTGAGCTTCTTCTTTTCAGCCTGACTCACGTCCCCTGCCCCTGCTCCGATTTGACCACTCTCCCTACGCTTGTCACTGAGCACTGTACCTGGATTCGGTGGGGGCTGCCTGCACTGCACAGAGACTGTCACGGCAAAGGACAGGGCGTCGGCCGTGGCACCCGGCTCAGGGCCCTTCCCTCACCTCCAGCCCTCAAGGCCACCACGAGGCCCTCATCTCACCTGGGCTGCCGGGACCTGGCCTGGCCTCCCCTCTGGGGCTCTTGACCCCCGGCCCCTGCCGCTGCCCCTCATCACCTCCTCACCCCCAGTGCTGACCCAGAGCAGACTCAAGAGATGCAGGCAGAGGCTGAGGATGCTGCACAGGGTGAGGAGTGAGGCGCCCCCACCACCAACCGGCCACCTGGAAATGCAGACACAACGTTTCCTAAGGTCTCTTCCAGAAACTCAAAGTCCATTCTACACCCCGGAGCCTCAGGTTCTGAGATGCCTTGGACCAGATGTGCTTCCTGCGGTGCCAGAGCCAGCATCTGCCCCGCCCTGGGTCTGCCTGGGAGAATGATGATGGATAAGAGACAGGTGCCACAGACACCTCAGGGGCGCACCTGAGAGGTGCTGGCTGTGCTCCTGGGGATAGGTGGGTGCAGCTTATCCACGGGGGCACCTGGAATGGCAATGAGAGGACTTTAGGACCCACAGGCGGGCAGGACAGCCAGAGCCTCACTCTAAGCACCCCCGGTCCTGAGCCCGAGCCAGAGCAGCCTCCTGCAGCTTTGGGCAAGCTCCTGGGCTGTGTTCAGCCACTTCTGTACGTGGAAAATGCAAGGTTGGTGTCTGCCTCACAGTGCAGCCACCACATGACTGGTGTGGGGAACAAGGTGTGTGATCCTTGTTATAACTGGTTAATAGGAATGACAGCCAACACGGATTCGCAGGTGCTGTGTCCATGCCTCACACCACAGATGCTGAACCTGGCATTCCAGCCACTCTGGCCACTGCCCGTGGGGTGGCTGTGGAAACATGGCTACTCCTGGGGGGAGCACGGCAGGAAGTCACTAGAACCTCAGAGTTAGTGGAGGAGTCTCCTCCAGGCAAAAAGGGAGGAGGAACAGGAGGACACCCTGGACCCAGCAGGGTGGGCCCACATGGGAGCCCCAGGCCATCAAGAGACACCACGGCCCCCACCACCTGTGGGTTATCATTGTGAGCACACAAATGATAGGGTTCAGAGCTCCCCCACCCCTGCCAGCAGCCGGCGCCTTAGGGAACTTCTGGCCCTTCCCAGCCTCAGTTTCCTTATCTGTAAACCACAGGCCAACACGAGCAACGCCAGGCACTGGCATGTAAGGGCCTGCTCAAGATGGAGTTGCAGGGACACCCGGAGACCCCTGGGCAGGTGCAGCCTCACCCCACAGTCCACTCCAGGGCTGCAGGACTGCCGGCAGCCACAGCTGTCTGTGCCCAGCCTCCACGCTGAGAGTGGTGTTTTAACCCTTTGTTTTCATTTTTTTTTTCCTTTAATTTATTTATGAGGCAGAGTCTCACTCTCTCACTCAGGCTGGAGTGCAGTGGCGCAATCTCGGCTCACTGCAACCTCCACCTCCCAGGTTCAAGTGATTCTCCTGCCTTAGCCTCCCAAGTAGCTGGGATTACAGGTGCCTACCACCACGCCTGGCTAATTTTTGTATTTGTAGTAGAGATGGGGTTTCACCATGTTGGCCAGGCTGGTCTCGAACTCCTGACCTCAGGTGATCCACCTGCCTTGACCTTTTTAAAGTGCTGGGATTACAGGCGTGAGCCACTGCACCCGGCCAACCCTTCATTTGTAAAGGGTTATTTTCTTTAAAAAGAAGACACAATGCAGAGAACTAGAGTGAACTGCATTCACCTTCTGCCCCGTTCTGGAAAAGAGGTTGCCACCCCTGGTCCGGACAGGTAAACTGAAGCACGGGGTGGGGAGAAACTGCCGTTCAGTGGTGACAAGGACAGCACTGGGGACCTGGGGGGTGAGGATCCCCGGGACACAGAGGGGCCCAGCCTCTGGCTCCAGCCCGCTTGATGACGTGGTCCCAAAGAAAGACAGGAGTCAGCTGGCCCGGCCCTCTCGCCCACACACACTGGGGCCTGCTGCAGGCAGGGCCGGAGGTCCCCAAGGCCAGAGCCCACCGTCCAGTCTCCTGTGGCGGGAGCAGCCGGGGGCGGCCGGAGGAACGCGACCTGAGTGGGAGGGCGGGGACACTTTGCAGGAGGACAACAGAGGAGTTGTGGCTGCTCACACGCAGCTACTCAGTCTCGGCAGCCTCAGAAGACTTGGAAACACATCTTGTTTATTGGAATTCCTCTGCAAAGTCACATTTTATGTGTTTCCTCTTCCAGTGGCTTTAGAAGTGAGACCAGGCAGAGGGAACCAGCTGCTGGTCCCTGGTCTGGGCCGCCCCTACCTGACTGTGGTTTGACGTCCAGCCCAGGGCATTTGCAGAGGAAAAGCAGCAGCTTAGGCGGAGCAGGGTGAGGGCCGATGGCGCGGCGCCTTCTCGGGTTGCAGCCCGGCCTCCGGGGAAGACAGCTCAGCTGGGAGAGCGGAGAGACCGTAGGGGCTGGAGTGTGTTCGCTCCCTGCCGTCCTTCCGTTGCTGGCCACCGGGCAGGTGCGGTCCCTTCTGCGGTTCCTCGGTCCCCTATGGGGCGTGAGCATTGGAGCTTGTGGTTTCTCAGCTCCTTCCAGCTCTGAGGCTTCTGTCCAAGCAACCCAGGCAGTGCCCGGACACAAAAGATGTCCCTCATCTCAGGCTGACAGGGAGAGCTGGGCACAGGCTATAGCCCTTTCTCCGTTTCCCACTTCACCCGCTGGCTCCTGCTCAGCTTTTAACTTCTCCCCAGATGCCGCCTTCTGCATGAAGCCTGCCGGGGTTTGGCTGTGCCACTGCTGCTGACACACACCCCACTGCCGTGTTCTCTTCGGCCATGCCAGGCACTCCTCCCGTCGCCTGTCATCCTCCCCCCGGGGCAGGACCCCCAGCCCTCACCTGTTTGACCGTCCCAAAGCCGGGGGTGGGAGCGGGAGGCTTTTGGCGAGGTCATGGAGGGAACAGGGTGGTGAGCCCGGCATGAAGGGCCCTTGCTGCAGGGTCCTTGGCCCTGCCCGGTGGAGAAGGGTCATGGGACATGCAGTCCGGCCTCACCTTTGGAGTCTCCACCAAGACAGCCGAGGACTCAGAGAGGCTTGATCTGTGGGACAACGAACCAGCGCCTCTGCCTGAGCCCCCATCCCAACTCCCAGGTGGCGACGCTGAGTCCCTGGAGCCACACAGAGAGTGCTGGAATGGTGGTGTGACCTGAGGCTGCCCCAGCCCTATGGCCAGCACCGTCCTCCCTGCACCTGGCCTGAGGCTCTGTCCCCTCCCCTGTCCCCCCAGCCAAGCACCCTCTGTGGAACATAGAAGCCCAGTAACTGTAAAATATGTGGGTGGTCTGAGCCGGCTGGTTCTGGAGAAAAGGAGATGGGATGTTCACCAAAGAATGTCAGAGGAGAGCGGGCTGGGAGCAAGGGCGCCTTCACCAAACAATGGTTGGCACAGGAGGTGGGAGAGGAGTCCTCAGATCCACAGGCCATGGGGGCAGGTGGATTCCTTCCCAGCTGGCTGTTCCCACCTCTGAAGACCAGGGACATGTGGGCCGGCGGATTCTGCAGTGACTGGTGAGCCCTGACCTGCTTTCATTTGCCCTGTGCGGCAGGATTTCCCTTGGAAAACACCCTTTTGGTACTGAAAGTCACCTCTCTGATGAGCTCCACAGTTGGCTCTAACCTGTTCCTGCCTCCCGGGGTTGTCAGGTGCCAGGGCAGACCTCTGGGGACCCACTCACAAATGTGTCATCTGTCAGGCGGGAGGTGTCCACGCCCTTGACCGTGAGGTCCTCATTCCCATCTGCAGCCTCCTCGTAGGAAACCAGCAGGGCCCTCAGCTGCGGTCTGACATCTCCTGCCAGGTCACGGTGGAATGGGAACCCTGGTGGGATTTGGGGGAGGGTCGAGGGTCAGACTGGAGCACTGGGTCACAACCCACCTCAAACATGGCCTGCAGAGCCCAGAAGACCCCAAGCCAGGTAACAGAGAACATGAGGCGGCAGCAGCGCCTTGTCAAGCAGCCGCCCTGGAGTTGCCAGGGGCCCTCGCCTCGGGTGGCTTGCGGGGCTAATGCTGACCCAATGTGAGCCACACACAGGCTCACGTCTGCTGCATTTGTGCCTTGCAACGTCCCGGCGTGACCAGCAGAGCCATCGCTCTCTTTTTAATAAACAGAGAGTTGGTGAGGTTGTGAACTCTGTCCAAGACCACAGAACCACCATAAAACAAAGTCCAGGTTTCACAACTCCAAGGCCTGGCCAGCTAAAAACCCATTCTGCTCGCCACCCATCCATCAAGAAACCCGTCAGCCTCAAAGTACACACTCCAGCACTCACCTGCTTCGCCAAGGCCAGGTGGGCCTGCCCTGTCACTGCTAGCCATGGGTAGACATTTACATTTAAAGTGACAAGAATTAAATACAATTTAAAATTCAGCTCCTTAGCTGCACCAGCTGCATTTCCAGAGCTCGACAGTCACGTGTGACTCGTGGCCACCTTACTGGACAGTGCGGATCTAGAATGTTCTGCCATTGCAGGAAGTTTGGACAACTGCAATAGCCTCTGCCCAGCCCCCCACCGGAGGAGGCTTTAACACATGTAATGAGGGGTCTGCCGGGCTGCCCACGTCCCTCAGGCCCCTGCTCCAAAGTCACCCGCTGGGGAGGACGTCCCTGACCTCCACATCTGAGACAGAAGCCCCTCCCCACACTCTATCCTTTCACAGCTTTGTCTTCAGTGCACGTGATGTGGGATATGTCCTTCTATCACGCATCTCACCCCGTGCAATGCAGGCTCCATGATGGCAGGAAAGGGCTCCGTCCTCAGCCCCAGGGCTGGGCACACAGCAGGTGTGCCCAGGAATTAATCATTTCCAGACGCTGGCGCAGCACCTGGTGCCCAAAGCCATAGGCCTGGGAGCTGTGCAGGTCTTGCAGGCAGACGACACCACTTAGTGGACGCGATTTCTTCCCTGGTCCCACTGCCTGGTGCGTGCAGAGAAACTACTCCCAAGTGGGAAGTGAGTGGCTTGTTGAGGCTTGGGACAAAGCTCAGGGGTGTCCCAGGTGAACCCCCTTCTCTAAAACAAGCAGGTCCCTCCCTGCTCCGACACTGAAATGACATCACAGGGCACTGAGGACGTGGGGCCCGTCCCCGGCTGCTGCAGTGCAGTGCCACCTGCAGGCCGTGTGGCCTGAGCAGGCTGTGTCATCTCCAGGCCTGCAGTCTCTCGTCTGTAGGAAGAGGATGATCAGTAGCCCAGCCTTGGAGGTTTGTGTGGCGGAGGGGGGAATAAACCAAGTAACCAGGGGCGGGAGCTTAAAGAGTGATTGCACCAAGCCACATTCTGCAGGTGCTGGGCCACGCTGGGGCCTGAGTGTTTGTGTCCCTCCACATTCATTTGTTGAAATCCTTAACCTCAAAGTGATGGGATTAGGAGGTGGGGCCTTCGAGAGGTGATGAAGTTAAGAAGCAGAGCCCTCATTAATGGGATTCGTGCTTTATAAGAGGCCCTAGAAAGCCCCCTTACCCCTTCCGCCATGTGAGGGCGCAGTAAGATAACCATCTATGAGGAAATGGGCCTCACCAGACACTGACTCTACTGATAAGTTAATCTTGGACTTCCCAGCCTCCAGAACTATGAGAAAGGAACTTCTGTTGTTTATAAGCCACCTAATTTATGGGTTTTTTTGGTTTTTTTTAGAGACAGGGTCTCGCTCTGCCACCCAGGCTGGAGCACAGTGGTGAGATCATTGCTCACTGCAGCCTCAACCTCCTGGGCTCAAGCAATCCTCCTACTTCAGCCTCCTGAGTAACTGAGACTGCAGGTGCACACCACCACACCCAGCTAATTTTAAAATGTTCTGTAGAGATATGGATCCTCCTGTGTAGTGCCCAGGCTAATCTCGAACTCCTGGCCTAAAGTGATCCTCCAGCCTCAGCCTTCCGAAGTGCTGGGATTACAGGTGTGAGCCACCATGCTTGGCCTCCAATTTATAGTATTTTGTTAAAGCAACCCAGATGGACTAAGACAACTCTCATAATCAATATCATCATCCTTATCATCACCACCATCACCACCATCATCACCACCACCACCATCCACATCCACATGATGATGGCAGCCATGCTAAGGAGTCATGGAACCCATGTTAAAGGTATGGGAAGACATAGAGGCACATGGAGGAGAAGAAGGATGAGAACAATGGAGATGATGATGATGATGATAATCATGGTGGTGACAGCAGCAATGATAATGATGGAGAAGAAGCAGGAGAAGACGGTGGTGATGACGATGATAGTAATGACGGGACCTGGATGACGATGATGGCCGTGGTGGTGATGACAATGATGGTAATGATGGTGGTGATGATGGTGGTGATGATGATGATGGTAATGATAGTGATGGTGGTGGTGATGGTGGTGGTGGTGGTGATGGTGGTGGTGGTGATGGTGGTGGTGGTGGTGATGACAATGATGGTAATGATGGTGATGATGGTGGTGGTGATGATGGTGGTGGTGATGATGATGATGTGGTGATGGTGGTGATGATGGAGGTAATGGTGATGATGGTCATAGTGATGATGGTGATGATGATGAGGATGATGGCGCCGGTAGTGACGCCGGCGGCGACGCCGGTGGCACCTTTATCACCACCATCATCACCATCACCACCATCATCACTACCACCATCACTGCCATCATCATGTGATGACTCTCAATACTGTCCTCATCATGTGTGACTTGGACTGTGGACCAGCCCCTCGGGCTCTGCTCTGCTGACCTATATTCTTTGTCTCTTGTTCCTGAGAAGCTGGGAGTTGAGACCCAGTAAGGTGTTGTACAGACACTTGTGACCCCAAATTCCATGAGACAGAGGACCTCCCATTTTCTTTTCCTTATTACCGCATGTCATCTTCCTGCACAAAGTGGATAAGACCTTGATGTCTGTCTCCGTTTCCCAAAAGAGTTACCAAGGGGGTGTTTTCCGAACTACCTGGCTCAGACTTCTTTCCCAGCATGGCCTGGTGAGTGCCAAGGAAAGGAAGCTGAGGCTCTACCAGCAGCCTTAGACCTGACACAATGTCCCTGCTCCATCTCCCTGCAGGAGCCATGCTCACCCCGAACGCTTCCACCAGCTGAGGCTGCATGGTTTCAACAAGAGGAATTTGTTTCTCATAGTTCTGGAGGCTGGAATTCCAAGATCAAGGTATGGCTGACTTGGCTTCTGATGAGGGCCCTTCCTGACTTGCAGGTGGCTTCCCACAGTGTCCTCACAAGGTGAGAGAAGGAGCTCCAGCCTCTTCCTCTCCTTGTAAGGACACCAATCCCATCATGGGGTCCCAGCTTCATGGCCTCATCTAAACTCAATCACCCTCCAAAGTCCCCCCCTCCAAATACCATCACGCTGGGTGTTAGGACTTCAATATACAAATTTGAGAGGGAGACAATTCTGTCCATAGCAGGCCCCTGGGGTCCCCAGCCAGAGTAACCCCACAGAAGCTACCAGTAAATCTCCAAAGCCATCACCATAGCCCACCGAACATTTCACCTCTGCCTGCGTTCTGAGAGTGGGACTTGTTCATTGTTCTGTTTTAATTCTCAGCAGGGCCTATGACCATGTCTGATGTTCAGGGAATGAAGGAGTGAAGAAAGCAGGAATGAACGAAGGAAGGAAGCAGCTCCAGCAATTGGTTCCCAGGCAAGAAGCTGGTGGGGTTCTGACTTCTATCCCGATTCACACCCTTTCCTCCTGCCCTCAGGGCAGTCCTTCTCCTGCTCTTGTTCATTCATCCCCTTCAGCCCTTTCTTATTCTCTTCTGTAGCCGAACCACAAAAAATAAATACATTAGAAATGTTTTCCGAGCTCATCAGATGCATCATGTCTATTTCTCTGCCCCAGCCCAGTGGGGTGGGTGATGCCTTTGCAGCCCCCACTTGCCAGGGGCACCTTGTGGGCATCTAGATCTCCAGACCTCAAAGCCAGCACCCACCCAACTGCAGGGTGCTGTCTGCGCTGTACGCATTCTGAGAGCTCCGTGGCCTGGGCCAGCCCCAGCTGGAACCTCGGGTGCCCTTCACTCTTCCAAAAGAGGCTGTTTGCTTTCAAAGAAAGGAAAGAGTAGAACTGCAGACTGCATTTGGCTACACAGCCTGAGACTCCTGGGAACAAAATAACCCACACAAACAAAATCCACAAGGAGCCCCAAGCCTTCACTTCAATCCACTTGGCTCTCAACACCCTCCTGGTCTCATATTTTCCTTTCTGTCCTTCAGAGGAGGGTAGCTAATAAGACTTTGTCTCTTGCCTCTGGTAATTGTTTCCTAGTGCCCCTAGCACTGCTATAACAAATGACCACTGACTTAGAGGCTTCCAACCACACACATCTAGTCTCTCCCAGTTCTGGAGGTCAGAGGTCCTAAGGTCCAGGTGTTGGCAGGGGCTGGTTCCCTCCGGACACTCCTGGGAAGAGCGATGATGAACATCTATTGTTCTAAAGTCCAGTTTGTGGCAGTGTGTTACAGAGGCAACAGGAAACTGATACTCCATAGAAGTCAGTGGGAAAGTAAGACTGCAACAGGTCACAGCACTCCCGTTTACACAACATACTTCCTTAGTTCAAGCCAACACCCTCCGCTGTTGAGTTCTCCAACAGCCTCAGCTTAGCCTCTATCTCAGCCTACCAAATGCAACAGAGATGCTTCTAAGACACACTCTTGCCTGTGTTGCTTCCAGCCTGGAGTCTTCAATAGCTCCCCATTGCCCTTAGTACAAACACTGATCTCAAGCATGCATTGTGAGGACGTGGCTGTGTGTGATCCCTGGATTTACTTCTCCAGTGCATGCTCTTCTCCCTCTCCTTCCTGTCCTCCCTCCTCCACCTCCTGAACACAAACCTCCACTAGTTTCACAAACACGCCACCTGTCCTGTTGTATAAGAGGGTGAGTGCCTGGTGTGGTGCCGGGTGCATGGTGGGGCTGTGCTGGGACTGAGCAAGGTGTCACCTCTGGTTCAGCCACTACCCAGGCAAGTGCCCAGGGTTTCCACTTTTCTCCTCTAAAAATGACAATATTGGGCCTGAAATTAGCCTTAATGGTCTACCCCACTCCTGTGAGTTAACAACAATCAAAACATTTTGGGCCAGGAAAAAAAGTTGCCCAGAAAAATGAGAAGGTTTTGGCCTCGTGTATCCAGATTAGCTGTTTGTGTGGACTGAGACCCATCCACTGGTCTAAAGCCCCCAGCCCCATGTATGGGTACCCATTTTGCAGCACAAAGGGTCAAGACAAGACAACAAGAGAGAGAAAAGTAGAGGAAGTAACAGGGTGGGTGGGGTGGGAAATTGTGATAAGGATCTTGAAAGTTCCCCAGAGTCTGGTTGCCTCCTGGTTGGTTAAAATTTCTGTGCGTTTTTCTTTTCTTTTCTTTCCTTTTCTTTTCTTTTTTTTTTTTTTTCCGACACAGTCCCACTCTGTCACCCAGGCTGGAGTGCAGTGGTGCAATCTCGGCTCACTGCAACCTCTACCTCCTGGGTTCAAGCGATTCTCCTGCCTCAGCCTCCCAAGTACTTGGGATTACAGGTGCCTGCCACCATGCCCAGCTAATTTTTTGTATTTTTAGTAGAGACAGTTTCATCATGTTGGTCAGGCTGGTCTCCAACTCCTGACCTCAGGCGATCCACCCACCTCGGCCTCCCAAAGTGCTGGGATTACAGGTGTGAGGCACTGTGCCCAGCCTGTGCCTTTTTCTATGGCAACAATTAGCACAGAAAACAATTCCCCCATAGGAGCATTTCCCCAGCACCCAACCTCGTGCCTGGCATACAGTAGGAGCACAATAAGTGCATGTGGAATGGTGGATAAATGAACGTGCCTAGTGCTTTTCTAGAGAGCACATCCCAGGGGCATGCAGACACGCATGTCCAGGTGTCCAAATATCCTTCCCCAACTCCAGTCAGAGAGAGACCATGAGAGACCCCAGCTGGGAAGAACCATCACATCCCCCCATCAGAGACCCCGGTTGGGAAGAACCGTCACATCCCCCCATCAGACCTTTGCTCCCCTTCTCCTCTGTGGGGCTGACACCCAAGCATTACCATCCTTATCCCTCCAGCTCTTACTTCTGGTGCTATCTGGAGACATGCATTTGGGTTGTTACGATCAGAAGTGACAGTGGCAGCTCTGCACTTGCGAAGGTCCAATAGATGTATAATTGAGTCAGTGCAGCCGACTGCGTTAGGAGCTACACTTCCTCGAGGCTCCAGAGGCTCTCTACAGAAGGCCAGTGTATAAGCAATGTCCTTTCAGTGTTTTTAGTGAGACATCCTCCCCTCATTGGGGAACATTCTAGACACAAGGTTTGAGAAAGAAGGACCTTCCTTTCCAAAAGGGAAAAAGGAGGCCACATTTGGCTTACTGAGCATCCATTCTAAATGGCATTTGAGGTGCCTCCTACGTGCAGAAGCAGGTAGTGACACAAATGCAGAAGGAGTGGTGCATGGTGCCCACACCGGGGACTAGCATCTAAGGCTGTGCTCCTCAAACTCCACAGACAGGTGCCCCCGGAATCTCGTAGACATGTAGATTCTCGTGCAGTGGATCTGGGCAGGGGGAGGGTCTGCATTTCTAATGGGCTCCCGAGGGCTACAGAGGCAGCTAGCCTGGACTGGGATCCATGTTCCCAGCCTGGAGACCCGTGGCACTGGCCATCCCTGAGAGTTTGTTTGATATGCAAGTTCTGGGGCATCCCAGACCTCCTGTCTCAGAATCCCTGGCAGTGGTGCCTGGGGACCCAGGTTGAACAGGACTCCCAGAGATTCAGATGCTCTGGCAAGTCTGAGCACCATGGGGGCCAGACCATGGCAACAGCCCATCCAGGAGCTGCACTTCGCCCTTCCTGCATGCTGTAAGATGTCATTAAGCAGCCCATGCCCCACTAGGCCAGGCACAGCCTCAGAACCCTCCAGGCAGCAGTCCAGGCCCCCAGGATGATAGTACGACACCCCAGGTCTACACAGACACTAAGGAGACAGCAGATGGTCCCCCAAGATGTGCTAGATGCTACCCAAGTGAGATGCACAGTTACACGGGTGCTCGGTCCGGGGAGGGAGCAGCCTGTGGTGCTCTGGGGGAGAGGAGGTGTTGGGGTGTCACAGGAGAGGTGAGACGTGATCTGGACCTTGGAAGGAAAGGAGGAGTTGTCCAGGGCAGCAAGGAAGGGCACCCCAGGCAGGGGTCACGGCACTGGCAGAGGCACAGAGGTGGCAAAGCTTGTTGTTTGCTTGGAAACTGCGTGAATCAGCTTAGGGCCAGGCCCTGAGCTCCAAAGTGGAGATGGGGTTATGGGAGGAGAACTGGGGAGCAGGGGAGCCAGGAGGCTGGTGTGAAAGACAGGGCCCGGGATGCATCCCAGGAAAGCCCCTGCCTACCCGCTTTTCTTCCCAGGCCCCTTTCCTGAGACCCTGCTGGGGAAAAAGAGACAACAGCGCAGGAGGAGGAGAGGGCAGTCAATGTGATTTCAGACACTCCAAGATAAACAGGGAAACTAAGAGTTCAGACTCGTTACATTGGCCATGGGAAAAATCACCATTAGGCACCGCATTTTAATACAGCATTCTGTCTGGTTTTGATTTCACAGATGTAAAAAAAAAAAAAAAAAATGCAGGCAATCTGGAATTAAGTTGGACTACTTCCAACTGTTTCTATAAACCACATTTGGGATTCTTCCAGCATTTCTGAGATTCAATTTACAGAGATTTCTTCAAGTCAAAAAAATAAAAAAGAAAGAAAAAAAGAACCTAAATACCCTCTGTGGGGAGCAGTTGTTGGGGTCCCGGCTGGTGCCATGTTCCCACAAGGGGCCTCCCTGTCCTAGTGTAATTGGCGTAATTCACACTGTTCTGATTACAGAGGGCCTGTGAGATGTTGCATTTAGGAGCCATTCCGGAGGTCTTCCTTCCTGCATGCAATTTCATCTGCATTTTTATCAACGAGAATTTTGCTGTTAATAGAACGTGTGTTCTCATGCTGACCGTGAAACTGAAGTCATACACCTGGGCAGCTGCTGGGCCCACATGTGCTAGGTTCTGCGGGGTCTGGTCAGATCTGGGAGGCCTAGCTTGGAGGCGGCTTTCCTAGGCCACCCCAGGCAAAGAAGAGCTGCTTCAGGGTCCCCAACCTGCGCCACCCGCTCAGGGCTCCCCCCACCAGGTGAGCTGGACCCTGGGGGTCTCCACAGACACCTCAGCTAGTCCTGACCTGCTGGCCAGACGCCCACCAGCCCTGCCTTCCAGAGGGCCCCGCTACATCGTCTTCATACCCCAGGGCCTCCCAGCCGCCCCACCTGCAGGGCTGCTAGAACTTTCTCCCGAGACAAAGCCTGCCATTGTGCCTCCCTGGAGCCCGTCTCTGCAGTGGGGGGCAGGGTGTGTTGAGCGTCCCGGGTCCAGTGTCTCCGGCGTGTCCTGCATCTCGGCAGCCAGCTCCTCTGCAGCTCAGGCCCCGTGAGTCACAGCCGCTTCCTCAAATGCTTTGGCTGACCGCATCCCCCCGCTCCGCCAGAACCCTGGATGCCGGAGCCCTCCCAGCGAGAGCCGTGTTTATTTTACTTTACATACATTTTCCAACCCGGAGCGGCTTCAACACATGCAGCTCTTAGGCCCGGGCCGCACATCTCAGAAGCCCCGTGTGCGACTTTGACTGCCGCACGATCCTCTGCCGGGGGAGGTGGGCCCGCTGCGCTTTGGGAGCACCCGCGCCCGACACTGAGGTCTCGGTGCTGTCTTCGGCCTCTTCGCCCCTGAGGGTCCCCTCTGGGAGCAGAGGCGGTCGGAAAACCCTGGGGCTGAAGTGCAGGCTTCGGGAGGACGCGACCTGCCAAGATCAGCTCCCGGCACGTGATGGGAGCCTGGCTCACCTTCCCCCAGCACACGATGGGGCTGCAGCCTCCCCGGTCAGCCTGGCCTGCTGGAAAGGAGCAGCTCTGTCTCCAGAGGCTTCTGGCGAAGCCCATGGCCTCCCAATGTTGGCTGATTTATAAGGAAAGAGGGGAAAGGCCAAGTGTGGATGCCATTAGCATAACCTAATCCAGACCCCATGACAAGTCCAGGATCCTGCAGGGAGAGGGCATCCTTGAACGTGAAGGACTGGGTTTGGAAACTTGGCCTCCCGGAAGAAAGGTCTCCGGGCCCACCCACACCCCCCTTGTGGACGCCCCCGCAGTCTAATACACTCCACAGTAAGACGGACCAGGAACAGCAGCAGCCTCCGGTGTCGGCCCAGTGATCCGGGAGCTCAGAGTGTAGGTACCTGACGGCTTGACTCGTCCCCAGGACAAGGCCTGTGAGTGGGAGAGGGGCACTCTGAGTGTGCGAATCTGTGAGAGTGTGTGTGTGTCTGGGCACGAGTGTGTATGCGTGTGTGTGCATGTATATTCACATGTGTGAGGGTGTGAATGTGTGTGTCTGTGGGTCTGGGCACATGAGTGTGTGTGTGCATATACTACATTCACGTGTGAGTGTGCAAATGCGAGTGTGTCTGTAGGTCTGGGCACGTGTATGCGTGTGTGTGCGAGTACTATATTCGCATGTGTGAGTGTGCGAATGTGTGTGTCTGTGGGTCTGGGCACACGAGTGTGTATGCGTGTGTGTGCATGTACTATATTCACGTGTGTGAGTGTGCGAATGTGTCTGTGGGTCTGGGCACATGAGTGTGTGCATATACTATATTCACGTGTGTGAGTGTGCAAATGTGTGTCTGTAGGTCTGGGCACATGTGTATGCGTGTGTGTGCGAGTACTATATTCACGTGTGTGTGAGTGCGAATGTGAGTGGGTGTGGGTCTGGTCACATGTATGTATGCATGTGTGCATGTATTATAGTCATGTGAGTGTGCAAATGTGTGTGTGGGTCTGGGCACACAAGTGTGTATGCATGTGTTTCTATTGTATTCATGTGAGTATAAGTGCAAATGTGTGAGTGTGTGTTCTCTGCACACACAAGTGTATAGGTATGTGTTTGTGTGTGCATGCACTGTATTCATGTGAGTGTATGTGAATGTGTGACTGTGAGAGTTTGAGTGTGCCTGGGTGTCTGGCTATACTAGTGCATGTCTGTGTTCGTGTGCATCAGTCTGGGTGTGCCCGTGTGTGAATGTGTCTATGCGTGGGTGTCCCAATATGTGTGTGCCTGTGTATCCATGTCTGGGTGTGCCTGTGAGTGTGAGTGTGCGCATGGGTGTCTGGATATGTGAGTGCTTGTGACTACCTGTGTGTGTATCCATGTCTAGGTGTGCCCGTGGGTGTGAGTGTGTCTGTGCGTGGGTGTCTGGATACGTGTGTGCCTGTATGAGTGTGTATCCATGTCTGGGTGTGCCCACGGGTGTGAGTGTGAATATGTAAGTCTTGCGTGTGCATGAGTGTGTTCACATGAGTGTGAGGGTCTGTGCATAAGAGCCTATTGTGAGTGCATGTGGATTGCATTTATGTGAGTCCGTGTCTGTGTGCACGCACGTGTCCCCGCACAAGCCAGCCCGAGAGGGAGTGTCCCCTGAACACACCCTGGCAGCACTTGCAGCGTGATGAGGTTGAGGGAATGTGTCGCTGAGGTCGTAAATGCCTCTCGCACGTCCCAACACGCTGGAGCAACAGCAGCCCGTGATGCCGGCCGCGCAGCCGTGAAGTCCGTGGAGCGTCCCTAATCACTGGGGGTTCTGCTTTGCGGTGACAGCGGTGCTACTCACAGCTCCAGAACTCTGCAGCTTCCCCCCTGAAACGGGAACGGGAAGGTGGCGCGGGCGTCCACACCTCGAGCCACAGCCGGCGGGAGGCACAGGCTGGCAAAACTGCCTCTCAGTAGTGAGAAGAGACAAACAAACCGAACGCCAGGAGCAGAGGAAACGAAGACGATGTGGCCAAGAAAAATTGCATTTTTCTTTCCAGTTTTGCTAAAATAGCCTTCTCATTGGCTGCGGCTTTGGAGGTGGCAGAAATCATACGTTTAATCACGGCGCCCTCCTGCTTGCCAAGGTTAGCAGGGGCTGTACTGCTGTGCCCTCCTGTCCCTGGAGGCTCTGGTGGCCCCACTCCCCACACTGCCAGGCTGGGTGCCACGCTGCCGTGACCCCGGAATTCAGCCTGTGGTGATCGGTCTTCCCTAGCACGGAGCTGAGTTAGGGGCTCTAGAATCAGTCCCAGCCACGTGAGGCTCTCCCTGGGATGTGAGGGTCGTCTCGTCTGTTTACACGGGGGCCACAGTGCAGATCCCAGCCCGGGCAGGGGAGGGGCAAATCTATGCCCACTTCAAGCTTCCACTTCTGCCCGCCTCAAAGTGCCGGAGACTCCGGCACCTCTGCGTTCCTCCTTCCCGGTAGGAACAGAAAGCTGGGAAAGGGCTGGGGTGGCAAGGAAGAGCCCCAGGAAGACGGGAGTGGCTCTCCCCACTCCCTAGAGGACCTCCCTCCCCCAAGCCCATGGGCCGCCTTCTCCAGGGACTCTTCCCTGTCCCACCCACCGGGCAAGGTGGGCCCAGCAGGGTCTCCTTTTCACCGTGCGCCCCCTCCTGTGGCCGGGTCCTGGGCTAATGACCTCACATGCTGCTTTTACAAGTCAGGTTTATTGCGGTATCACGTACACACATAAGGCTCACCCGTTTTCGATGTACAGCCGACGACTTGGTAAGGGTCTAGAGTGGGGCACTTCTGCCCCGACAGAGGCAGCCCACATTTTGCCCCTCTGCAGTCAGGCCCCTTCCCGGCCCCCAACCACCACCTGTCTCTCCTCGCTCCTACAGCTTTGCGTCCTCCAGAATTGTCCTGTGAGTGACTCCCGCAGGATGGAGACTTTTGTGTCTGGCTTCCTTCACTTCGCAGCAGGCTTCGCGGGACCCGTGTGGTGGCACCAGCGTCCAGCCCTTGGTACTGCTGAGTTGTAGGTTGTGGGACAGGTGGAGGTACCACAGTTGCTCACGGGTTCACCTGTGGATGGGCATGTGGGCTGTTGTGAGTGAAGCCACTTCAGACGTTTGCGTGCAGGTTTGGTGGGGACGTGCAGTTTCATTTCTTTTGAGAGTGGGATTGCTGGAGCCTATGTTAAGGGTACGTTCAACTCATCAGCTCAACTGTCTTCCAAATGGCAGCCCCGTTTTCCACCCCCGCCAGCAACGCCCGCGACTCCAGGCGCGCTGCATTTTCATCAGCACCTGGCAGTGGTGATTCATAATGCTTTAAATGTTAATTTCCCTCATGACTAGTGATGTTAAACATCTTATTAAACATCTTAGGTATTATTTCATGTGTTATTTCAAATCTTTTACCTACTTTTTAGTGGATTATATTTGTCTTCTTAGTATTGAGTTCTAAGAGTTAAATATTGTGGGTACAAGTCCTCTATCAGAAATGTGTTTTGTAAATACTTTCTTCTAGTCTGTGGTTTGTCTCTTCGTTTTCTTAAGTATGTCTTTAAAGAGCAGAGGCTTTTGATTTGGATAAAGTTCAGCTTGTCAGTTTTTTCTTTTAGGGTTATGTTTTTGTATCCTATCTAAGAATCTTTGACTATCAAATTCTCACAAAGCAGTTTTTTGTTTTCTTCTAGATGTTTTACGGTTTTAAATTTTACCTTTAGGTCTACAACCATTGTGATTTAGATTTTGTATTTAATGTAAGGTATAAGTTGAGATTCATTTCTCTCTGTTTTTGGAGACTTATGTCCAGCTATTCCAGAACCATTTGTTGGAAAGAGTATCTTTATCCCAACAAGTTATGTGGGCACTTTGTTGAAAAAGATCTATTGACCATATATACATGCGTTTATTTCCAAGACTCTATTTTGTTCTGTTGACCGACTTGTTTGTCCTTATGACAATATCACACTGTTTTGATTACAGTGGCATTATTGTACCTCTTGCAAAAATCAAGTGTGAATCTTCCAAAGAAGATTTGGAAGATTTTCTCTTTCAAAGTTGTGTGAGTTATTTAAGTGCCTTTTCATTTTCATATAAGTTTAGAATTAGCTTGCAGTTTCTAAAAGAAAAAAAAAAAGGCTGATGAGACTTTGATTGTGATTCCATTGGATCTATAGCTCAGTTTGCAGGGATTTACATCTTAACAATACTGAGTCCTCAAATCCATGAACATGGTACATCTCTCCATTTATTTAGGTCTTCTTGTATTTTTTCTCATCAACATCTTATAGTTTTAAGTAAACAAATTTTGCACATATTTTGTAAGATTTATCATTAAGTATTTCATGTTTGTGATGTTATGGTGAATATTGTTTTTAAATTCAATTTCCTATTGTCCACTGCTAGTATACGGAAATACAATTGGTTTTCATACATTAACCTTATGTCCAGCAACTTTGCTAAATGTATAAGCTCTTACACATTTGCTGGTAGATTGTTTAGGATTTTCTACATAGATGATCATGTTGAGTGCATATAAAGGCAATTTTATGTCTTATTTCCAATCTGCATGCCTTTCACTTCTTTTCCTGGCTTTATTTCAGTGGCTAGAACCTCTAGCACAGTGTTAATAAGAGTGATGAGAGTGACATTCTGACTTTGTTTCCAGTCTTTCTGCTTTGATCATTATCATATTCTTTCTTTTCCTTACTTCGAATTTATTGTGCTCTTCCTTTTCTAGGCTTTTAAGGGTAGAAGCTTAGATTACTGATTGGAGAACTTTCTTCTTTTCACATATATACATTTAATGCTATAAATGTTCTTCCAAGCACTGCCTTGCCAGCACCTACAAATTGTCATATGTATTTTCTTTTTTGCTCAATTAATTTTTTTTTCTAATTTCTCTTTGGATTTTTTGATCTATGAGTCATTTTAAAATATGTTCTTTAACTTCCAAATATTTGAAGAGACATACTATTAATTTCTGGCTTAATTCTGTTGTGGCCACATATTTCACATAACTTCACTTTTTAAAATTTGTTGAGATCTGTTTTATGGCCTGGAATATGGTCTATCTTGGTGAATGCTCCATGTGCATTTGTACAAAAGTGTGTATTCTGGCCAGGAGTGGTGGCTCACGCCTGTCATCCAAACACTTTGGGAGGCCGAGGCGGGTGGATCACGAGGTCAGGAGATCAAGACCACCCTAGCCAACACAGTGAAACCCCGTCTCTATTGAAAATACAAAAAATTAGCCAGGCGTGGTGGCGGGCACCTGTAGTCCCAGCTATTCGGGAGGCTGAGGCAGGAGAATTGCTTGAAGCTGGGAGGCAGAGCTTGCAGTGAGCTGAAATCGTGCCACTGCACTCCAGCCTGGGCGACAGCGAGACTGCGTCTCAAAAAAAAAAAAAAAGTGTATATTCTGCTAATATTGAAAGTATTGCTTAATAAATGTCAAATCAATCAATTTGGATGATATTGTGATTCAGGGTTCTATATCCTTACTGGTTTCCTGTCTACTTGTTCTATAGCTTACAGAGAGGAGTATTGGAGGAGTATTGAAGTTTCCAACGATACTCAGGGATTTTTCTATTTCTTCTTTACTTTGTGATCCATGTGTTTTGAAATTCTGCTGTTAGGTGCAAGCATATTTACAACTGCTATATTTTCCTACAGAATGGCACTTTGTTTGTTTGTTTGTTTATTTTTTGAGACAGAGTCTCACTCTGTCACCCAGGCTGGAGTGCAGTGGGACCATGTTGGCTCACTGCAACTTCCATCTCCTGGGTTCAAGCAATTCTCCTGCTTCAGCCTTCTGAGTAGCTGGGATTACAGACACCCACTACCACGCCCGGCTAATTTTTTTATATTTTTAGTAGAGATAGGGTTTCACCATGTTGGCCAGGGTGGTCTCGAACTCCTGACCTCAGGTGATCCGCCCACCTCGGCCTCCCAAAGTGCTGGGATTACAGGTGTGAGCCACCGTGCCTGGCCAGAATGGCACTTTCAGGATCATATAATGTATCTATTCATCTCTGGTAATATTCCTTGTTCGGACGTCTATTTTATCTGATACTAACATCTCTGCCCCAGCTTTCTTTTAATAGTTCAGAATATAACTATTTCTGTCCCTTACCTTCAATCCACTTATGTTTTTATGTTATTTTTTTTCTTTTGTAGACAGCATAGAGTTGGATCTTGTTTTTATATCTACCCAACCTAAAAATCTGGATATTTTTATTGGGAAGTTGAATTTAAATCTACCACCTTGACACTTATTTTGTATTGTCTCATCTGTTCTTTTTAAATAATTTTTCCTTTTTTCTTCCTTCTATTGGATCAAGAACTTTTTTTAAAGTGAAAGCCAATTTATTAAGAAAGTAAAGGAATAAAAGAATGGCTACTCCATAGGCAGGGCTGCTGAGTATTTTTTTATTATTTCATTTCATCTTCACTATTGCCTTGTTATACCTCTTAGTGTAGCTATTCATGGTTGCAATAGGGCTTATGATAAAGTTACAGCTGTAGCTTCTCAGTCTGCCATTACACAATATTCTACCACTTCACATACATGTAGTAACCTGACAGCAGCGCCTGTACTTCCTGCCTCCCATCCTTGGTACTGTTGTTACCACAGATTTGCTTCTGCATGTTACAAACCCCACAATACACTTTTCCCGTCTTTGCTTCAGGTAGTCAATTATCTTTTTGTTTGTCTTTGGATATCTTTTTAAAGATATAATCCACATACGTAAAATGCACCCATTTAAAGCATGCAGTTCCAGAGACCAGAGGTTCTCAAACTCTGTATGGGAATCACACAGGTTCCTGGTAAAAGGCAGACTTCCAGGCCCCTGCTGGAGTTTCTGACTCAGCAGGTCTGGGTGGGGCCTGAGAATCTGAATTTATAGCAAGTTCACAGGTGAACATTTGTGTGGCTATCAAGGGACACCTGGGGCCGGGCAACTTCTAAAGAAAAGTGGTCTCTTTGGCTCACAGTTCTGCAGGCTGTACAAGAAGCCTGGCAACAGAATCTGCTTCTGGTGGGGCCTCAGCCTGCTCCCACTTAGGGTGGAGGGTGAAGGGGAGCCATGTGTGCAGAGGGCACAGTGGGAGAGGAAGCCAAAGGGAGGGAGGGGCCACGCTCTTTTAACACCTGGCTCACGCAGGAACTAATTGAGCAAGGGCCCGCTCATGACTGGCAGGTGGGGTCGGCAGGAAGCCATTCCTGAGGGATCTGACCCTTGACCCAAACCCCTGTCCGTAGGCCTCACTCCAACACTGGGGATACATTTCAACATGAGATGTGGAGGGGACACACGTCCAAACCACAGCACCAGGCAATGCTTACACTGCGGGTCTGGGGCCCACTCCGAGAATTACTGCTCCGGACAAAATTACACACACGGACCATGCACCCACCCACAGGATCACACGCCCGTCTTCGGGTTGGGGGTGCAGGGAGGACGGGTAGAGATGTGTTGGGGTGCAAAGGAAAAGTCCTCATGGCCCACATATGTGCTCTGACCCCGTGGCTCTGCAGAAACCCATGAAAGAGGATCCTGAAAGAGCAAGGGCAGCCTCCAGGTGAAGGTGGTGGGCGGCCTCCAGGTGAAGGCGGCCTCCAGGTGAAGGTGGTCAGCACCCTACCTTTGGCCAAGAGCAGACTGCAGTTTCAACTCAAAGATTATTCCTGAATGAGTGAGTGACTGCATCTCTCTTCTCCTCACCCCTGCTGTGGTTGTGTCTCCTCTTCAAGAAAAACCAATATGTGGAAAGGCCTAAGTCTGCACAAAACAAATATTTATTTTACAAAATATTGTTTTTTGCTTTTCCAGTGCAGCAAGCTTAAACTTCCTTAAAAACAAACCTCTGGGAAGAGGAAAATGAGGCAAGATGCTGAGAAAAAGTCATCTCCCACTCTGCCCTTCTCTGGCAAATCGAAGTGTCCTCTTGTGGGAGGCGGTGGGCAGCGACACTCCCGTTGGACGTCAGTGCTCTCGGGCCCGGCCACCCCGGAGCAGAACTCACTTAGGGCCTGGTGCCCCTGTGCCCAGTTCTCAGAATGTCGGAGTGCTCAGTTCTCAGAACGCCGGAGTGCCCCATTCATAACCTGCAGCCCCGTTCATAGCCTGCAGCTCCCCTCCTTCCTCTCCTCCTGGTCTTCAGGGAGCACCCCCAGCTCCCCTCCCCACTCTCAAACCCTCCTCCTCCCTCCCCTCTCTCAGTTCCCTGTTTGCAGGATCTCCTCCTGCCCACTCTCCAGCCCAGGTCCTCCCCTCTCATCTCCAATTCTGCTTCACGGGCCATGACAGCAGGCAGGCCATGGCCTGCTCTCAGCAGTTTGATCGATGGACTAAGGAGATCACTCCTACGAGAGTGAAAAAGTCAAGTGTGCCTGAGATTCGGATGGGGAGCTCTCAAAGCTATGGATTGCAAGAGTCAACACCGCCTCAAAAGTACAAGGCCGGCCGGGTGCAGTGGCTCACACCTTTAATCCCAGCACTTTGGGAGACTGAGGTGGGTGGATCACCTGAGGTCAGGAGCTCAAGACCAGCCTGACCAACATGGTGAAATCCCGTCTCTATTAAAAATACAAAAAAAATTAGCCAGGTGTGGTGGTGCATGCTTGTAGATCCAGCTACTCGGGAGGCTGAGGCAGGGGGAGCACTTGAACCCGGGAGGTGGAGGTTGCAGTGAGCCGAGATTGCGCCATTGCACTCCAGCCTGGGCAACAGAGTGAGACCCTGCCTCAAAAAGATAAAAAAATAAAAGTACGAGGCCCGGTTTAAATGCAGGAGGAATCTGGTGAGCGAGTTTCACTCTGATGCAACAGAAAAGCCAAGCCAAGCCTTGGCTGTGCCTGATCTTGGCCGGGGAGCCACAGGCAGGGTCTGCTGGTTTCGGTGTCAGGGGCACATCGCCAGGACCACGTGTGAGATGGGAAGTGCCTTGATGGAAAACTGATACCTTTTTCTTTCCGAGTAACTTTAGAATATGTCGCTTCAAATATAACTAATATCCTGATTTCAATGGACTTGCATGGAAGGAAACGCAAGTTCATTTGCCAGTGGGGGGTGAGGACTGGGAGAGTGGGGAGCAGGGTGGGGAAGAGGGGACCATTCCACAAGCTGCAAGAGCCTGGACACCTCCAGCCTTCAATAAATAGCATTTGAATTTGCTGTGCCTAATTCAACCTTGCATTTGTGTAGTGAAAGTCAGGCCCACGGTGTGTATAGTTTGGCACATGAGTTCAGCTCGGGTCCCCTTGATCTGCTTCTATGTTCTCACTCTCTCCCTGCCCGGCATGCCCCTCTTTTTCTATCCAGATGAGCGAAGGGGTGAATTAGTCCAGAAATGTTTCTGCTCCAGTCAAACAAACATTATCACCTGTCAGTCAAACATTATCACCTGTCAGTCACCAGAGACGTGCACAGGTGCCTTCTCCTTTGCCTCGAGGTTTCTATGACCTGGGAAAAGCCCATCCCATTCCCGGATGAGGCTTCCCTGCGACCGGCCACAGACACACGAGCTACGCCCCGCCTTGCCAAAACTTTCAAGGTGGGATGGAAGAATCTGTCGTTTCTGCATTTACGACCCCGTACGTGTTCCGTGCTGCATCTGTTCTGGTTGGGTTGTCTCTCCTCTCAAGGCCTCTTTTGACCCAAACTTACTGCAAAGCAGATGAGTGAGCCAGAAGCTGCGCTGGGCGTTGGGGGTTGTGGCAGAGGCTGGGGCTGTATGTGGGCCGGCAGGCCACGGGCCGACCCACCGCAGGCAGCTTAGCAACCTGCCAAGGACAAACACATGGTCATCATGATAACAACTTCCCCACCTTCATTTTTTTTTCATATTTCTTTGAGTTTCAAGATTGAGACTTCTTGTAGCAGCTCTTTAATTTCATGGGAGAGAGGGTGGTGTGTGGAGGCCGCCATTGCCTCTCTGCTATCCAACGCCCTAGTGGAGAAGCTCCTGGCAGGGGCTGGAGGCATGGCCTGGCCAAGCTCCTTGGCACTGCAGAACAAATCTCCTTCTTTGACGCCTCTGAAATGTTGATGGAAAGCACACGGGTGTCCCAGCCAGCTCCCCCAGGCCCAGGTCCAATCCATCATGTTCTCTGCACTGCACATCTCTGGGTGGATGGCCTCAAGGAGCAGCGCCAGTGATGTCAGCTCACTCTGGCATCTCCCAAGACAAAAGCATCCCAGGGTGGAGAGCAGGAGGCCCTGCGTGATGATGGACAGAAGGCTGGAACTTGTGAGCTCCGTGCAGTCTGGTACTAATAACTCAGGATCCCCATCTAATGGAAGCATTTTATGAGCTTCGGTGGGTGCAGGGTGCCAGACGTCCTCAGGCCATCAGGCTGAGACCCCCCAGCCCTCTGGGAGTGGAGTAGCCCTGGGGTGGCAGGAGGCAGGTGGGAACTTCTACAAGCAAGAGGGCCTGGTTTGAGTCAGCTTCACCACACACTAGCCACCTGGTGTTTCTGAGCCTATTTGTCGTCTATGACTTAGGAAGGATAATCATACAGATTAAGGTAGGATAATTCCTAGATCATCATAGAGATCAGGGCAGTGTCCTCCAACTCCAGAATTAAAAGGACCAGTGAAACGGATTTCCTCTGTTTCTGTTTTACTGATTCTTCCTTTTTTTCTCTTCTCCTTTCTGGGTGGTTGAGTTTAATTTGCTCTTCTTTCTCTAGTTTCTCAAGGTGATAACTGATTTGGGACCTTTTTTCTCTTCTAACATAAGCATTGAATGCTATACATTTCCCTCTGAAGTGCGGCTTTAACTGAACTCTATACAGTGTGATGGATTGCATTTCCGTTTTCATGCAGTTCCAAATATTTTCTAATTTTCTTAGTGATTTCTTCTTTGAAACATGAGTTATTTAGAAGTGTGTTCTTTAATTTCAAATATTTAGGTAGTCTCCAGACATCTTTCTGTTACTGATATCTAGTTAAATTAATCCTCTTGTGGTCAGAAAACATATATTGTATGATTTTAATCTTCTTAAATTTAGTGGTATCTATTTCATGGCCCAGAATATAGTCCACTTTGATGAATGTTCCATGTTTATTTTGTGGTTAGAGGGAATTTTCTGTAAGTGCCAATTAAGGAAAGCTGATTGGTAACGTTCTTCAAGTCTTCCATATGTTACTGACTTTCTGTCTGCTTATTCTATCAGTTGTTGAGAGAGGGCTGTGATGACTTTCTGATGTGTCTGTTGGTGAGGTTACAGTCCCAGTTACCCAATCTAAATCTATTCTAGGTGCTACTGTGCAGGGATTTTGCAGGTGTCACTAAAGTCTATAATCAGTCCATGTTAAGTAGGGGAGATTATCCTGGCAGGGCCTGACTTAATCAGTCAGAAGATCTTAAAAGCTCAGTAAGCCTTTCCCAAAGGAAAGAAGAAATTTCTCCTATGAACAACAGCTCCAGCTTGTGTCTGTGTCATGTCAGCCCATGTTCACACTTGCAGACAGCCCTCACAATTACATTAGCCAATTTCATTTACACACACACACACACACACACACACACACACGGTTGACCCTAGAATAATGCAGAGGTTGTGGTGCCAACCTTTGCACAATTAGAAATCTGCAAATAACTTTTGACTCCCCAGAAACTTAACTACGAATACCCTACTGTTGACCAGTAGCCTTACCAATAACAGAAATAGTTATTAATACATATTTTGTATGTGTATTATATACTGTATTCTTACAATAAAGCTAGAGAAAAATATTATAACCATAAGGAAGAGGAAATATATTTACTATTGGTAAAGTGGAAGTAGATCATTGTAAAGGTCATCATCCTCATTATCTTCACATTGGGTAGGCTGAGGCAGAGGAGGAAGAAGAGGGGACTAATCTTGCTGTATCAGGGCTGGAAGAGGTGGGAGGAAATCCACCTATAAGTGGACCCTGCAGTTCAAACCCATGTTGTTCAAGGATCAACTACAGATAGATGATAGATAGATAGATAGATAGATAGATAGATAGATAGATAGATAGACAGACAGACAGACGACAGACAAATTCTGCTCCTCTGGTTACACTCTGACTGAACTGATACAGGGGTACTGAAGCCTCCAGCTATAATTTTGAATTTCTCTATTTTTCTGTTCAGTTCTATCAAGTTTTGCTTCATGTAAGTTAAGTTGTATTTAAGAATGTACATATTTAGGATTTTGTGTCCCCTTCATGAACTGACAACTTGATCATTATGAAATAACTGTCTTTATCTCCACTAATATGCTTTGCTAGCAAATCTCTTTTGTTTGCCATTAATAGAGCCACTCTATCTTTCTATTGATTAGTGTTAGCATGATATATCTTTTTTCTACCCTCTTACTTTTAACCTACTTGTGCTTCATATTTAAATTGCATTTCTTGTAGGCAACATATACTTCGGTCTTCCTTCTTTACTGTATCTTACAATTGTTGTTCATAATTTGGAGGTTAGATAATTTACATTTAATGTAATTATTGATTATGTTTGATTTAAATTTATCTTCTTGCTATTTGTTTTCTATTTTCCCCCATCTGTTCTTTCTTTCTTCTTTTCTTCTTTCATGCCTTCTTTTAGATTAATCGAGGGTCTTATTTTTAATGATTCTCTTTTATCCTACTATTGAATTATTAGCTATCCCTTAATTTTTAATTTTTATTGAATGTTCTAGAGTTTATAATATGTATTTTAACTTATCACAGTCTACTTTCAAATGATATTGTTCCACTTCACAGAGGGTAGGAATCACTGAGTGGTGCACTTCCATTCCCCCAACCCTCATTCTTTGTGCTATTATTGTCATACATTTTACTTCCACATATACTATAAACCCCAAAATAAATTGTTTTAAACAGTGAATGATTGAGGAAAATGCATTTATCTATCTTTTGCATTTATCTCTGTAATTACTCTTCACTGATTTGTGTCACTCTAAATTTCCATCTGGAATTATTTTTCTTCTGCTGAAAGAAGAAAAATAAAGAAATGTTGAAGGAAGCCTTTAACATTTCTTGTAGAACAGATTTGCTGACAATGAATTCCATCAGTTTTTATTTGTATAAAATAGTCATTATCTCCAATTTTGAATGATATTTTTACTGAGTTAAAAAAATCATTCTTGGCAGGTTCTCCCCACCTACTGCCTCCTTAGCATATTACAGATGTCTTCCCATGTCCTTCTAGCTTGCATGGTTTCTGTCAAGAGATCTGCTGTCTCTCATATTTTCTTCCTCTATACATAATATGTTTTTTCTTATCTGGCTGCTTCTAAGATTTCTCTTTATCACTGGCTTTCAGAAATTTGTTTATAACATGCCTTGATGTGGCTCTTTTGGTATTTATTCTACATGGGATCTATCAAGCTTCTTAGATCTGTGGGTTTATACTTTCCAACAAATTCAAAAAACGTTTGGCCATTATTTCTTCAAAACATTTTTCTGTCCCTGCCTCTCTTCTCTTTCTAGATCTCCACTTACACACAGACACGATGCTTTGATATTATCCCACAGGTCACCAGTATCCTGTTTTTGTTTTTGTTTTTTAAGACTTTTTTCTCTGCTTTGATTCGAACAGTTTCTATAGCTATAGCTATAGTTTCTCTAGCTTCAGACTCAATGATCTTTTCCTCTATTCTGTGAATCCCATCCAGTGTATTTTTCATTTCAGGTATTAAATTTCTATCTCTAAAAGCTTCGCTTGTGACCTTTTATATGCTTAATTTCTCTCCTTACATGACCCTGTTTTCTTCCTCCTTCTTGAACACATGGAAAACATTTTTAATAGCTGATTAGCATCCTTGTCTGTGAATTCCATCATCTGTCACTTATGATTGATTCCCACCCCCACTCCCACCTCCAATTATGGATCTTAATTTTTTGCATATCTTCTTATTTTTGACCAAATGCCAGACATCGTGAAAATTCATTGTTGATTTCTGGCTTTTGTTGTACTCCTTTGAATAGCGTTGGACTTTATGTGCAATGAAGTTATTTGGAATCAGTTCGATCTTTCTGAGACTTGCTTTTAAATGTTGTCAGGGTGGGTCCAAAACAGCCTTAGGCTATGGCTAATTTACCACCATTTCTCAGGCAACACCCTTCTGAGGATTCTCATATTATAAAGTCTTCCCATTCTGGCTGGTGGGAACATAAACTGTCCCCCACCCTGTCCCCCACCCTGTGTGAGCTCCAAGTATTGTTCTGCCTGCTCCTTTCAGGTGGGTGTTTCCCCAGCCTTCAGCTGTTTCTTCACATGCACACACAGATCAACGCTTAGCCAAAACCCCAGGGGCCCTCTCTGCAGACCTCTGGCGCTCTCTTTGGGCAGTGCTTTCCTCTCCAGTACTCTGCCCTCTGGTTCTTGCTATTTGTCCTCCCTGAACTCGTTTCTATCTCCTCTACTCAGCAAGATGGTCACCTTGATCTCCTCTCCCCTCATGGCAGTGAGCTGGCACCTCCATGGGACACTTGTGTCCTTTCTCACAGGGATCACAGTCTTGAGCTATCTGTTGTCCAATGTCTGAACATGATGCTCTGAACACTTCATCCAGTTTTCTAGTAGTTTACAGCAGCAGGAGGGTAAATCCCCGTTCCTGTTACCCCATATTAGTCAGAACCAGATGTCCAAATAGCAGTAAAATTTTGAGTTTTTTTAACAAAATCATTTTTTATTCCCACATTTTAAAGACTAACCCCAACAAATACATCACCCTCTACTGTCACTGTCATTCCATCACACAGCAGGAAGGACATGATCTCAGGATAAAGACCGTTTCTCCCCAGGGTAACCCAGCGATGGGTCTTCCACCTGTTTATAAACTCTCTACAATGTCCGTATTTAACCACAGAGTCTGTGCATTTTTCATAAGCTAACATTTGGGACTATTCATTGGAGATCATGGAGACACAGTACCTGATCATAGGACTTAAGAATGTGATTATTTTTATGTGTGTGTATCTGAAGCCAAGATTATGAGCCTGACATTCTTTGCTTGTGTCATCCTGGCAGAAAGGTAGGGTTCCTGCTTCAGGAGCTTTCTGAGATACAGCAGGGCAGGCTGGGCCTGGGCTGGCACCATCAGGAGCAAGTTCTTACACTGAGCTCCTGGGTGCAGTCTCTGAAACATGCTCCACACAACTCCAGGTGTTCCTAGGCAAGTGCCTGGGACAGTGATCACTTCGAATTCTCAACATGCTCCTGGAACAGGTGGCAGATGGGCCACTGCTACCTGGGCTGGAGCTGGGGCTAGAACAGGCCAAGGCCCTTTGCATTATTTCAGGGATTCCCAAACATCACTCACATGTGCATCCTCATGACTTTTGCCAAATCTCCATCATGCCTACCTTGGAAAATGCCTACCTTGTTATTTATTTAACGTATTTCTTTAAAATTAGCTTCTCTCTTAAATTTAGATAAATGTATATTTAAAAGACATTTGTACTACTACAATGCTGACCTCCTAGAGGTTGTCCTAGGGTGAGTGTTTAACTGTGATGCACTTCCCCTCCTGTGCCTGGACCCTGGCCTTCGCGGCAGCTCAGGGAAGTCCGCTGTCCCCTGCTACCCCTGGCACTGGGTGTGGAGCAGCAACACTTGCTCGCAGTTGGGGGGAAAGTCAGTTAGCTTCCGGGGAGGACAGTATGCAGGTTCCTCAAAAAATTAAAAATAAAACTACCATATGATCCTGCAACCCCATCAACGGGTACCTATGCAAAGGAAAGGAAATCAGTACATCATTGAGATGTGTCGGACCTGCTCACAACAGCCAAGAAAGGAACCATCCCAAGGGCTGCTTGGCAGACGAGCAGACAAGCAGGGTGTGGTATAGACATGACAGAGCATGCTACAGCCTTTAAAAAGAAGGCCGTCCTGTCATCTGTGATGACGTGGAGGAGGCTGGAGGACGTCATGCCACGTGAAATGAGCCAGGTGCAGAAAGACAAACACTGCACGATCTCACTTACATGTGGCATCTAAAAAAGTTGAACTCACTGAAGCAGAGAGTAGAGCCGTGGTTGCCGGGGCTGGGAACAGGGGGGGAATGGAGAGGTGTCCATCAAAGAGTGAGAACTTTCACTTGTACAGTGAATACGTCCTGGGGATCTAGTGCACAGCCTGGTGACTCTAGTTCAGAATAATCGATTGCGTATGTGAAATTTGAGAAGAGCAGGTCCTAAGCATTCTCATCACACACAAAGGTCACTGTAGGGCGATGGATGTGACAATTAGCTGGATTGTGGTAATCATTCGGCAGTGTATACGCACACCAAAGCTTCACATTACATGCCTTAACTCTATTCAATTTCCATTTGTCAAATATACCTCTTTAGATAAAGGTGGAAAAGAAACACAGTGATAGGAAGTGAGGCTGAGAGAGGTTAAGTGACTCACCCACAGTCACACAGTAAGTCAGCAGCCACAAGTGGGACTCGGGTGCTCTGTCCTCCTCCAGCCTGTGCTCCTGCACCATGCCCCCCATAAATGCATCCTAAAAACAGCAGCTGAAGTCCATGTAAGGCACGCAACATCACTAGTCACTAGGGAAATGCATCTCGAAACCCCAGCCAGGTGCCACTGCACCCCATTGGCAGGGCCGACCCCAGAGAGACTGGTGGGCCCACGTGCCAGAGGCAGAGGAGCCACGGGAACCCTCATGCACCGCTGGTGGGAACGTGGCATGGCCGCTCTGGAGAAGGGTTTGTTCAACATGCACACGCCAAAGCCCTTACAAACATTCCTGGAGCACTGGCTGGGTGCTGGGACTGAGGGGCAGACGGCCAATGTGAGCACAAAGGCCGACCTGGGCACAAAGGCTCACAGCAGCTCTGTGTCCAGTTGGCAGACCCGGAATCGGCCCAAACGTCCTTCGGCAGGTGGATGGACCACCACAGCTGGTGCCTCTAAACCCCGGACTCAGCTTAGGACTAAGAAGGATGGAGACAGGCTGCAACCTGGATCGCCAAACGCACTCTGGTAGGTGAAAGGTTGCGTACTGGAGAACTCCACCTCGATGACGTTCTGGAACATGCAAAATCACCTCCAGGACAGAAATCAGAGGGGGGCTGCCAGGGGCTGGCGCAGGGGAGGGGCTGACTCCCAGGGCACAAGGGAGTCTGGGGGAGTGACAGAGCATCCTGCACCTCCGTTTCCATGTTGTTCACACAACCGTACACATTCGCCGAAACTCAGAGAGCAGGAATTGAAAGTGTGGATTTTACTGACATAGATTACATCCCAGCAAACCTGACTTCAGCAACAACAGGTACATCCTCCTGTACCAACGTCACCTCATCCCTCTGCCTCATGGCAGTCATGCGTGAGCTGGGCCCTGTCCTCAACCCCACCCTCTTCACAGCCGACCCTCCCACCCACAGCTGCACACACTTCCGGCCTGTCCCCTGGTGTCCCAGGGACCCTAACACTCTGTCCCCCAACGTGAATGTTCGTCCTGTCCTCCTCCCCACATCCTTCCAGATGGCGTCCTCCCTACCACACACGAGGAGGCCCCCCTCCTGCCCTTTCAGATTCTAATTCTTATTTTTTGTAGAGGCGGGGTCTCACGATGTTGTCCAGGCTGGTCTCAAACTCCTAGGCTCAAGCGATCCTCACGCCTTGGCTTCCGAAAGCTCTGGGATTACAGGCACAGCCACCACAAAGCCCAGCCTCAGAGTCTTATTTTTCTACTTAGCTGTCAGCTCCCAGTTTGCTCTGCAGAAGGCCTCCCGTGGTGCCATTTGCTAATCCTCAAAGCCCAGCCCTCGTCCCAGTGCTTGCCAAACGGCAGGTGTGCAATACAAATGATTAAAGAAGCCGGTGGATGAATGGACAGATAAACAAACTGTTCTGGAGAGGAGATGGGGACAAAATGACTTATCTAAGCCCCATTCTTTGGCAAGAGAAAAGGGACTATTAAAAAGAAAGAAGTTACCTGGACCCCTCTGGAACCTGCACAAGGTCACAATCACACACCAGCAACCCCACACAAGATCACAATCACACATGAGCGACCCGACACAAGGTCACAATCACTCATGAGCCAGCCCAGGCCCACAGCGGGCAGGTGACAGGGAGGCCACGGAATTCCCAGCTCAAGGCCGTTGTCAGCCTAGAAAATATGTGGGGAAAAAAACCAGTTCACTTTGCCTGGATTCCAGCATCTTTCCCAACAGCCTGGCTCTGCTCAGCCTAAAATCAGTAGATCATGAGCCAGCCCAGGCCCACAGCGGGCAGGTGACAGGGAGGCCATGAAATTCCCAGCTCAAGGCCGTTGTCAGCCTAGAAAATATGTGGGGAAAAAAACCAGTTCACTTTGCCTGGATTCCAGCATCTTTCCCAACAGCCTGGCTCTGCTCAGCCTAAAATCAGTAGAAAATGTTCGGCCAAGTTCAGTACCCCTCAGACACCCACACTCTGAGTTTCAGACCAAACTTCAGTCTTTTGAAGTTGAGGTTCTGTTAACACTTGGCTCAAAACCAGAGAGATGGTAAGAGGCTTATAAAGAAGATTTGAAAGGCTACCCCGGTGCCAATTAGCTCTTACAAAACTGTGTTTTGATGAACGAAGTGTAAGTGAATAAGGGACACATGGCTCACGTCTCCCTGGAAACGCACATGGGGTTCATCGCGAAGCGGGTGGAGGGGGACCCGCCCGCCAAACTGCATGACAGGTCGTGCCAGATTCCAAATGTTTGGCGGGGGGGCAGTGTTCAAGACGCCTGGCTGACATCAAAACACTGCTGGATTCTTCCTTCCTCGAAGCCAACATTATTCTCATTAAAACCTAATCAGATCATCCGCTGTAAGGAGTGGTCTGTCCTGGGGAGCGGTGCAGAGAATCCCTCTGTTACACAACAGCTGCTCTTCCGGCAACCAGGGGAGGGGGCTTGGTGGCCACACCCACCCCCCATTTGCAGCTCTGCCCGGGATGGGCGCCCCCATGACCAGAGAGATGAGGAAACGCAGCAGAGTGGCTCCTGAGATGGAATCAGGACTTCCTCCGGGGCTGGGTCTCTGGGTCCTGCCCCCAACCTTGGAAACCTCCCTACCACATTCCTAACCAGGGCCAGGGCAGGAGGTGGCAACTTGCAGGCGTCCAGTGCAGGAGGGAAATCTAATGTGTTGCTCAGCTGGCTGGGGGCAGTGGCGGTCAAGCAGCAGCCTGGACACTGCAGTGCAGGTGCCAGGTGGACGTGGTCGGTGTCAGCAACCAGCTGCCGGAGTCAAGGAGATTCTTCTTGCAATGCAGGGACCCGTCTGGTCAATGGCAGGCCTGAAGAACAAACCTGCAAGCTGGGCATGGTGGCTCACGCCTGTAATCCCAGCACTTTGAGAGGCCGAGGCGGGAGGATCACCTGAGGTCAGGAGTTCAAGACCATTCTGGCCAACATGGTGAAACCCCATCTCTACTAAAAATACAAAAATTAGCCGGGCATGGTGGCGGGTGCTTGTAATCCCAGCTACTTGGGAGGCTGAGGCAGGAGAATCGCTTGAACCCGGGAGGCGGAGGTTACAGTGAGCCAAGATCACACCACTGCACTCCAGCCTGGAGGACAGATGGGATTTCCCTCTCAAAAAAAAAAAAAGAATAAGCCTGCAGTTTTCCAGAGAAGAGGGAATTGCACCGGAAGACCACAGCATGGATTCTGCCCGAGAGTCCTGCCTGCCAGCACCCGCACACCGTGAGCTCGCCAGCCCCTACAGTTGCAAGAGAAAACTCCTAAAAATCACACACATAGAAATGATTTTACAGATATAATGCTATCTGTTATCAATGTGGTGGATTTAGATATAACATTTTTATATATTTACATATTTTATATACATTTATATGTAGCGTGTGTGTGTGTGTGTGTGTGTGTGTGTGTGTTTATGATTCTGAATCTCTGGAGGGCCCTGATCCATGGAGTAGGAAAGGCATATCGGTTCTGAAACCCAGCCCTTGAAAAACGCCTCACCCAGTGGTGCTATCGATGGGCGGTTTCCAATGCTGACTCTGGCTTATATGAAGTTCTGGGACTAAAAAAACTATTTTTGATGAAACAGTCAGGACAATGGTTGCCTCAAGGGGTGGAGGAGGGACACGGATGGCTGGGAAGAGCGGGGAAGGAACTTCCTGGGGTTTCCATGTCTTGATCAGGGAGGGTGCTGAGGGGCGCTCACATTTGCCAAAACAGCGAACCGTACATCTAAGACTTGTGCATTTCACCGCATGGAAATTTCACTTAAAACGTAAACAACGATTGCACTCTAGCTAATGAAATTGAGCTAAAACCATTTAGAGTGAATCATGCTTGCGTCCACAGTTGTTTTCTGAAATGGATCCAAAAATAACATGGATGGAGGGAGGGAAAGAGGGAGGGAGGGAGGAATGGAGATTTGATCAAAGTGAGTGTAGTTCACTGTTAATGGAATTTAGGTGGTGGGTGTGTGGGTGTTGACTGCAAAATTATTTCAACTTTACTGTATGTTTGAACTTCTTCACAAGAAAATGCTGGAAAAGAGAATGAACGCAGGCTCTGGGCCAGCCTGTCTGTCATGAATCTCACTCCACACGCAGTGACCGTGGGACAAGGGTCGGCCTCCTCACTGGCGTGGGCCTCAGTGGCCCCTGGGTGCGTGACAATAGTGCCCGCTTCTGGGGTTGTGCAAGGTTTTAAAAGTTTAAAAACACCACTCAGCCTTAAAAGGGAAGGAGATTCTGACACACCCCATGTGGATGAGTCTCGAGGGCTTTGTGCTGACTGAAATAAGCCAGGCACCAAAAGACAAATGCCGCAGGATCCCACTTACGCGAGGTTCCTGGAGGCATCAGACTCAGAGGCAGAAAGGAGGCGGCGGGGCCGGGCTGGGGCAGGGAAAGCGGGGAGTCGGGGTGTAGTGGGGACACAGTTTCAGTTTGGAATCAAATAAGTTCTGGAGATGGATGCTGGTGAGGGTTGCACAGCATAAAGAAAGTACTGAGTCCCACCAAACTGTACCTTAAAAGTGGTTAAGATAGTACGTCTTATGTTATGTTACCACGATTTAAAAATTGGAAAAAAGTTGGCGTGCTGAAGCCCTGGCCTGCAGAGAGGGGCGAGCAGTCCCCAGAGATTCTCGCCAGCTGCTTCACGTCCGAGAATCCAGGAGCCCAGAGGCTGAGCAAGGCCTCAGACAGCAGAGCCCTGCATTCCCAGTTTCTGGGAGTTGAGCCCAAGTGAGCCCTCCTGAAATGGTGCCTAGGAGAGAGCAGCAGACCCCGCAGCAATGTCCTCCCTCAATGGCCTTTCACAGCCATCGGGGACACCAGGTTGAAGGCACAGGGACTGGGAGGCACCAGAGAAGCCTCAGCTACCCAGGGTGGTGTGAGCTGGGCATTGGGAGCCAGGGCAGGCAGCACGTGCTTCTCCATGGGGAGGTGACAGGCAGCCTTTTGGGGAGATGACTCCAGTGAAATGCACATGATGCCAGACAGGCCCTGCTGGGTGCCCTGAGCCCACACACAGGAGCCCTGCTGCCTCTACCTTCGGGCTGAGGCCACTCTGGTTTGAGCACAACTGAAAGCCACGAAGGGGATGAAAGGCACACTCGCCCACAATGGCCCTCCCCTCCCTCAGGATCATCGGCATGGCGGGGCACACCACCTGCAGGGGGATAAAAGACACACGAGCCCACGATGGCCCTGCCTTCCCTCGGCACCATAGCATGGCGGGGCACACCACCTGCCGCCTGGCCCTGAGCCGATCTGGAAAGCACGCTCAGTGTAGACTGTGATCCAACCCCACGGGAAGTGTCCCGTGCTGGTCCTGCCTCCAATGGACTCATGCACTCTTCAGTCACAGGGGATACTGCAGACCCACCACCCAGAAACCCAAGGCCCAGCTGCTTCCCTGTGAAGATTTAAGGGCTTTATTCTGACCTCATCCTGCTTTCTCACCACTGCCCTGATGGCCAGGCCCTGTGATCCCCACTGGCAGAGCCATAAAGCACTGTGAAATCATCTGGCCAGTGAAGGCATTGTGCTGTCATGAACCAGAATCCACACCAAACACAGAAAGGGAAAAAACTCAGAGTATCAACAGTGCCCTCATCAACAACGAGGTTCAGGCAACATACCCACCCCATCTGTCCATCCACCCACACATTCATCTGCCCATCCAAACATCCATCTACTCATTCATGCATCTGGCCACCCATCTATCCATCCATCCACGCATCCATTCATCCACTTACCTACCTATCCATCCACCCATCCATCTGTACATCTACCATTCCTGCATCCGTCCACCCATCCATTCGTCCACTTACCCATTTATACATCCACCCATCCATCTGTATATCTATCATCCCTGCATCCATCCACCCATCCATTCATCCATCTACCCATCGACATATCTGCCCACCTATCTACCCAACTATTCATCCACTTATCCCACCCATCCACTCACCCACCCATCCATTCATCCATCCACCCACTCATCCATCCATCCATTCATCTATGTACCCATCCATTCATCCATCTACCCATCCATCTACCCAACTATTCACCCACTTACCCCGTTCATCCACCCACCCACCAACCCATCCATTCATCCATCCACCCACTTATCCATTCATCCATCCATCCATTCATCCATCTACCCATCCACATATCCACCCACCCATCTACCCAACCATTCATCCACTTACCCCGCTCATCCAGCCACCCACCCAGCCATTCATCCATCCACCCACTCATCCATCCATCCATCCCTCCATTCATCTACCCATCCATTCATCCACTTACCTACCTATCCATCCACTCATCCGTCTGTACCTCTACCATCCCTGCATCCAGCCACCCATCCACTCATCAACTTACCCACCCTTTCATGCATCTATCCACCCATCCATTCATCCACTTACCCATCCTCTCATGCATCTATCCACCCATCCATTCACTCACCCATCCATCATACATCCACCCACCCATTCACTCACGCATCCGTCATACATCCACCCACCCATTCATCCATCTACCCACCCATATATCTGCCCACCCATCTACCCAACTATTCATCCATCCCCATCCATCCATCCGTCCATCCATCCATCCATCCATCTACCAATCCACATATCTGCCCATCCATCTACCCTACTATTCATCCACTTACCCACTCATCTGCCCACTTACCAATCCATCCATCCATCCATCCATCCTTCTCTGTCCATCCTTCTATCTATCTATCCATCCATCCATCTACCCATCCACACAACTGCCCACCTATCTACCCATCTATTCATCCACTTATGCCACTCATACATCCACCCACCCACCCAGTCATGCATCCATCAACCCATCCATCCTTCTATCTATCTATCCAGCCATCCAGCCATCTACCCATCCACACAACTGCCCACCTATCTACCCATTTATTCATCCACTTATGCCACTCATACATCCACCCACCCACCCAGTCATGCATCCATCAACCCATCCATCCTTCTATCTATCCATCCATCCATCTACCCATCCACACAACTGCCCACCTATCTACCCATCTATTCATCCACTTATGCCACTCATACATCCACCCACCCACCCAGTCATGCATCCATCAACCCATCCATCCATCCATCTACCCACCCACACATCCATTCATCCAGCCACCCATCAATCCACACATCCGTCTACCCATTCATCCACCCACCCATCCATCCAACACCTACTCCCTCCCTCCCCCACCATCCATCCAACTTTAAAGGGCCTTGTGTTGCTGTACTCTTGCTACATGCTGAGTTTACAAAGTTCTAATACCCAGCTTAAAGTAGGCACTAAGTATTTTTTGGATAGCTGAATTGAGTGAATAATTAACATAAAAATAATTAAGATATCACTTGTACCTTTATATAAAGGGCAAGAAAGGTGAACAAAATAATCATTCCACAAATGTGATGTATGACACACTGCCAGGGTGGCAAGGGAATCTGCCAAGCAAACCAAGACACTGAGAATAAAAGTGGGGGGGGCACTAAAAAGAATTGTTAAGATAAATGCTTTTTTGAAATGCCTATTTATTTTCTGACATTTGTGTGTATTTATTTTTATTGGAAGACTTATAAAACAGTTCTATCTAAAATCTATTATCAAAAACAAATTATTTCAATAGATCTGTATATTAAAGCAAAATGTTTTTTATAAAATCCTTTGTATTGATTACACTTAAAAAACAAGCAGAATAATTATTCTTGGTACATACTTACAAACTTCATTTCAGTCTTCAAGCATTTCTGGCTCTAACACTATGTCATTGATGTGGTTTTTTTTTTTGAAGAATGTCTTTTTTCATTATTTATTACTTTTATTTTTCATAAAATATCCTCCAATTTTTTTCAATGTTGAATTTTGTGATGGATAAATTAAAAATTGTTGACAGCTTTGACTCTACTCTGTAGTATGAAATATTTTATTGAAAAAATACCCTTCCTACGAGTCTGAGAGACCCAGGAAGCTCAGGGCAAGTTGGCTAAATGGAGGATTTTCTCAACTCTCATGTTTCCATGTGGAGATGTGTGGCTCTTTCAGCCTGGCTATTTGTGTACGTACCATCTTTTTGTCTCCATTCAGAGAACTTTTCATAAACAAAAAAACTGGACAAATCTTCATGCAAAACTCTTCCAAAAAGTTGTCTCTATTTGTGATTCTTTCCAATGTTTCACTAAATTTAAATGCTCTAAAATCATAGGCTGTCTCAACGGCATTCCATTTGGGTCCAGAATATAAATATATCCAACTTAAAAATGTGGACTCCATCAGAAGACTCTTGCCCAAGTGCAGGACATTCCACAGTAAAACTGTAACATTGCATGCCAAGTCCACGAGCCACGCAAGCTCACGTCATCTGGCTTCCTCGGCTGTCCCTCGGTTTTGCAGGGAAACATTTATTTCAGCTTCTTTTCTTTCCTTGAGCTAGCTTTTTTTTTTTTCCCTTACAAAACTGATGTTTTCTGGCACAACATTCATTGAATAACTGGAAGTTTCTAGTGAAGTCTGAATAAAATGCAACCAAAATTTATAGAGCACTCACATACGAAAAGTTTCAATGCCCTCGTGAGCCACTTTGATTTACAGAGGCAAGGACGTTTTCTCTAAACGCTGAGTGGTGACAGGCAACAAACAGAAAGCACTGACTGAGATGAAGTTTGTTTTGTGTTGTTTTCATTCAGTGTCAGTTTTCTTACACACATGCTGTGGTCTAGTCACTCTGCACCTCCTGAAACCTCCGCTTCTACTGTGTTGGGAATAGATTCTGACGAGCACACGCCTGCAGGCAGTACCGTCAGTTCCAAGCATATTTCCGCCCCGTAGATCGTCGCCATTTAGGGAGAACGTTGTTTTAACCATGCTATTATGCTCCACCAGAATTGGTATTTGTAAAGATAAATCAGTGTACCTTTAAGGTTGGACTTTTCAGTGGAATTAATAAAACCCTTTTTTTTTTGAGATGGAGTCTCGCTCTGTCACCCAGGCTGGAGTGCAACGGCACGATCTCGGCTCACTGCAAGCTCTGCCCCCTGGGTTCAAGCGATTCTCCTGCCTCAGCCTCCTGAGTAGCTGGGATTACAGGTACCTGCCACTAAATTTTATATTTTTAGCGCCCAGCTAATTTTGGTACTTTTAATATAGAGACAGTGTTTTGCCATGTTGGCCAGGCTGGTCTTGAACTCCTGATGTCAAATGATCCGCCCACCTCGGCTTCCCAAAGTGCTGGGATTACAGGTGTGAGCCATTGCACCTGGCCTTTAAAACCCTTTTGATTTCCTGTGCTGCTCACTGTTCCTGCCTGCTGGCGGCTGGGTGGCTCAGTGTATCTCGCAGGCTGCTGGGTGGGAAAAGGTGCAATGTCAGAGCTGGGCAGCAGGTGCCACGCCTCTCCCACCACCAATGGGAGGCACAGCGGTGCCTCAACCCTACCAACAGTGGGAGGCACAGTGGTGCCCCAACCCCTTGTTCTGGACCCACCTGATCCCCAGAGGGAAGATTTTAGCTAAGTTGTTGTGAAAAGAGTTGAGAAAAGCGAAAGGGCTGGTGGCTCCTCTCAGGCCTCGCCAGGCCTCTGCCCACGGCCCACATGCCTCCCGCACCCGCAGAAAAGACCGCGATGGAGCCAGGAGCACGAGGTCAGAGTGCAAAGTGCGCAGGCAGCACCCCTTGCTTCCCAAGCACGTTCCAGTGCAGTGATCAACAGCAACACCTCGTTAAAAATGCCGGTCTCAGACAGATGCCGGCCCTAACAAGGAAACCGGCATCTCTTGCTGTCAATGGGAGGTCACTTCAAAAATAAAATCGTTTAAAAATCTGTTACATTCTAGAGAGATAATCTTGCCCACCAAAGTCTCCAGGCCTGATATTTGCTGTCTCTTTGCTCCAAAGGGAGATTGGCAAGTGACAGCCGTGGCTCCTTAGCCCCAGACCCAGTCTCCTTCCTTGTCGCAATCACGGGATGTGGAAAAAAGGCACAGGGGTCAGCACCCTTCCGTGGGTTCTGTGTGACTGATGAAAGCTGCGTAGGTAGGATCATCCATATGGCATAGGAGAAAAGCCGGCAGAACTCACACTTCAGGAAACTGAGTCAGAAAGGGGGAAAACAAGCTACCCGAGGTGATCCAGGCAGCCTTGGGTCCAAATACCTGCTGCCTCCCTCTGCCATCAGACAGGCTGCCAGTTCAGACGGGGGAGGCAGCTCTTCTGCAGGATCCTCCCGTGAGCCTGTGCTGACGCCTCACAGTCCTCACTCTCTTATCCCTCAGGGACCATCCTTGCTTTGTGGGATGACAGCCTCACCGCCCACCGCTGGTGACAAGGGACAGAGATGGCTGCCCATGTGTCTGTGAAGACGAGAAAGCCGTTGCACAACGGGAGGTGAGAAACAGCCCCGAGAATGCGGCAAATAATTTTAAATTATAGGAAAAGCATTAATATAAACACTTAGAGGCTTTGATGAAAGGCAGCTCTGTTTCAAAGTCAGAAAAGGAGGCTCAGCTGTTGTTTTTGCTTCAAGAAGCTGATTTAGAGACGAGAACACGGGGAAGGGCTGCTCCTTCCCACCCCTCTCTCCGTACGCCGCGCTCCGCACTCATCCATCCGGGCCTTCCCTTCCCAGATCCCTGAAGCGCTTCTGTGCACCACATGGACACGAGATCCACAGAGCCATGGCCTGTCCCCCAGGACTCTGAGAAGATGGGATCAGATGGACCCGTGAGCCGTGGCACGGTACAGACGGCTCCTCTGGGGTGCTGCACACTGCACAGGACACACACAGGCACAATCACTCCTGATCTTTTCCACAATCTGCAGTGCCCTGAGACCATATGGACAATCTTGAGGAAACCAAGGGTGCAGGGGAAAGAGCTCACACAGACAGACGCTGCCCAGCAGGATGGTGAGAGTGGTCCGCACGGCCCTGTGAGCATCTGTGACCAGGACAGTGAGTGGTCCACACAGCCATATGAGCATCCGTGACCAGGACGGTGAGAGTGGTCCACACAGCCATATGAGCATCCGTGACCAGTGCACTGATAAGACATCGTAGGCCACAAGTTCTGTACAAACTGACCCACCCCATAGGAAGCCCCACTGGACCAGCACGTGCGCACCTGGGGAGCTGAGGTCCCTGCCCCAGCGAGGTCTGGGGAAGGAGGATGGCGGAAGGCCCCAGTAGGTTCGGAACCACAACTTGATTCTGGGCCCCAGGAGCTGGAAAGGAGTCTTCCT
The DNA here is from genome assembly GCF_000001405.40 of Homo sapiens. NCBI lineage: Eukaryota > Metazoa > Chordata > Mammalia > Primates > Hominidae > Homo > Homo sapiens. The sequence continues at coordinate 29,192,806 of NC_000016.10, read as the reverse complement.
GCAGAGCTCTGCCCCCCTGCACTGCCTGGTGCCCCCCAGACCCCAGTCCTGTCTGCACTCTGACTCGGCCTGGCTTCCTGCCAGGGAGGGCAGGAGCTGCTGTCCACAGGCCACAGATCCACTTTAGAAGAGAGTAGCAGAGCTCCCCAGCAGAGGGGCAGCAGTGGCCACGTTCTCCCATCTCTTCCCCTCCGTTTTCCAGGCTCATGGTCCTCTCCTGCTGACAGTGGGCTTCAGCCAGTTTGTCCAGCCCTGAGTCCTGACCAAGAGGCTGCCGGGGACAGCAGAGATGAGGCCAGGCTTCTGCACAGAGGCAGGCATGTGCCCAAGTTCAAGGTGTGGCAGGTGGTGCTTCCACTGTCAGAGTCTGAGGCCCCCAGCCTGAGCTCTCCCACACTCCCCATGGGGTCCACAGCACCCCCAGATGGCAGGATGTGGCCTTGCAGCTCGGGGTGGGTGGGGCTGCAACCCAGACACCCTTGCCTGCCCCGGGGGCTTCCCATGCCCCCACCCCACTCTCTAGCAGTGAGAGCACAGAGCCTCGGCTTTGTTACAGCTGCCCCCACTCCCTGGCCTCCCAGCCCCCACCTCCCATCTCCCGCCTCCCTGCTGTGTGGCCCAGAGGCTGCCTCTAACAAGGGTTCTCAAGGTGGGGCCCCAGCAGCAGCACCCCCAGGGGACTTGCCAGAAATGCACATTCTCACGTCCCACCCTGGACCCTGAGTCTATAGGGCTCAGGCAAGCAATAAGGCATCCCCTGGGGGTGGCGGACACCCCAAGAGCAGACCCCCGGAGCATCCCCGCAGCAGGACCTGACCACGTTGCCGGCCCAGGTGGCCTTGGCCTTGAGCAAAGCACTCAGTCTCAGAGCCTCGTGTGTCATCCAGGTCTTAGAGCTGCCTCTCCGGGACAGGAGAGGATGAGGGGCCCATGAACCCCAACACAGGATCCCTGGTCATTCAGCAGAGACCCAGGCATCCTCACCAGGTGCCAGCACTTTGTATGGGCATGGCACCCAGCAGTGGCGAGGATGGCACGGTCATATAACAATGACACACAGGCAGCCCCCACCTGGAGCCCTGGACCCAGACTCGGGATGGGGGCTGAGGGAAGGCATCTGGGGCCCAGGAGACCACCAGGAGCGGGGAGCTGGGCATTTCTTCACCAGCCCCACATCCAACCAAATAAACTTTCCTGAGAGAGTCCATCTGCTATGGCACTTCCAGCCCCTGAGAGGGTCTGTCATGGTGCTGTGGATAAGAGCAGGTTTGGGGGCCTTGGGAGGGGGTGGCGGAGGGTGGAGGAGAGATGGGTGCTCTCCCACCCTCACCATGGCTGGCAGACAAGGCTTGCTGCCCTCTGAGCCACAGTGACACAGAGGAGAGCCCTCACCAGGACACGGCTCGAACTGTCCGCATGCAATTTTGCACAGGAGGTGGAATTGGTGCAAATGGATTCCTGGAGTAGGAGAGAGGCTCAGAGGCCAGGCCTCCCTGTGGTGCAACATCTTGTGTGGAAGAAAGTGGGTCCCACGCCTGAGGCTGTGGGGCTCCACTGAGTCCATCAGGCACCGAGTGTTCAGGGAGAAAGAGCACTGAGACAGCAGGCCTTCCTGAGAGAGCCTGTGAGGTGGGGGTGTCGGCTTCAGCCCCGAGAGAGCAACAAGCGCATGTCCCTCGGTGGCGCCGGCTGCCTGTGCGCCCTGGTGCTCATGAGTGATGGTTGCGGAGCCTCCGGGACACAGGAGCCCTGCAGAGGGGAGTGGCATCCCTGCATCGGCTGCATGGGCTGTGGAGGCCCAGCAAGGAAACCCAGGCACCGAGGCCCATCTAGAGATGACTGTTGGGGCTGTGTTTTCTTCCAGGCTTTGTTACCAAGGACATTTTGTGCCAAATCCCTGCCCCTCACCTGAGATCATCGTCCATCTCTGTGAAAAGACAGAGTAATTATTTCCATCCCTGCTGGCCAGGTTGGGTGTTCGTGGGCCAGGCTGTTGTTGGCATGGCAACAAGACAGGGCTGGGAGTGGTGAAGCCTCTGCCTGCACAGCCAGCTGGGTCACGCTGCTTGCTTCCCACCAGCCAGCCCCCAGCAGCACCTCAAGTCCCTCCAGGAGAGAACATCCCTGTCCTTCCTCCTCACTTTGTCATCACCTGGTGCTCCAGGAGTCTGTAGGATGCCAGGGCATGGATAAGACATCCCTCCTGTGAATTATTTCATTCAACCCTTGTAATAGCAATATGATGCAGGTATTAATTTTTATCCTGATTGCAAAGATATAAATCTAATGCTTCAACTTCTCACATGTAGGTTCAATTGATTTTCAACAAAGGCATCAAGACTATTTGATGCAGAAAGAATAGTCTTCAACAAACAGTGCCGGGACACCTGGATATCCATGTGCAATAGGATGGAGCTGAACCCCTACCTCATACCATACACAGAAAGGGACTCACAGTAGATCAAGGGTAAATGTAAGAGGTAAGACTATAAAAGCCTTAGAAGAAAGCAAAGGTATTAATCTTTATCACCCTGGGTCAGGCAATGGTTTCTTATATATCACACCAAAAGCACCATAAGAAAAGAACAAATAAATAAATTGCATCAAGATGAAAACTTCTGTGCAAAAGATATCATCAAGAAAGTGAAAAGACACACAATGGGAGAAACTACTTGCAAATCACACATCTGATAAGGAACTTGTATCTGGACTATATAAAGCACCTCTACAACTCAATAATAAAAAGACAGATAACCTGATTAATATACGGGCAAAAGAACTAAATAGGCATTTTTCCAAAGCAGATACACAATGGCCAGCAAGCACATGGAAAGGTGCTCAGTGTCATCAGCCACCAGGGAAGTACAAGTCACAATCATGCGAGAGGCACCTCACACCTATAAGCACGGCTGTAAGAAGAAGGCAGACAGCAGTGAGTGCTGATGAGAACATGGCGATGACGAGGCCCTCATGCACTGCTAGTGGGAACGTCATGGTGCAGCTTCTCAAGTTAAACACAGCAATTCCACTCCTCCATGCACACCCAAGAACCAAAAGCCGATGCCCACACAGAAACTGACACACCAGTGTTTTCAGCAGCGTTATTTGTAATGGCCAAAAAGTGAAAACGACTTAAATTCCCACCAAATTCATGCATAAACTGTGGTCCATCCACACCATGGAATATGATTCAGTCATACAAAGGAATGGGGTTGTGGTCCACACTGCAACATAGATGGAGAACGCCATTCGGAGTGAAAGAGGCCACAGGCAGAGGCCACGTCTTGTGTGATCCCGGTTCTGTGAAACATCCTGAACTGGCAAATCCACAGAAGCAGAAGCAGAGGACTGGTTGCCAGAGGCTGGGGGATGAGAGGATGGGAGTGGCTGCTCAGTGGGGACAGAGTTTCCTTTTGGGGCAACAAGAATGCTCTAAAATTGATTTGGTGCTGGCTGCACACCTCTATGTCTATAACCAGTCATCACTGACTTGTACACTTTAAAAAGCTGAATTGTATGGTAGGAAAATTATGCCTCAATAAAGCCATCATTCAAAACAGTGGAGGTTCAGCAGGGTCAGCAGGGGGCTGCACACACACCAATGGCAGAAGCAGGACTTGAACTCAGCCCTGTGGGCCGGCACTTGCAGCTGCGCTCCATGGCCCACTCTGGACTTGGAGGCTCTGTGTCTGTGTCCCCAGCTCTGCATCTTCTCACCTGTGCCAGCCTAGCCCTGTACCCCATGGAATGCGGTCTGTGAACCAGCAGCATTGCGGTGCCCGGGTCTGCTGGTGATGCAGAATCTCCAGCCCCACATGGACCTGCAGACGGGATCTGCATTTTGTCTGCCGTACAGGTGGCTCATGTCCTCATTAAAGCACGGGTTGAACCCTGCCACCCACACCCCACTGCCCAGAAGCGCTTGCCAGCTGTTCCTGGATGTAGATAAGTCACATCAGTCACCAGGTTAGTGAGGAAAAAAGCCCATGATCTGGAGCAAGAAGACCCAGGCTTAAATCCCATCCGTGCCACTCCTGTGCACATCCCTGCCTGCGTTCACCGTCCCCTCGATGGCACGGGCAGCTGCCTGTGATGTGGCAGATGCTGCTCTGGGGACACAGACAGTGATAGACAAATGAACAGAATCCGCCCCATGCAGCTCACAAAATAGCGAGTCTAAGCATCCCTTACAAACAGGAAAGTGAGCAGCCAGCCCTTCTCTCTGAGCCTCAGCTCCTCCTCAGCAAATGGTGATGGGGATATGCTGGCCTTGGAGGCCAGCGAGGCTTCAATCAGGAAACACAGTGGCCTGGAAATGGCAGAGCTTTCTACGATGGTACCGTGGTTCTTCCCAAAGTGTTTTTTGACAGAAGCAATGGGGCAGACCGGGTGCGGTGGCTCACACCTGTAATCCCAGCATTTTGGGAGGCCAAAGTGGGTGGATCTCTTGAGGTCAGGAGTTTGAGACCAGCCTGGCCAACATGGCGAAACCCCATCTCTACATCTCTACTAAAAATACAAAAATTAGCTGGGCGTGGTGGCGCATGCCTGTAATTCCAGCTACTTGGGAGGCTGAGGCAGGAGAATCACTTGAACCCAGGAGGCAGAAGTTGCAGTGAGCCGAGATCACCCCACTGCACTCCAGCCTGGGCGACAGAGCTAGAATCCATCTCAAAAAACAAAACAAAAACAAACCAACAAACAAAAAAGATGCTTAGAAAAGCATGAAGGCTGGGCAAGGTGCCATTACACACCGGATGGAGACTGACCAGAGGACCGGAGAAGCTGGAAGCACTAATTCACTCCTCCTGTGGATTGAGCTGTGTCCCCAAATTCATACCTTGAGGCCTTAATTAGGCCCCAGTGTGGCTGTATTTGAAGATGGGGCCTTTAAGGAGGGGGCTTAGGATAAATAAGGCTTTGAGAGTGGGGCCCTGATCCACTGGGGCCAGTGCCCCCTAAGGAGAGGAGGAGACACCAGGGATTTCTGTCTCCCCTTCTCTCTCTCACTCTCATTCTACCCCGATGTATGCACAGAGGGAAGGCCCTATGAGGACATGGGGGAGGAGATGCCATCCGCAGGCCATGGAGAAAGGCCTCGGGGAATCCAACTCTGTAGGGCCCTTGACCTTGGACTTGCAGCCTCCAGAACTCTCAGCAGCCAGCGCCTGCCTCAGGCACCCGGGGCTGTGTGCCTTGCAGGCGGCCTGGGCTAACACAAGGCCTCCCGCAGTCCACAGTCAGCGACCCTGTTGAGGGCTGCTATGACCTTCTCGCCTGCACGTGCCATTTGTGTCCCCATAAGCAAAGGTCAACCTCACCCTGTGACGGGCAGGTGCATCCTTCTACCCACTCGGGAAAAATCCTCAGGGCAATGGGTAAATTCTACCTTATTTTCCCAGCCACTGTTTTGCTTCCAAAACACCAGGTAGCATCACCGACACCAAGGTGTTAGGATCGGAAGAGACAATGGAGACTCTTCTAGACCAGCCCATTGCTTTACATGTGAAGGGATACAGGGAATAGCTGGGGTTAGGGTGCTCAGTGTGGAGCCCGGCACCACTGCAGGCCCCCAACAAAAGTGAGGGGACACCCCGGAACACCCTGGTTGGAGGCTCCGCTGTGGTGCAGCCACTCGGCCCCTTCGCCTGCATTCCAGGGGTGCAGAGAGAACGAGATTGGGCTGGAAATGGGATACCCTGTCCAGCCTGTGCTGGGCACTGTCCACACCCCCGGCCCCACCAACCTGCCCAGGGCAGCAGGAGTTCAGAAAGAAATATCCTGTCGTGGGAGGGAACCCTCACGCCATCCCCCCATACAGCGCAGAACGTCACCACAGCAGCAGACGCCAGCCGGAGCCAGGGTGCTGGGGGCGTGCCCCGCCAGAGCCCTTCACGGCCAGTGAGGTGGAGGAGACGGCATTTGGAGCTGATCCCCTTGACAGAAACTTGCCCCGGCTCCAAAACCATTAATGAAAACGCAAATGGTTTAAGTCTGGGAAATCATTAGACGGCGGCTTGTGTCAGAAACACAAAGCAAATCACCCTGGCTGCGGCCTCCCTGGCAACTCTGCAGTCCTTCCGACCCTCGCCTTCCCAGAAAGGGACAGTTTCTCTAGAAATGAAGAGAGGGAAGTGATTTACCAACTGCTAAGTAATTCTTACATTTAAAAAAAATCCATCCAGAGGCCCAGGTAGGGGCAAATGGTTTTTTCCAATTAGTACAGAGGTAGCTACAAAGCACCACAGAGCCCGCCTGTGGACGCCGGGACACTGTCAGGGCTGGCACAGGGGGGCTCAACAGAAGACCCAGCCAGGGACAGATTCCACAGAGAGGCAACCAGCGGGCCAAGCAGACATCAGCAGCACGGATCCGGGACCGCGGGGGCAGCCAAAATCCACAGCTGCCAAGGCCCCGGCCCCAGCCTCGGCCAGCACCATAGACGGAAAAGCAGCTGCGCTCCCCCAGCCCCAGAAGAAACCCTGCAGAGGAGTGTTGGAGAGCTATGGAAACCAGAGCGTGTCTGTAGGCTGCTCATGGCTGCCCATGACTTTTCCAACGCCAAAGCCCATCTCAGAGGGCTACGCGTTAGGGCCAGAGCAAGGTGGGGCCTGGTGCAGAATCTTAGCCAAATGGTGATTTTTTCAACACATTTAAAATGAAATCTTCCTTTCGCTACAGTTCTCAGAATTGTTTTTGCATCCACAGCCTGAGACGCCTGCCCTCCTCCGCCCATGGCCTCACCTCCAGGCCATCTTCTCCAAAGCCAGCTCTCTCTGTGGGGCTTTCCCCACACCCTGCCCCCAAGAGCTGAGACGCAGGCGTTTCCATCTCTTCTGTTTAAGAAGGGAGTATCTACTGCTGGTGTGGGAACATCAGCTCCTCCGCAGAAACATCTTTTACACAAGTATTTATTTATCAGAAAAGGGTTTTCTGAGTTTCTGGGTTCCCATGACTTTGTTGCTCAGAGCAATTCTGCACTTTTGCTGTGATGAATGCTGGGACGTCTTTACTAAGGTGCCTTAAAAATTGCTGGAGGCTTCCTGCCAAAGCCTGGGCTCAGGTTCTTAGGAGCTGTAGCTTGCAATTCAGAAGTGGCCGAACGAGGATCCTTCTCGACCAGCAGGTTGGGTTACGGAGAACATTTACAGCAGCAGCCAACTGAGGGTGCACACAAGTATTGTTTGGTTTTAAAAGAATGATTACGATACTAATGGTGCCTACCAATCCACACGGAAGACACTAGAAGCAGTGGTGTGAGGCACACAACTATATTAACAGCAAAGGACTGCAGCAGACGCCACCCTGGCAGAGGTCTCACCCAGAGCCCTGCGCATCTGTGGACTTTTGGACAGTCGCTTACAGGTGAGCACCGCAAAGCGAAATTGGTTGGAAGCAGGGAGAGTCTGCGGCCATTTCTATCCCGCCGTTCCATCGGGAAACACTCATTCTCTGACACGCAGCCGCCCAGCGCTACCCGGCTTCCGTGTTTTAAGCTTTGGCTGAGTCACCGAACACATCAGGCTGGCTGACCACGTGGACGCTCCCGGCTGACCACGGCCCACGCCCGTGTGATCTGGGGTCGTCCCGGCTGACAGTTGAGGCCTGGATGAAGCCCATCTGCTGGGTTTGACAGTCGGCACCAGTCCCCAGGCGGCCCCTGAGGGTTCCTGTTTCAAAGAATAAGACTTTGTTTGCAGAGGGGCTGCCTTTGGGCTGAGCCGGCGGAGGAGCTCAGCTCGCTGAGGTCCCAGAAAGCTGCGCCCTGTGGGGCTTCACCTGGACGGGTGCTGGCTCTGGAGTCGCGTGTCACTTCTGTGCCATTTTCATTAGTGAGTCGTAAATTACACGTAAGCACTTTCTTCCTGGACTTCTTTGGACAATACTTTCAAACTCCATGGCTCCAAACCCCTTCCCGGGGCCTGAGGAATTCAAACCCCTGTCTCTACCCTCAGTTTCCCCACCGTGGCGAGAGATGAATGACGTGGCGCAGAATTCCACAGCCTGCCTACCGGAACCCCACGGCGCTTCTACGGCCGGGCCAGTTTCATGTTCTTCCTTAGAGGCTGCTTCCTCAAAATTAGCGACCTCCCAGCCCCCGTCCTGAGTGTCACCTCCCAAAGTCCGGAAACTCAAACCTGGAAAGCTCAAAGCTCCCGAATCGGCCCCACCCAGTCCTGGTGCTTCCTGTTCACGGCACTTTTCCCAGGCCGGCAGGATTTTCACCGTGGGGTCCAAAGACCACCTGCAGCCAGTCGCCTGAAGGGCTGATTCACAATGCAGCTTCCTGGGCACTGTTCCAGGCACTGAGAGTCCACCCACAAAGGGGGAGCAGCTATTTGCTGTCAGCAACCCCTCCGGATGACCCTAACACCCACCTGAACGTGGAGGCAGCTCAGAGGGCAAGTCTAGATTTTACCCAGATGCTATGGCTTGCCCTTCGAAATATTTATACAAAAACCAAAAAACAGCTGTAACTGAATCCAGAGAGGAAAACGGCTCTAAATTGATTTTTGCAGCACATTTTTTAGTTTATTTGTTTGGTTTTTTTGTGTTTTGAGATGGAGTCTCGCCCTGTCACCCAGGCTGGAGTGCAGTGGTGTGATCTCGGTTCACTGCAACCTCCGCCTCTCGGTTCAAGCGATTCTTCTGCCTCAGCTTCCCAAGTAGCTGGGATTACAGACATTTACCACTACACCCAACTAATTTTTGTAGTTTTTAAGTAGAGACGGGGTTTCACCATGTTGGCCAGGCTGGTCACGAACTCCTGACCTCAGGTGATCCACCCGCCTCGGCCTCCCAAAGTGCTGGGATTATAGGCATGAACCACTGCTCCTAACCAACAAATGTTTTTTGAACCCAATGATGTGCTGGGGGGCTGTGCCCCTGCCTGACAGAGGTAGGCAACACCTGGAAAGTTCTATGGGGAGCACAGCAAAGCCGGAGGATGGCAATGCCTGTCCACCTGGAGAGGAGGGGCATGTGAGCAGGGCTTTGAAGGATAAGTAGGAGTTCACTGGGGGCAAAGGAGTTTATAGACCAGTTCCTCAGCCTGTTTTCTGACGAGAAACCTGAGACTGAAAGAGGGAAAGAGAGCCTGCCCAGCACGTGTCAGGGGTAAAGCTGCAGCCAGGAGGTGAGGCCCAATGCCCCGGCATCATCCGTGTCTCCGGGAGCTGCTGTCCTGGCATCATCCATGTCTCCAGGAGCTGCTGGGGGTGCGGGGGGTTCTTCAGTGGTGAGACCACGGTACAAATCAGTTCCCTTGCTACTTTTGGACTGAGTGCAAGACTCGCCCACTGCTTGCTAAACTCCACTCCCCAAGCCGCAGCCCTGCAAAGGGTGTCAGGAGAAGCAGAAAGGGTTGTTCAGGGATGCGCCCATCTCTACACTCAGGCTGCGGTTGCACGGAGACAGGGCGGGAGAGGCGGGGGCCGACAAATGGCCTCTGTCAGGACACAGACACCGGCCCGACAGATAAGGGGCGGCTGGACGGCTTTGGTCTTTTCCGTGAAAATGAATCCATGGAAATCTCTCCCGCCCAGCACTCACCAGGGGAATTATCTCTGGCTGAGTGAAGGCCGGAGAGCCCACGGAGGTCTCCCATGTGGCCTGTGCACATCTCTTTCCAGGAATAGCACAAAGAAGCGGGACTGGCTGCTGTCCTTCAAGGAGAATGTTCCACAATATCAGCTGATGTGGTACCAGGAGACCTTGTGTGACCTTGGAGGAAAGACTGTGAACTCAGCTTCTGACTCTGAACAATGACAAATGAACCAGGCCCAGCCCCTCCTGACCCCAGGGAACACAGGTGGCTTTGATTTAATAAATGGAGCAGGCACAAAGACAGCCAGAAGGGCCTGACCTCACCCTTGAGGACGTGCTACGGTGGCCCGCAGCGAGGGTCCCTGCCACCAGCCACGGCCAGAGCACCTGCCACATGCCAGGCACTGTCTGAGTCCTGAGGACCCTGCAGCATGTCCCACACATGAACCCCCCTGGCACAAGAGGTCATGGCCACACAAGGGGATGCTCAGCTCCATGCCGGACTCAGGCCAATGGCCCAGTGAGAACAGAGTTGGCCCCAGCACGACACCTCCCGCCAGCCCAGCCCCAGAATGATGACAGCCTCACCGCCACCAAGGCAGGGTGGTGGCAGATGCCCGAGACGGGGTTGCCAAGCCCAGAGGGAGGAGCCCATCCAAGGCCCGGATCCGCTGACAGCTTCTGGAAGGGTGTTTGCCTCAAGGACACCAGTGACCTGGGAGCTCAGGGAACCTGGAGAAAGGGTCCCATGAGCTCAAAGGAGCTGCAATTCACAGAGACATTGGTGCCGCAGCCAGGCTTCCACATTGCCCCTCTGGCCAATTGTGCCCCACAGGAGACCTCCTCCCTTAGGATTCATGATTAAAGAAAGACCTCACAGAGTGGGACGCTGGTGGGAGGCACAGCGCCGGGGCCAACTCTGCTCTCCTTGGGCCATTAGTGTGTGTCCAGCATGGAGCAGGGCATCCTCTTGTGTGGCTGGACCTCCTGTGCTGGGGCATCCATGTGCAGAACATGCTGCAGGCCCCATGGGGGTGGTGGAGCTGGGAACGAGGCCCCAAGGGAGTCTCTGAAGGAGCAAAACACCACACGCCTCTGCCCCTCAGAGGGGCAAGTTGGTGAGTGAACACACATTGATGCGTGGGAGGAATTGGGGGAAAGCCCCATTGCAGGCTACAGAGCAGGGTGCAAAGACAGGTGACCGCCGGCGTACACACAACAACGAAGGAAGCCGCAATTGCTGCCCCCTGGAGGCTGCAGAGCGGGGTGCAAAGACAGGTGACCACGGGCGTACACACAACGACGAAGGAAGCTGCAATCGCTGTCCCATTGCAGGCTTCAGAGTGGGGTGCAAAGACAGGTGACCGCTGGCGTACACACAACGACGAAGGAAGCCACAATCACTGCCGCCTGTGATTTCTCTTCGACACTCAGGGGTCCCTTCCATAGGCTGTGGTTTCTCTTCGACACTCAGATTTCCTCCACATGGGATATTCTCTGAGCTCAGCCGTCTGGTCAGCTGCGCATGGGCTGTGGAGGGCAGGAAGCCCCTGTGATGACCGGGAGGCCAGTGTGCATCCAACATGCTCACAGTCTAAGGGGTATGTTGGAATGGCCCAGGGTTGAGCAAGCAGCTGCCCGGGGACTCCCTAGCTGGCAGGGGGCACAGCATCCCGTGAGCACATCACACCCAGCAGGTGCTCTGCGCACTGGCCTGGAGGTCCCCACCTCCTCCAACTCACAGGCCCCTCCCTGAGAGTGAAAGCAGCCTGGCCTCTCCTCCCAGCACTGACCAGAACCTCTCCTGGCTCCCACCCACACCCCTGGGGGCTGGGATTCCATCGGCCTGAATTCGCAGCCCTGGACCCCAGTCGGTGCTCCCCACCCGAGAGCTTCCTGTGTCTCCCACTGCTGCCAGAATGATGGCCACAGTCTCTGTGGCTAAAACAACATGGACCGACTTTGGCTCTGAAGGTCAGAGGTCGACGTGGGACTCCAGTCTCCCTGGGCTACGGTGAGGCACGGGCAGGCTGGCTGCTCCCGGAGGCTCCAGGGAAGAATCTTCCCCATCTTTCCAGCTTCCCAGGCCCCTACATCCCTTGGCTCGTGGCCCCTCCTCTGCCATCAGAGCCAGCTGCGTGGCAGCTCCAGTCTCTCCGTGGCCTCGTCCTTCTGCCTTCCTCTTCCAAGGACTTGAGATGACAGGGAATCCAGGGTCCTTTCCCTGGAAAGGGAACCTCAGTCACATCTGCAAAGTCCCTTTTGCCACGTGAGGGCACATGTTTGCAGGATTCAGGGATCAGGACATGGATGCCTCTGGGGCTGTTATTCAGCAGACCCCTCCTGACGTGGGGACAGTTTCTCTGAGCTTGAGACACCCCCAGGAGGCCACCCACGCTGTACCGTGCTGGAAGCCCCACTGCCCTCTCTTCCAGCGTGCTCTTCTGGCCCCTTCAGCCTTAGTCCACCCGTTGGTCACGTTCAGCCCCAGGGGTCCCTTCCATCCTGGCAGCCCCGTGAGTGCCCTGGAGTCCCTCCCGCAGGCCCTTCAGACAGCAGCCCCTTCTCTCAGGTGCAAATGGATCTCATGGGCTGGAAACCACCCTTGTGCTGTGTGGAGGGCCAGGGAGAGGTGTAAGGAATGCCCCCCACAAATGCACAGCACACGGGAGCAGCCGTCCCCAGGGCAGAGACTGGAGACGGCGGGAGAGAAGAGCTGTCCCCATCCCTGGGGCTTCTGCTTCGGGCCTTGGCCACCAGATTCTTTCCCAGGAGCCCAGAAAACCCCATGGGGGCTGAGACTGGGGGGAGGGTGCCGCTCTCCCCGGGCCTCACCTTAGCTCCGTGCTGCACCTGGGGGCGGGCGTGAGACCCGGGTCCACAGGAAAGAAGGTTCCAGCCACGGCTGCCACTGCAGGTGGCATGGCTCCTCCTGACCCCAGAGAACACAGGTGGCTTTGATTTAATAAATGGAGCAGGCACAAAGACAGCCAGAAGGGCCTGACCTCACCCTTGAGGACGTGCTATGGTGGCCCGCAGCGAGGGTCCCTGCCACCCAGCCATGGCCAGAGCACCTGCCACGTGCCAGGCACTGTCTGAGTCCTGAGTCTAGTCACGCGGGCCCGGGTGGGTCGTGGTGCCGCTGGTGCATGGATGCCTGAGCAGCCTGGACTGTGCCCAAGGAGCTGGTGGTTCCAGGATTACAGGCAGCAAGGAGGGGTGCACAGCCAGGGCGAGCAGTCAGGCCCTGCACTGGGCACCGTGTGGAGGGAGGCAGTGTTGGATGAAGCTGCTGTTCCTGTTCTTAAGCCCAGAAAACACAAAGTGGCCCAGTCTCCCAACACGGGACTGCGAGGCCGGCTGGGAAAATTCCAGCTTCTCGGCCGCTTCCCAGAGGCTGGACCACTGGGCCCTGGTCTGAAGGCCCCATCAGGACACTCACCACTCATCACCCCACATCTGCCACCCACTGCCCTCATGGCCTCGGGCCACAGGAGGCTCTGGCGGCAGGGGGAGCCCGTCCATCTCCCAAGCATCCTTCTGCAGAGCAGCTGCCCAGCACTGGGGGCTGGGGCACCACCCTAAGCCTGCAGCGAGGGGGCAAGAGGCCCCCTGGGATCGGGAATAAGGAGGATGTGAAAGCCCAGCCAGGACACAACATCCAGCTCTGGTCTTCACTGGGCCCCTAGGGGAGCCAGAGAGGGGAGCTCTTGCCAGAAGCAATTAGAAGCCATTTGGAAGACCAGATCTGGCAGCAGAACCGCCGCCCTGGGCCCATTGCAGGCGCCTCTGCACCAACAGCGGCAAACCCAAGAGGGCAGCTTGGCCTGGTGAACAGCGGCCAAGCACGAGGCTCGCAGGGGCTGGATGGCAAAGCTAGTGCTGTGGGATTCCAATGCGTGAGTTTGAGAAAGGCATCTGGGATTTGCCACCAATAGCCCAGTGGGAGGGGAGGTGGGGGGAGCAGAGATAGCACGAGGGGCCGTGGTGCTGTGGCCCAGCCCCAGGTGGCATGCATTCATTATGTGTGTGTGTTTGAAATGCTCCAAAATAATTGCTTTTAAAATGCTAGTCGGTTGACTGCAAAGCTGTTTCCTTGAACATGACGCATCACCCTTCCCTGGGACTTAAGGTCACTTAAGTTTAAAGATTTTTTTTTTTTTGTAATCGTTAAATAGGCAACAATGGGCCGGGTGCAGTGGCTCATGCCTGTTTGGGAAGCTGAGGTGGGCGGATCATTTGAGGTCAGGAGTTCGAGACCAGCCTGGCCAACATGGTGAAACCCTGTCTCTACTAAAAATATAAGAATTAGCTGGGCGTCATGGTGGGAGCCTGTAATCCCAGATACTCAGGAGGCTGAGGCTTGAGAATTGCATGGGCCTGGGAGGTGGAGGTTGCAGTGAGCCGAGATCACACCATTGCACTCCAGCCTGGGCTACAGAGCGAGACCCTGCCTCAAAAAAAGAAAAAAAAAAAAAGGCAAAAACAGAGCATGTAACTTCCCAAGATAAGAGACTCTAGAATATGGACACGTCTAGAAAACAAGGAGAAAACAGCTACAAAGCCCAGCATGTTGAACTTCTCACTTCACTGTCTGAGGCTGAAAAGCAAGGAGAGAGATTTGCCTTCTCCTTAGAGTTCAGGATTTCGCTGGGCCACACGGGTGATGACAGAGAGAACATATGTCTTAAAGAGGCTTTGGAATCAAAGGCCAAAAATTAGCCTAAAACATTTCAAATGCAGCACACACTGCGTCTGTGACCTCATCTGTCCTTGAAAATAGAAAAATGTGCCTCAAAGAGCAAGAAAAATCTTTAAATGTCACGTGTCACAGGCTGGGGTGGCTGGAGGGACGTGATGTCCTCCGTCCTCTCCACCAGGGCAGAGGCAGCTGGCGTTAATCACACCAGCCCCTTATCTCTGCCCTACCTCCTGACAGGACATGAGACAGCTACGTTGACGCCAGAGTCCTGTTTTATTCTGGTTACGGCATCTCGTGGCCAACACTGTGCATGGTTCCCGAAGTTAAACATGACCCAATCAACAAACAGACGTAGTAGGGACTGGCAGCTCTGCCAGGACCAGAGAGACACCCCCCGCCCTCCCCACACCTTTGGCCTTGCTGTGGCCTCTGTCCCACCGGCTGCTCACTGCCACAGGCTGGACCAAGCCTCTGCCTTGCTCTGGCATGGCCCCAGGCATACCTCCTCCATCCCCTCCTGTGGGGTGTGAGGCCACTCCCCACTCCTGTCTCCCCAGTAGGCGGGTTCTGCCTCCGACCCTGCGCTGTTTCCCCTGCGCCTGGCACGTGGCAGACCCTCGTAAACGCTGACGATGGGCGGGAGGAAGGGCAGATGGGAGGCCCAGAGCCAGGGGCTCTCGGTGTCCTTGCGAAGAGGAAGGCAGTGAACACAGGGAAATAGCGGCGGGTCCTTGGTCTGGTGCCGCTGGCCGCCAGCCAGGCAGACAAGTGAAGATGCAGGAGACACAGAGCCAGTGCATGGCCTGGGAGGCCACAGGGAGGACACAGGCAGGGGCCGCTCAGAGGACACATCCAGCCGGTACAGCTCCCCCCAAGGCTGCGACTTGTTCACAACGTTCCCTTAATTAGAGCAAACGTGTGTGATGTTTCTGACAAGCTGTCATCGTTTAACAGCAAGAGACAGATGTCAGACACAAAGGCAGCATTTTCACCCGTGTCTGACACATGTCAGCCCTGGGCCTGGGCCACCTCCTGGCTTTCTTCTCCCGCTGCAGGGAGATGCATGGCCATGGGCCACGTGTCGGGGGAGCAGAGGCCCGAAGGTGGGGGTGATCCCCACTTCCAGTTCCAGGCTGGTGGTTGCGTCTTAGGCGGAAGGAGTGGGGGGGCATCTGTATCCCCCCAGCAACAAGGAACACAGCCTCGGTGCCCCACCCTGCTCGGCGCCCCAGCCCGCTCTGCACCCCACCCCGCTAGGCGCTCCACCCGCTCTGGGCGGTGCCTCCTTAAGGCTGGAGACGGCCCTGAGTGCGTTAAGCACGCTAACCTATTCCATCTTCATGGTGTTGAACAGGTTGGAACTGCTGAAATCTCCATTGACACAGGGGGAAACTGAGGCACAAAATGATCAAGCACTTGCCCCTGATGCCATGACTGAAGAAGCCCCAGGTGGGCATTCCGTGGGCAGGGCCGCTGAGCCCCCCACCCCCCCAGGGCTTCTCCAGGTGAGGATTCAGTGAGTGCTCACCGGGTGTCGGTGAAGTGCCTGGGGCCCCATCTCAGCCTGTCTCCTCCCATCCTAATCACAGGCCAGTGAGGTGGGGATTGCCACCCCCAGTTTTCAGGCAGAGAAACTGAGACCTCTGCTTGCCTTTATTCCTGAGACTCTGATTCTGCCGCAGGGGCTCTCCCTGAGGGGCCCTGAGCTCTCAGGCCCCTGTGCGTGGAGGGTGACGATGCCATCCGTCCCACCCTTGTGGGCCATGCTGGCCCCAGGCTGCACATCCAGGTGGGGCTGGGGATTAAAGCCAGCACACAGGTGTGACCCACATCAGGGACCCTCGGGTGGGATCCACAGTGACGCAGCTGCTGCCGGCCGACTCCCCGCAGGGTGAGCTGATGAGCCTCCCCAAGCCTCAGTTTCCTCCTCTGTAAAACGGGGTGGTGACAACATGTGCTTTATAGACCGGGCAATAGAGTTCGAGCCCCAGGGCCACACCTGGCACATCACGCGTGCTCAGTAAACAGAAGCAGTTCTTCAAGCTCCTGAGACTTCAGGCTCACGCTGAGGTCTGTGCTGTTGATAATGACCTTCTCAGTCCTGAGGCTGGAGTTCAGTGCTTGAGGCTCACACTGGGCCGTTGATAAGGACCCGCTTAGGCATCACTCTGAGCTTTTCAAGGTCCCTCCCATCTATTTCCACCTTCAAGCCTCAGGATAACCCTCGCAGGATTCTGGCCTGCCAACATCATCTGCCCAGCCTGGATGGCAGGGCCAGGGCCAGGAGGCGAAGGTCAGGTGCCTTCGCCTGACCTAGCAAAGTAGGGCAGGGCTGTGGCTGAGAGCCCAGGGAACCTGCTCACCCTCCCAGGGCAGCCTTTCCCAGACCCCCCGCCCAGCCGGGTCTCGCAGGAAGGACAGCTGATTTATTCTCACCTTCTTTCTCTGCTTCCCTGTGCTGAACGTGGCCCTGCAGTTTCACCCTGGATGCACCCTTGGACATCGCTGTGTTGTTCCCCTGGAAGCCTGTTGAGATCCTGGCCGCTGTGGACTATTTCCTATCGTCTGCATCAGGCATCTCGAGCTCAGCTCAGATCTGCACACATGAGCCTGTCTGCGTAGCCTCCTGCGGCTGCAGTCACAAATGGCCCACAGACTTATGGCTGAAACAACATGAATGCATTCTCCCACAGCTCTGGTGGTCAGAAGCCCAACCGGCTCTCATGGAGCTGAAATCAAGGTGTCGGCAGGGCTGGTCCCTTCTGGAGGTGCAGGGAAGAATCCATTTCCTACCTTTTCTGGCTTCCAGAGGCTTCTGTATTCCTGGGCTCATGGTGCCTCTGATGTCACCACGACCTCTGCTTCCATTGCCACTGCCTGCTGCTGACCCTCCTGCCCCTGACCTCCCGCCTCCCTCCTACAAGGATGCCCGTGATGACCTTGGGCCACCCAGATGACCAGGATGGTCCCCACCTGGAGGCCCCTTGCTCAGTCCCATCTGCACAGGCCCTACTGCCGTGGGAGAGGCACATAGCAGGCTCCGGGGACCAGGACGGGGGTGCCTCCCAGGACCTCTTTCCCAGGCTGAGCGTTTCATAGCAGGCTCCGGGGACCAGGATGGGGGTACCTCCCAGGGCCTCTTTCCCGGGCTGCATGTTTCTTTCCTAGTCCGACTCCTGTCTTCTAACACTGGTTTTGGTGTCTTTTGTTACACAACTGCTTTAACTTCTTATGTAACTGAAGACGTCCATCTTGTCCTTTTTGGGATTAGAATTTGGGGTAGAAAGTCTTTTCCTCCACCGGAATTATACAACTATTCCATTTTTCTTCTTTTAAACTTTTTTTGCAATTTAGCGGATTTATCTGCACAGAATTTATTGTGTCCGTAAGGTGGGGTTCTAACTTTGTTTTTCCAGATGGTGGATTGATCGGCCCAACGATGCCTTTGAATGATTCTTTCCTCTCTTTCAAACATGACCAATTTCCTACATTAAATTCTCTTGTAAATGGCCATATGCTAGACTTGATTTTTTTGTTTGTTTGCTTTTTGAGACAGAGTCTCCTTCTGTCACCCAGGCTGCAGTGCAATGGCGTGATCTCAGCTCACTGCAACCTCTGCCTCCTGGGTTCAAGCGACTTTCCTGCCTCAGCCTCCCAGGTAGCAGGGATTATAGGCGCCCGCCACCACACCCGGCTAATTTTTGTATTTTTTAGTAGAGGCGGGGTTTCGCCATGTTGGCCAGGCTGGTCTCGAACTCCTGACCTCAAATGATCCACCCACCTCGGCTTCCCAAAGTGCTGGGATTACAGGCCTGAGCCACTGCACCCGGCCTCAATTTAAAATCCACTTATCTGTTTCTATACTGAAATTCCTCCTGGATTAACACAGTTTTAGAGTATATTTTGGTAACTAGAAGGGCAAGGCCCCCGGCTTTTCTGCAGGATCTTTGAACATCGTGTCTCTCACGTTCTGCCTGCTCATTTGTAAATCAGTGTTGTCACAGACTTTCCATGCTACCCCCCGATTTCTACATGGCTCCGTCCTGCTTTCCTCCGTGCTACCCCCGGATTTCTACATGGCTCCGTCCTCCTTTCCTCCGTGCTACCCTCCGATTTCTAAATGGCTCCGTCCTCCTTTCCAAATATTTATTCCTCCGTATTGTATTTCCCTGGCCACTTTTCTTACCAGCAATCTTACACCTTCCATTTAATATAGCCAAAGTTTTTTTTTTTATGACTATATTTTTCATTTAAATCGGTTCTGCCACTTCAATTCCAAATCCATTTCTTTTGCTCCGGACTTTCATTATGACTCCCTCTTTTGTATTAAATAATTTTAGATAAACACATGTATTTCCTGCTGTTCAATTATTCCCTGTCTGCACAGTGCTGATTGTGTGTTCACTGCACTTGATCCTGACAGTTCATTTCTTCCTGTGACTGTTTATTGGAGCTCAAACTCGGTAGGAGTTGTTCTGTGTATCTTTTGTTGTTGATGCTGTTGTTTGGAGACTGTCTCATGAATGCTGGGCTGAGGAAATGTCCTCATTTACCAGATCCTCTGGCCTGGGGTTCTGTGAATTTCTTTCTTAGGGATTCTGTGCTGTGCCAACCATGCAGTCACCAGACTCAGGTGTCGAGAAGGTCTGGAGATTCTATTTCTTACGGGAAACTTCTTTCCTCTACTCAAAGCCTGGACAGACAGCAATTTTCCTCATCATGTCCCCAGGCCAGGGGACAAAAAGGTTTCAGATCCACTTTTCACAGCAATTTTCTTCATCACGTCCCCAGGCCAGGGGGCAAAGAGGTTTCGGATCCACTTTTCACAGCAATTTTCCTCATCACGTCCCCAGGCCAGGGGGCAAAGAGGTTTCGGATCCACTTTTCACAGCAATTTTCCTCATCACGTCCCCAGGCCAGGGGACAAAGAGGTTTCGGATCCACTTTTCACAGCAATTTTCCTCATCACGTCCCCAGGCCAGGGGACAAAAAGGTTTCGGATCCACTTTTCATAGCAATTTTCCTCATCACGTCCCCAGGCCAGGGGGCAAAAAGGTTTCAGATCCACTTTTCACAGCATGTGCAGTTCCTTGGGGCTCTGAGCCTCCTGGCTGGGCTCATCCCAGCTTCCAGCATGTGGGATGCAGAGCAGTCTCCGCTCTGACACTCGTCACAATTCTCAGGGTCTCCGAAACACCCTCTCATTTCACTCTTCATTTCTAGTCCTGAAAGCTTTCCCTGTCTTTCTTTCAAGCTTGTCTATGAACTTAAAATGTTGCAGGTTACATTTCACCCAGAATGTCTATGTGTTTACAGTGGGAGAGGGTCCCCTCTGTCAGCACAGCCTAGAGTTTCACCAGAGGCCTCCCTCTAGCATTTTCCAGGCAGCCGAATGGTGAATAGCTGAATAGCTGTGCTCACACTGCTTATTTCTTTTTCTTGTCTTATTCCTTTGGTGATGACCTCAGATACAACATAGAAAAGTAGCAGCAAGGCCGACACCCTTGTTTTGCTACTGACTTTAGTGGAAATGCTTTAAATGTGTTTCCATTAGGAATAATATCCTATGCAAGTTTATGAAGTTAAGAAGGCTGCTTTTTATGTCTAGTTTACTGAAATCAGGAAGAGATGAATTTGGTCACATGGCATTTTGAATGGATTCAGAGGTTAATCTGGTGGTGGGTTGTTATGTTCCTTTGCAGAATCAACCTTGCATGACTACAAATGTCCCTTTTATTCAGACACTGCCACATAAAGTTTACTAATATTGTATCTAGGGGCAGATTCCTTTTAAAAAGATGACTTTTCTACTATTCAATCAGGCTTATGTAGAAGGAAGATGAAAATTAGGAGGTTTATGTGTTATGTTATTCCAAGAGGTAAGGAAGCTAGGGCTATGACTCTGTGTAATCATCCCTTGACAACCCACTGGGCGCTCCCAGACAGGCACATCCCCTGCCAAGACTTTGGTGTGGCATTTGGGAAAGTGGGGTGAGGGCAGGGGAGGGGCCAATCCCAGCACTAGGACATGGTTTAAACAGGATTGTGATTAGAAGACAAACAACAGTGAACTCTTGCCAGTGAGTAATGATTCACCAAGTACTACAAAATTATGGCTGAGTTTGGAATAGTAAAGTCCCTGCTCTTGGATGCCAAAAGAGTCCATGGAACATTCTAGAATGTGATAGTTTCAACACACCTTGATAGTTTGTGTGTCTGATTACATGGTTCTGCTGTCCAGCGTCACAGACACTGAGTGAGACGGGCACTCCCTTGGACCGGGAGTGGTGGAATGCTCCGTGATGGGGTGAAGGCCACACCAGCTCCTCTCCAGGCTCTGTTGTTGCTTTAACCCGGCTCTATCGTCTTGGGCAAGACAGCACCCCTACAGCTTTCCAATCCCATCTTCCTCTTCCCACCCTCTGTCTCCCTGGGCTAGCCATGGTCTCCCAGCCAAATCTGCAGACCCAGGGCTCTGCACCTCACATTGCTCCCTGAGCCTTGACCATGCCTTGTATCAAACATCTTTCTCCTCCTCAGTTGTAAAGAAGCTCATCTTCTAAAGACTACAATAACCCCTTGGCTGTCTTTCCCTTCCCTCTTGCAATGAGTTACCATGGCTCATAGCATAGTTATACACACACAGTTATATGCACACATGGTGGTATGCGTACATAGCTGTGCACACACTGTGGTGGTATGCACGCATAGCTGTATTCATGCACAGTTGTATGCATGTATAGCTGTATACATGCATGGCGGTATGCACATATAGCTGACACGTGGTTGCATGCATGTGTGGAGTATGCACACAAGGTCATATGTGCACATAATTGTATACATGCATGATTGCATGCATGCATGGCTGCACACACATGGCTGCATGCACATATAGCTGTCACACACTTGGTTGTATGTACACAACCGCACACATGGTGGTATGCACATATGACTGTTTACAGTTACACACGTCTGTATGCATGCATAGCTGTACACAGGCTTGGTGGTATGTACGCACAGCTGTATGCACACATGGTTGTATGCACACGTGGTTATTGCATGCAAGGTTGTATGTGCACATGGCTGTATGCACACATGACTTGCACACGCATGGTTGCACACACATGGTGCTTGTGTGGTGGTATGCTCACATAGCCATATGCACACATGGTTGTACGCACACATGGCTATATGCACACACAGCTGTACATGCACATGGCTGTATGCATCCATAGTTACATACATGCATGTCTGCCCAAGGATGCTGAGATCTTTGACTGTGGAGGACAGAACTTATCTTTGCATCCTCCCCTCCCAGTGGCCAGGCTCACGACAAAGCCCTCCACAGTCATCATTCAGGTACAAACTGCACCAACCTGAGCACTCACCCAGGCCCTGCCCTGTACTGGGCATGCTCGGTACATGAGAATCATCTAATCTTCTCCAAAAAGAAGGCAGAGCTGGCAGGATGGCAGCTGGGGACAGACTCGTAACAGGCACGAGGCAATCTCTGGATGAGATGAGCCATCAGACGTCCATCGTTCAGGCTCCAGGCCTCCTCTTTGAGTAATTAGCAAAATGTCAATGGGCCCCCACGGGCAGGGCCCACGCTACATCTGCTAGCTAGGTTTATTTGTGAAGGGCACACGATACAGCAAGTGCCGCTGACCAGGAGCACACAACTCATTCATCTAAATGTTCTAAAACCCATCTAAAACCCTGGCCTGGGGTTACGAATAGCCAGAAATAGACCCTGCTGCCGCCATCTGGACCCAGCCTCCTGGCCAAGCCGGAGACAGCTGCAACACGCCATCCTCAAAGCTCAGGACAGCTGCATGCCTTGAACATGTCTCTGCTTTATCCCAGCAATCTAACAAAATGAAAATCAGAGTTGTGAGAAGGACATCTGTGCCTGTAGGGCGGGCCGGATGGGATGAGGAGGAGGAGGGCAGGGGCCAGGCTGGAAGACAACGCTGGAGGTGGCTCTATCCTCGCAGCCTCCCCAGCGCAGAGGAACCTGACTTAACAGCAGTGGCTTACATTTCACAACGGCTCTGGCACTGCTGTCCAGCTGCACTTTCATAGGTCCAGGGACTAGGACATGGACAACTGGGGGACCTTTGTCCAGCTGAACACATAGAATAAAACATGGCTGGCTCGGCACGGTGGCTCACGCCTGTAATCCCAGCACTATGGGAGGCCAAGGTGGGTGGATCACGAGGTCAGGAGATCAAGACCATCCTGGCTAACACGGTGAAACCCCATCTCTACTAAAATACAAAAAATTAGCTGGGCGTGGTGGCAGGCACCTGTAGTCCCAGCTACTTGGGAGGCTGAGGCAGGAGAATGCATGAACCCAGGAGGCAGAGCTTGCAGTGAGCCGAGATCAAACCACTGCACTCCAGTCTGGGCGACAGAGCGAGACTCCATCTCAAAAAAAAAAAAAAAGAATAAAACATGGCCAGCTTCACAGTGAGATCCCTGAAGACAGATCTGTGCCTGTGGATCACGGGTCCCAGCACCAAGCCGGTGTCGCTGAGGAACCGAATGCCCAGGAAAGAGGGGCCCCGGGTGTGGGTGCTCCTCTGGGTGTGAGTGCTCCCCTGGGTGTGGGTGCTCCTCACCAACAGCTAACGTGTGGGGCCTTCCTGTGCCCCAGCCAAGGTGACACGAACACCCCAAGTTTTCACCCCTCAGGCACCCATGAGATGGCCCCTGCCCGGGAAGCAGCCACAGGCTGGCACTGTTGGCCCAGATCGACCCTGGCCAACCCCGTCCATCTGGAGTCAGCCCCATCTGGCGGTGTCACTGACAACAGAGTCAACCAGCCCCAAATTCTCCCCAACAGATGACTTCTCAGTGAGCCTGGAATTCCAAACATTGAGTAGCAGAACAAAGCAGATGACAAATGATGTGTGCCAGAGAGGATTCCTCGGGGGAGACTGGGCTCGGCCAAGAGGCCTTGTGAGATAAAGGAGGGGAGAAATGAGGACACTGAAGATTTACAGAGACGATTCCTTCATAGCCCTGCCCCACGGAATGCTCGGGTCCCCAGGCCAATAGGCTTCTGTTCCAGATGCCAGCAGGGAGTGCCGATTCTTCCCAGGTGGTCAGGAGCCCCTGCTGCCCGGGGCCTCACCCTGGCTTCATCAGCAAGGCAGGCACATGGCGGGGGGACTGACCCCTGTCCAGGAGCTGCCTGCAGGGAGGAGCGGCCTGGGGACTTTCTTTTGAAACAAGATGAAAACTCTGATGAAATGAATCAGTTAACAGAGAGAAAAATGGCAATGGGTATATGGCAAGGAGTAAATATCCTCCATATAGAAAGAGCTCTTATAAATCAATGAGGAAAAAACAAATCCATTTAAAATTTTAAAATAATATACACTGGCAATCAGCCAAAGAAAAAATGCAAACAGCTGTCCATCCTAACTCACAATCCATGACACCAGCTTGCTCGAGGCACAGGCCAACTGCCAGGCGGCAGGGATTTACAAGTGTGGCAACACCCTGCTGTCAGGGTGAGGAGGCGGGCACACCCACACGGGGTCGGCAGATGGAAATGGATGCAGCTTTTTAGGAGCTTCTTGGACATCCGCCTGGCTTTTAAATGTGCTTATTCTTGATTCTGTAATTCCACTTCCAGGAACTTATTCTAAATAACTAATAGATACATATGCAAAGATGGATAAGTGAAGACATGCATTGCAACATGGCTCATTGCAGAAAGTAACTACACAGAATGATCTAGACCCATCCATAAGGGGTTTGTGAAATGGATGGTGGTGCATCCACGCAGACCTCTCTGTCCTCCTCACTGTGTCCCCAGCTCCCAGCACATGGTTCCAGCACACAGCACGTGGTTCGTAAACGTTTGCCCAAAGAGTGAGTACAACAGTGCACCGTGCAGCCATGAAAAGGAACAAAGCAGTGTGTCCCAACGCAGAAGGATGGCCACAAAATACCACCGGGTGGAAAAAGTGGTTATAAAGCTAAATGCCAAGGGCTGCCCATTTACATGACAATACATTCAGAAAGATGATGCTCTAAACCTAAGTACTGGGATCACTGTGATGATTCCATTCATTCATTCATTCATTCATTCATTCATTCATTGTGACAGAGCCTCGCTCTGTCGCCCAGGCTGGAGTGCAGTGGCGCGATCTCAGCTCGCAGCAACCTCCACCTCCGGGGGGGTTCCAGTGATTGTCCTGCCTCAGCCTCTTAAGTAGCTGGGATGACAGGCGCCCACCACCACGCTCAGCTAATTTTTTGTATTTTTAGCAGAGACGGGGTTTCACCATGTTGGCCAGGCTGGTCTCGAACTCCTGACCTCAGGTGATCCGCCCACCTCGGCCTCCACTCCCTTTGTAACCTGGTGCCGGTGAAGTCCTTGAGTGCTGCACCCTTGGCTTCCTTTCCCCACACACCGTGGTTTTTAACTGCGCCATTCTGCCTGCGTGGTGGTTTCTAGGGACGCCGATATCACGTTTTGGCAGAACCGACTATACCTGCTGTGTGCGGCATGCAGTTTGTCCAGAGCATACAGCGAGACCTCTCTGAAGACCCCCAAATGGCCTCGACCCCGGCTTTTGAGGGAGGGCTGGACAGCTCAGCCTCCCGTTTCCTGCGCACGCACCCCGATGCTGCAAGCTGCCATCTGGGAGGCTTGGTATTCGGGTTAGAGACAAACAGCGCCCGACGGTAATGGTCCTCGAGCCCAACTCTGCCGACCCACGCATTCAGTTTAGTCCTCTTAATGCAGATCTAGAAATGGTTTTTCACTGAAGAGAAAACTACAGAAACTTCTGCCACCACAGGACCAGGACTTGATCACAAGCAAGAAAAGCTAAGTCTGAAACTGGTAACTTTTCCAAACCAAAGACCAAAGCATGCCAGGATTCCCTCAGAGGGGCTTTGGTGGCTGGTGTGGCAATAGCCTTCTTTTTCTTTTTTTCTCTTTTAGACAGAGTCTCGCTCTGTGGCCCAGGCTGCTGAAGTGCAATGGCACGATCTTGGCTCATTACAGCCTTGATCTGGACTCAAGTGATCCTCCCACCTCAGCCCTCCTGAGTAGCTGAGACTGCAGGCGTGTGCCACCACATCTGGCTTTTTGTATTTTTTTGTATTCTTAGTAGGGATGGGGTCTCCCATGTTGCCTAGGCTGGTCTCAAAATCTTGGGCTGAAGTAATCCTCCTACCTCAGCCTTCCAAAGTGCTGGGATTATAGGCATGAACCACCACTCCCAGGCAGCTTCAATTTAACAAAAAATATATTTATCACCTATTGAATTCCAAGCACTGTGTTGAAAGAGGGTAGGACCCCAGATAAAGAAACAGATACTTGCATAAATCAATGCAATGCAATATAGAACTTGTAGCAAAAAAAACCGGTATGTGCAAAGTACAGAAGCAGAGGACAATGAGTTCTGTCTTCTCGGCTCCACAGATTCCAAGGAAGAACAGAGGCAGTGACAAGACTCACCGAGGACCTCCTGCCCACCAGACCCTGCCGAGAGGCTGCCATGATGGCTCACCAGAGGCCGAGATGACCCTAAGGCTAACCCCACTTTAAGATGAGGAGCCTGAGGCTCGTGTTAGTTTGGTTCCTGGCATGACGCTGTGGCAGGGCTGGGGAGCTCATCTCTCTGACCCAGAGCTCACGGGGATGAGCTCCAGTTGGAATGAATGAGTCAGGTACTTTTTGATAGTTGGAAGTTAACGCTTTATCACTGCATTACCGATTGTTTAGGAGCTCAGGCCCTTCCAGGTGGAGCACCCTCTAAGCAAAGTGTAAAGTGTTCTGAACCACAGTGGCGCCACTTCATGGAGGATCGATTGTATTTGAGGGTTGGAGGGTGAGAACAGCAAAAAATAATAATTCAACCAGTTGGTTATTATGAACATCATTTTCATATTTTTAAAAATATGCTATATCATGGAATTCAATGTAAAACCTCAAGAGATGCCATCCTTGGAGAGGGCTGCACCAGCCTGTGCCCCAAGTTACCCAGGATCACCCCCTACTTCTCCTGACGGCCCCCCGAGAAAGGCCTGCATTCTGGGCGACGTGGCCTTCAGGGGCTCAACCCTTGGCCTCGAGAGGGGCCACCCATCCTCAGCGGCTCAGGCATCTGTGCTGGTGCTGTCTCGCCATCTGGGTCACCCAACAGCTGCCATCCTCTGCCCTTCTCCCAGGGCCCAGGGAGTAATTCCCATAGAATTCACACAGACTAGAGGCCGGTGGGCCGAGACCTAAACAGGGGCACAGCCCCTCCTGTGCAGAACCCTGGGCCTACACTCACTGCTGTGGCCGCCGGCACAGGCAAGCCTCATGCCTGTGTGTCCTGGAGCTTGGTTCTGGGGAGGTGTTTTGGGAATAAACTCTTAGATCTTCAGTGTTGGGCTGGTCCTTCACAGTCTCCCTCATTTAACTGAGGTGAGGAGACAGCAAAACCCTCTGGAAATTTGGAGTAGGTGTTGCTTCAAGAAACAGAGTTTTCCTTCTAAACACAGTTCTTGTTGTCACCAAATCCAACCTTCTTCATCTCAAATACAGAATTCAGATGGAAAGGAGGCCACCCCACCCTCAGCCCAGTGCTCAACTCACACAGCAGCTCCCAAGGTAGAGGCGAGACAGGGCAGCCCCAGGCCCTCCCTGCCGCCTGCAGCACTGACGGCGCTCATCACACCAGCCTTTCCACTCTCAACAAATGGTTTCGCCGTATCTGAATACCGCCCTCCTCCTCCCGCCCCAGAATGCTGTTCACTTATCTTTCTTTAAACAAATTTTCTCATAAACTGCAATGCAAGTATTGAGAAATCAAACTTGATATTACTACTGTAAAGGAAAAATCAGAGTCGACTGACCAAACAGAAAGTCGCCATAAAAATGAAAGCAGTGAAATCAAGGCGATAATATTCTATTCTAGTGAGATCCTGGAAGCCAGGGATTCGTTGCTGAATTCTATTAGACATTTAAGGAAGAGAATGACGTCAAACTCATACAAACTTCTTCAGAAAGTGAAGGAGGAGGGACTGTTTTCCCATCTGTGTTATGAGGCCTGTGACGCGGACAACGCTGGAAAGAACCTGCAGGCAACAGCAGAGCAAGGCCCTCGTGAGCACGGCAACATTCCTCAACAAAAATGAGCAAATCCATCCCAGAAAACATGAAACTGGGCCGGGCGTGGTGGCTCACACCTGTAATCCCAGCACTGTGGGAGGCCAAGGCGGGCTGATCACCTGAGGTCAGGAGTTCGAGACCAGCCTGGACAACATGGTGAATGAAACCTCGTCTCTACTAAAAATACAAAAATAGCCAGGCGTGGTGGCGTGTGACTGTAATCCCAGCTACTCGGGAGGCTGAGGCAGAAGAATCACTTGAACCCGGGGGACAGAGGTTGCAGTAAGCCGAGATTGCCCCACTGCACTCCAGCCTGGCCAATATGGCAAAACCCCATCTCTACCAAAAACACAAGAATTAGCTGGGTATGGTGGTGCGTGCCTATAATCCCAGCTACTCAGGAGGCTGAGGCAGGAGAATTGCTTGAACTCGGGGGACGGAGGTTGCAGTGAGCCGAGATCGAGCCACTGCACTCCAGCCTGGGTTACAGAGCAAGACTTTGTCTCAAAAAAAACAAAAAACAAAAAACATATTATCACCAAGTGAGATTCATCCCAAAAATGCAGAGTTGGCATTCAAAAATCAATCAACACAATTCACTATATAAGCAGAATAAGGAGAAAAACAATAAGATCATTGTGGAAGATGCAGTAAAGGCTTTGGCAAAACTCAACATCCAGTTATGATTAAAATCTCCAAGCACAACTGGGATAGGAAATAACTTCCTCAACTGATAAAGAACATCTCTGTAAAGTCTAGAGCTAACATCATCCTTAATGGTGAAATACGAGACGTTCCCCCTAAGGCCAGGATGTCTCCACACATCACTTCTATCTCACATTGTACTAGGTTCCAGCCAGTACAGTAAAGACAGAAACAAACAATAAAAAGCATGCAGGAGAGGAAGAAATAAAACTGCATTATCTACAGACAATGCAAACATCTACTTCGATAATCCCAAAGAATTTTTTTTTTTTTTTTTTTTTTTTGGTGATGGAGTCTCACTCTGTCACCCAGGCTGGAGTGCAACGGTGCAATCTCGGCTCACTGCAACCTCTGCCTCCCAGGTTCAAGCAATTCTCCTGTCTCGGCCTCTTCAGTAGCTGGGATTACAGGCACCCACCACCACTCCCAGCTAATTTTTTATATTTTAGTAAAGACGGGGTTTCACCATGTTGCCCAGGCTCGTCTCAAACTCCTGAGCTCAGGCAATCCACCCGCATTGGCCTCCCAAAGTGCTAGGATTATAGGCGTGAGCCACTGCGCCCAACTGGAACTTTTTAAAAAGTTACTAGAACTAGAACTAAGCAGGGTCTCAGGATAAAGGCCAGTATGCAAATATTAACAGTATTTCTATCTATAAGCACAAGCAATTGGAAATTTAAATTTTTAAAAAAATACCATTTGCAAAAAAATAAAATACCATTTGCAAGTGAATCATAAAATTCTTAGGGATAAATTTAACAAAATATGAGCTACTATACTCTGATTTCTCTTCAGATCATACAAATCCTTCACCTTTTACAAAGTATGAGCTAGACCTGATAGTGAAAACTATAAAATGCTACTGAGAGAAATTAAAGGAGATCTAAATAAAAAGAAAGGCAAACTATGTTCATGGATTGGATTACTCGATA
Organism: Homo sapiens; assembly: GCF_000001405.40. Taxonomy (NCBI): domain Eukaryota; kingdom Metazoa; phylum Chordata; class Mammalia; order Primates; family Hominidae; genus Homo; species Homo sapiens. Next base: position 29,163,795 of record NC_000016.10, on the reverse strand, counting down.
GAGTTAAGATGGCAACCCTTCCCAAATTGGCCAATAGATTTAACTCATTCCAGTCCAAGCCATGCAGGCTATTTTTGTAGAAACCGACATGCTGATTCTAAAAGTTATATGGCTTCATAGAATGACTTAGGGAGGATTCCCTCTTTCTCTGTCTTTTGGAATAGTTTCAATAGGATTGGTACCAATTCTTCTTTGAATTTCTGAAATGCAAAGGATCTATAATAGCTAAAATAATTTTGAAAAGAACAAATTTAGAAGACATACTATCTTAAGATATAGTATAAAACCACAAGACAGCATGCCAATGTAAAGATAGATGTGTAGATCAATGAAAGAAGTCCAGAAATAGACCCACACATAAATGGTCAATTTTCAACAAAGTGCTAAAGCAATTCTGTGAGGAAAGAACATTCTTCTCAACAAATGGTGCTGGCACAACTGCAAATTCATATGGAAAAATATGAACCCCACCTCACAGCACACACAAAGTATCTTGAAATGGAGCATAGATCTAATTATAAAAGCTTAATCTAGAAAACTTCTGGAAGAAAACATAGGAAAAATTATTCATGACCCTGGGATAGACAAATTTTTTTTGGATAGGACACAAAAAGTATTTTTAAAAGACTGATAAATTAAACATCGAAAACTTCTATTCTTGGCCGGGCACAGTGGCTCACGCCTGTAATCCCAGCACTTTGGAACACTGAGACGGGTGGATCACCTGAGGTCGGGAGATCAAGACCAACCTGGCCAATATGGAGAAACCCCGTCTCTACTAAAAATGCAAAATTAGCCAGGTGTGGTGGTGCATGCCTGTAATCCCACCTACTTGGGAGGCTGAGGCAGGAGAATCGCTTGAACCTAGGAGGCAGAGGTTGCAGTGAGCCTAGATCGTGCCATTGCACTCCAGCCTGGGCAACAAGAGCAAAACTCCATCTCAAAAAAAAAAACAAAAACAAACAAACAAAAAACACTTCTATTATTCCAAACACATGATTAAGAAATTAAAAAGCAAATCAGCCTGGGCGTGGTGGCTCATGCCTGTGATCCCAGCACTTTGGGAAGCTGAGGCTGGTGGATTGCTTGAGCCCAGTTCAAAACCAGCATGGGCAACATGGTGAGGCCCTGTCTCCACAAAAAATACAAAAATTAGCAGGGTGTGATGGCATGTGCCTGAAGTCCCAGCTACTCAGGAGGCTGAGGTGGGAGGAGCCTAGAAGGTGGAGGCTGCAGTGAGCCATGATTGCACCACTGCACTCCAGCCTGGGTGACAGAGTGAGACCTTGTCTCAAAAAATAAATAAAATAAAATAAAAATAAAAAACAAGTCACAGACTGGGAGAAAATTCTGGCCAAACAGATACCTGATAAAGGACTTGCATCCAGACCACAATCAAAAGCTTTTGAAACTCAACACAAACATCCCCATAAAAATGAGTGAAACTGGCTGGGTGCGTCGGCTCACGCCTGTGATCCCAGCACTTTGGGAGGCCGAGGCAGGTGGTTCACCTGAGGTCAGGAGTTCGAGACCAGCCTGGCCAAGATGGAGAAACCCCGTCTCTACTAAAAATATAAAATTAGCTGGGCATGGTGGCACATGCCTGTAATCCCAGCTACTTGGGAGGCTAAGACAGGAGAATCGCTTGAACCTGGGAGACGGAGTTTGCAGTGAGCCGAGAGTGCGCCATTGCACTCCAGCCTGGGCAACAAGAGTGAAACTCCATCTCGAAATTTAAAAAAGAGTCAAATATCTGAATAGACACTTCATCAAAGATTGCAAAGAAGTATAGGAAAAGATTCTCAAAATCATTAGTCACTAGAAAATGAAAAAACTAGAAAAATAAAAAATATAATTATAATATGCAACCCACCCCTACATCTATCGGGAGAAACGACCCCTTTGGCAAGGGTTTGACGCTGCTGATAAAGTCACACATATACTCACCACATGGCCCCGCAATTCTCCTCCTAGGCCCTCACCCAAGAGAAATGCAAACCCAGGCACACACCAAGACTTGCTGTTAATATCCACGGCAGTTTATTCCTAACAACAGCCCAAAATTGAAAACAACCCAAATCTTCATCCACGGCAGTTTATTCCTAACAACAGCCCAAAATTGAAAACAGCCCAAATCTTCATCCACGGCAGTTTATTCCTAACAACAGCCCAAAATTGAAAACAGCCCAAATCTTCATCCACGGCAGTTTATTCCTAACAACAGCCCAAAATTAAAAGCAGCCCAAATCTTCATCGACAGGTGCGCCTGCAAACAAACCGTAGTACATCCAAAAATGAAGCACTACTCAACAATGAAAGGAATGACCTTCTGAGAGGCAACACGGCACGGATAAACCTCGACACTCCGCTGGGTGAAAGAACAGACACACAGCCCGTGCGTGCTGCCTGACTCCATGGACACGAAACCCTGGAAAACCCTGTCTCATCCAAGCAAGGGAAAGCAGACGGGTTGGGGCATACAAGGGGTGGAGCAGGGCCTTTCCAGGTGATGGGTAGTCTAGGGGTGGTGCTGGCTATGTGAGTGCAAAAATGTGTCCATACTCTCCAGCATATGCCATTCAAACCACTAAAATCATTTAGCAAAAATAAATAAATAAAAGTGATAGCCAACAAAGAGGCAATTTGAGTATCAAAAATATAACAATTGCAGCTGGACCCAATGGCGGGCATCTGTAGTCCCAGCTATTTGGGAGGCTGAGGCAGGAGGATCACTTGAACCCAGGAGGACAAGGCTGCAGTAAGCTATGATTGCACCACTGCACTCCAGCCTGGGGGACAGAGTGAGATGCCATCTCTAAAATATATATTTATATACACACACACACATATATACAGAGAGTTAAGCATATAAACACATATATACACACATATATATACACAGAGCTAAGAATATATACCTAAAGTATATTTATGTACACACACATAAAACTGTGGCAGACTAAAGCATACAAATACGTGTACAAATCCTCCAGCTCCTGACCAAACTGACTGTGTTTGCCTTTTGGAGGTTGCCGGCTCACACAGGGTAAATGTTTGACCTTCTTATTTTATTGACCAAGTATCCAAGTGGCTGCCGTGGCCATAGTGAGTGACAGAGTGCCATCTGAGTGGCTGCCGTGGCCATAGCAAGTGATGGAGTGTGATCTGAGTGGCCGCCGTGGGCATAGCGAGTGACGGGAATGCAATCAGAGTGGCTGCCATGGCTGTAGTGAGTGACGGGATGTGATCCGAGTGACTGCTGTGGCCGTAGTGGGTGACGGGATGTGATCCGAGTGACTGCTGTGGCCGTAGTGGGTGATGGAGTGTGATCCGAGTGGCCACCGTGGCCACACCAAGTGACAGAGTGTGATCCAAGGGGCCATCGTGGCCATAGCAAGTGATGGGGTGTGATCAGAGTGGCTGCTGTGGCTGTAGCAAGTGACAGGTTGCGATCACAGTGGCTGCCGTGGCCCTATTGAGTGACGGGATGCAATCCGAGTGGTCGCCGCCGTGGCCATACCGAGTGACGGGGTGTGATCTGAGTGGCCACTGTGGCCACAGTGAGTGACGGAGTGTGATCCGAGTGGCCGCCGTGGCCGTAGCGAGTGACGGAGTGTCTACACTGTTTATTTGGCTTCTGTGGAAGTTTGGCAAAAGGGAGAGGAATCACTTTGATGAGAGGACAGGGATGTACCATCTCTGTACGCGTTACCACGAGCCTCTGTTCTAGTGGCCAGTGAGTAAAAAAGAAGCATATTTTGACAAATAAATTCCTAATCATAAACAGTAAACTTCAGCAAACCCAGGACCTAGTGGGCGAGTATTTGCACAGTTACATGAGAACTCTGCAGTGCGGCCTGCAACCGCCTGGCCAATTTAGGATTAGGAAGGCAGGGATTAAAAGTTACTGAACAACAGACAAAATGATATATGATTCCTTAGGTCATTGGAATAAATTATAGATAAGCTTAAATATGTATGGAATTTTGCCTACTCAACTCTCACAGCGGCCCAGGGCCGGATTTCAGCCTGTGAGCCGGGGTTGTGACGTGACAGCCAGACTTCAAGGGCCCATCTGGCCAAGGCTGAGCTCTCTTCAAGGTCAGTTTTGTTTCTTTGCGAACAATTCTTTTTGGAAGTTCACTGAGCCAGCCCCTCCGATGGCCAGAATCGATACTGAAATGTTCGGCTCATGACACGGCGCTGGCGACAGCGGCTTAGTTTCTCTCTTTAACTCTCTGAGTATGTTTTTATGTTTGGTTGGTTTTTGTTTCGAGTTTTAATAATAGGGTGAACTCCTCGGAGGGTTTGGACAAGGACCAAAGTCAGTGTAAGGAGAGCACCAAGTACAGCGCCCCCACCCCCCCGACCCCCACCAACCCCACCGTTCATGGTACACAGCCGGTGCCAACTGCAGCGCCCCCCCCAACCCCCCACCCCACCATGCATGGTACATAGCGGGTGCCTCATGCAGTGCCCCCTCCCGACCCCCCCATCCCACCATGCATGGTGCACAGCGGGTACCTCATGCAGCGCCCACCACCCCCCCACCCCACTGTGCACGGTACATAGCGGGTGCCTCGTGCCACCCCAGTGAAGGAGAGGGTGCAAAACACCCCACACTGATGGTGAGGTCTTTCTAGAACCTCACCCAACGCCTGCGGCCAAGAAAGTTTGCATGGCTGAGAACCAAGAAACCACACGGCCTCCCACCCTCGGGTGAGGTCAGGCGGCTCCAGTGGACGCAGCCAGCCGGGGCTCACGCCTGGATTCTAATTGCCCTCGACACGGGCGTCTCCTCCAGGATTCATACGAGACGCCGTCGACAAGCTCTGTCCTCCGAGTTCCATTTTCCAGCCAGTGTTCCCAGGGCTCAGGCCTTCCACCGCGCTGGGAGCTGCCACGTGTCCTGACGTGTCCCAGCGCAGTGAGGCCCGCCCGGGAGCCGCGGTGACCCAGGCGTTCTGGTGGGTCTGGAGGCTCCGTGGACAGGGCGGCTCCGTCCCTGGTTGAGGGCTCTCGCCTCCCTGCTGCGGCCGTGGAGCTCACGCTGCGGGTCCAGCATCCGGCCGCCTGCAACCGCCCAGTCCAGGTGACCGTGACAGTAACACCGCCGACGTCCTCCAGCTGCCTGTGTTCTCCCAGGTGGGGCGCGCCATCTCCGCTGTTTCCCAGCCCTCTGGCTAATGCGTCCCGCCGGCCCGATGACATCACTCCGGGAAATGAGCACCAAGCTCCGATAGAGGAATCAGTTTATCATCTGCCATTTCTGTAACACACACATGCAGCAGAAGGCGGGGGCCTGGGCCTCCTGCACGGACCCCAGAGAAAGCAAGTGTCACGAGGCTCTGCTGAGGCAGGCAGTGGCTCCCCTGGGCCCAGGGCTGCCCCTGAAGATTGCTCTCCTCCTCAGCAACCACGGGGCAGTTCTGCACTCCCTGGAAGCAGGGAAGCTGGAGAATGGCTCAGGGGCGATGCCTCCCCCTCCACAGGACACGTTCACCCACCCTGGCCCAGCACACTCTCCCCGGTGCAGCCTCCACCCTCCCAGGCGGACTTGGGGGCCTCTTGGTTGTGTGTGGTTCCCCATCCCATTCTCCTCAGAAGAGAGTGCTCTCCTCACAGCGCGCACGGCGGCAGCAGACAGACCCAACACCAGGACCCCACGGGCCGGGACTCCACAGACGGCTCTCGCTTTGCAAATGTGGTCTGACTGAACCATCCTGTCCCAAACAGTGGGCAGGACAAAAACCAGATGTCCCCATCTCTTCCCTAACCCCACTCCCTACGACACGCTCCCAGTTAACCAAGACCAGGCTTCAGGGAGCTGGGCAAAACCTTATCAGTCAGCCGTTGACTTCCCAGAGGAGAACCAGGAGAGGCAGCCACCTGGGAACAGCCCAGTCCCACACATCCAGAGCTGGGCCGGCCAGCATCCACCCAAACGGCTGGACCCGGTGGGGGACAGTTTCCCGCACCTGTGTCTCCACCCCACCCTCTGTGTAAAACACATCCAGGCTGCCGGCCCCGTGACCCAGGAGCAGGTGTTGTTCATCAGTGCACGTGGAGCGAGGCATTCTGATGAAAACTTTGGTATTTGGTTGCTTTGAGCAATTGGCTTGGAAGGAAAATTGGTGACCAAGAAGAATGCTGAGTTGCTCCCAGCCGTGCAAGGTTATTCTCATCAGGGTCACTTAATAATGAAAAACACCCAGCACAGATGGGCCCCGAAGGTGCACCACAGGCTGCGGATGGCCAGGCTTCTGCACTGAGGCATGTGGCTTTAAGGAAGAGTGCGGAGATGAAGCGAGGGAGGGAGATAAACCTGTAGGAGACCATGAAATAGTGAATTTCAGACCCGGTTCTCAGGGGGCCCAGAGCTAACCGTGAGACCGCCTCGGCTGATACAAAGAAGCCTCTAGAAGACATTTCTTCACTTACTTTCTTTTCAAGCTCACAACTCCTCAAGGACAGGACAAACGTTATTTTCATTCCACAGATGGCAAAACAAGCCCAAGAGTTACGAGTTGTCAGGGAAACTTGCAAAAGACTTTGAAACGAGCAAAAACAAACAGTGACTCAGTTCCTGCCTAGGCCCTGCCTCTCATTGTCTTGGGGCTATTTTGCAACTTTGTAAATCCTAGAAAAGTGAGAGCAGTGGAAACACAAGTGAACTGCATCTCCGTGGAATGCAGCCGAGGACCACCTGGGGATAAAGCATCTCCACATCTATTTGTAAACTCATCTCAGCATTCCCTATTGCTTATCCGTGTGGTTCTCTGAATTCTCTCCCAAATGCCGGAAACATCTTACTGGTGCCTGCATTAGTTAATGAGTTAAATAAAGTCTTTGACATGTATGTATTCTGTATTTTTGAGTCAGAATTGTATCTTCTTTTAAAAGCAGTCCTTTGACACCAGGGCCCCTCTGCTAAGGAAGCCATAGAGTCGGGAATCTGAGCCTGGATCAGCACACTCTGAAGGGAAGAAAAGAGGAAGATGAGACTCCAGGAGCACCCGGGGCGTGCCTGACCCCTGCGCGCCATCACCCTCCCTCTGCAGAGGTGGAGGTGACAGGTGAGCTGACACAGAAAGCAGAGAGTCAGCCCAAATGGTAGATGTTGCTCCCATGGTTCTCTGGGACCACGGCGGGCAGGACCAGGTCGAGCAGCTGAGACTCTTGTGCTTCCTTTGCTGACACCGGCCCCATCCAAAGGGCTCCCGTCCTCAGGGTGGGGCTGTGGAGAGCCCGTGAAGAAACTCAAAAGGCTCCACCAAAACACTGCGAAGAATTCTAAAAAGAACTTAGAAGAAATGTACAGTCTTTAAAAGCTGCGAGGCAAGATTTCAATGAAAAGATAGGAGCCGGGTGCGGTGGTTCATGCCTGGGTAATCCCAGCACTTTGGGAGGCTGAGACGGGCAGATCACCTGAGGTCAGGAGTTTGAGAGCAGCCTGGCCAACATGGCAAAACCCCGTCTCTACTAAAAATACAAAAATTAGCCAGGTGTGGTGGTGGGAGCCTGTAGTCCCAGCTACTGGGGAGGCTGAGTCAGGGGAATGGTGTGAATCTGGGAGGCGGAGGTTGCAGTGAGCTGAGATTGCGCCACTGCACTCCAACCTGGGCGACAGAGCGAGACTCCGTCTCAAAAAAACAAAGAAGTAAAATCACAGTATGGCGCCTCCCCTCGTGCTCCTCCTCCTGCTCTGCTGATGGGCGCTGTGTGCGGAGCCTCCCTTTGCCATAGCTGCCTCTGACGATACGGCGGCCTCCCACCTTCACACAGCTTCCCTCACAGTCACTCCGACAGGTCCACCTCCCAGGTCACTCGCACACGACCGGGGCTCCAAGAAGCTGGGTCCCAGCAACAGTGCAGCAGCATCAAGCCCAGGAAAAGCCCCTCTTCCACGGTCCCTGAAGACACGTGGCACTTCCACAGTCCATGAAGACACGTGGCACTTCCACAGTCCATGAAGACACGTGGCACTTCCACAGTCCGTGAAGACACGTGGCACTTTCCACGGTCCGTGAAGACACGTGGCACCTCCACGGTCCCCGAAGGCACGTGGCACCTCCACGGTCCCTGAAGGCACATGGCACCTCCACGGTCGGTGAAGGCATGTGGCACTTCCACGGTCCATGAAGACACGTGGCACTTCCACAGGTATAAACTGGCCTGAGCCTCAGAGGCCCAGCCCTCCCCAGGGTCTTCTAGGCAGTCAGTGGCTGAGTATTCAGAGACCTGAATCATCTCTCCAAGTAAAAAAAGATCAAAGGGACAAAACAGGAATTTGCGGTGATTTTGTCTTCATTTTTTTCTTTTTGTAAAAAAACTTTTATTTTTGAAATAATTATAGATGCACAGGAAATTGCAGAGAAAGGCAGAGAGAGCCACACGCATCTGTCCTGGCTCTCACGCATCCCCAGCCCTCACATGCCCCCGGCTCTCACACGTCCCCGGCTCTCACATGACCCCAGCTCTCACGTGTCCCCGGCCCTCACACACCCCCAGCTCTCACACATCCCCGGCCCTCACATGCCCCCAGTTCTCACACGTCCCCAGCTCTCACATATCCCCGGCCCTCACGCATCCCTGACTCTCACTCCCACCCAGCCACACCCTTCAGAGCATCAGGCGTGCCAACACAGCAGCACGCCAAGCCATCAGCCTGGCATGACCCACAGGGCCCGTTCAGACTCTCGTAGCTCTGCATGCCCTGGTGTGTGTGTGTGTGTGTGCGCGCGCGTGCACTCACTTCAGGCAAGGCCATTTTATCACACGTGTAGATTCGTGTAACTGCCACCACCACCAAAGCACTAACTGTTCCCCTCATCACAGGCTGCCTCCAGCTGCCCCCCTGCGGCCCCTACTCCCCCCACCCACCATCCCCAGCCCTGGCAAACCACCAACCTGTTCTCGGTCTCTGGTTTGATGATGCCAGTTCCATAAACAGCGTCATGGCATGTACAGGCTTTTTGAGGTCAGCTTTTCCCACTCGGCAGAATTCTCTGGAGATGGTCCAAGTTGCTGTGTGCAGCTGGTCTGTTTGTTTTCATGGCTGAGTAGCGTTCCGCGGTGCGGCCGTTCGTGTGTCCACTGAAGGACGCTCGGGTTGTCTCTACGTTCTGCCTGTTACAAATGCAGCTGCACAGTTTTTGGCATGAAGATACGTCTTCATTTCTTTGGAATAAACACCCCAAGAGTGTCATTGTGGGGTTGTACATTAGTCGGGTGTTTACTTTTGGGTGAAACTGTCAAGCTGGTGTTTAGAGTGGCCATGCCATTTGCATTCCTGCCAGCAATGGAGGTCCAGGCCCTGTGCCTACACCACGATATCGCCGGTTCTGGAGGTCCAGGACCTGTGTCTACCCCACGACATCGCTGGTTCTGGAGGTCCAGGCCCTGTGTCTACACTGGGGCATCGCTGGTTCTGGAGGTCCAGGCCCTGTGTCTACACCGCGGCATCACCGGTTCTGTGCTGGCCGTCCTGATGGGGGTGTGGCGATCTCTGCCTGTGGTCTCAGTGCATTTCCCGACGGCTGCTGGCAAGGAGCACCTGCCACGCCCTGATTGGCTGTCTGCATCCTCTTCAGGGAAGAGCCCCCCCACGTCTTGCCCATTCTCACATCGGCTTGTTTTTTCATGGTTGAGTTTTGAGAGTTCTCTATACAGTCTGGACCCCAGGGCTCTAGTCGGGCGTGTGTGTTTGTGAATATTTTCCCCGCTCTGCAGTTTCTCTTTCCATCCTCATCAAAGAGCCTTTCCCAGAGCGCACGCTTTTCACCTGAGATGGGGAGGCCACCCTGGATGACCAGGTATCCTTACATGAGCGAGACGGTGGGGGGGGGGCAGGGTTTGCCCCCAAAGACGAAGAGACCACATGAGGATAAAGGCAGACATGGGAGCGATGTGGCCACAAGCCCAGGAATACCTGGAGTGCCCAGGAGCTGGGAGAGGCTGGAAGGGCCCAGAGCCTCTGGAAGGAGTATGGCTAGAGGGACCCAGAGCCCCCAGAGGGAGTACGGCTGGAAGGACCCAGAGCCCCCAGGGGGAGTACAGCTGGAAGGGCCCAGAGCCTCCGGAGGGACTATGGCTGGAAAGACCCAGAGCCCCCAGAGGGAGTACGGCTGGAAAGACCCAGAGCCCCCAGAGGGAGTACGGCTGGAAGGACCCAGAGCCCCCAGAGGGAGTACGGCTGGAAGGACCCAGAGCCCCCAGAGGGAGTACGGCTGGAAGGGCCCAGAGCCCCCGGAGGGAGTACGGCTGGAAGGGCCCAGAGCCTCTGGAGGGAGTATGGCTCGGCGGGCCTCTTGATTTCCCTTCTGGTCTCCAGAACTAGAGTTAGGAAGTCCAGGAACACACAGGGCCCCGGCACCTTTCTCTTTCCACACCACCGTCCTGGACGGTGCATATTTTTAGCGGAGCCCATGGCCATCCCAGATAAACCAGGGTCAACTCAGGAGGGAAAGCGGGAGGGGACGGGGTCGTGTGCACTGTGCAAGGCTGACATGAGCTGGAGGGGTGCACGGCGGTGACCCCCGAGCTTCTCCAGAGGAGCAACCTTGGCTGATCAGCCGGGACATATGAGCGTCACACATGTACTTGTCTTCCTAAAGCTTTTTATAATGTGTTTTTCTGATTATGAAAATAATATATATCTATTGCAGATCAGAAATGGCAGCAATGCATAAAATAATCCAGCCCCTTGAAAATAAACACAGTGGCTGTTTTTGGTGTGCTTCCTGCCACGTTTCCCCTTTGCACACTAAGGTTTAGTTTAAGTATTAATTAAATGGAATCACATCCTGAACGCGCAGAGCCCGGCACAGAAGACCAGGCGGCATGGTTAAGACAGGCTGGGCAGGGGCAGAACCAGCTGCGTTTCCCTGCGGAGCCACCGTTCACTGCCCTGCGACCTGGAGGGTTGGTGGTTGTTTTTTAAGTCACCTCTGGGTTCTGTTTCCCCGGCCCCAGAAGCATTATCTCCATGAGAGGCCACAGAAAGAGAAAGGCGGCTGAAATTTTTTACAGACTGATAAGACATTTTCCCCCTGGCCTGTTTCCAGTGCCCACTTCCTCCCAAAGCAATGGCGTCCAAGAATTCTCAGTGCGGCAGCCACAAGGAACCAGGTTTGCTGGGCTTGTAGGTGGAGAAGGGGAGGCACCTCTTCCCCAACAGCCCCTCTGAGCTCCCTGCCCCTCTGTGGGCCCAGCAAGCCAACTCACTGCACACACAGCTGCATCTGGGGGCCAGGCCCGCCTTCACCAGGCTGCAGAGAGGCTCAGACAGGGTCTCGGACGCCCAGGGCAACACTTGCAGAAGCTGGAGGCACGGAGGAGAATGCAGTACCAGAACCACGGCTCCGTCTACCCCAGCTCATGGGCTGGGAAGTCAGCTGGGCACCGCGTGTTCCCTGATCCAATCTCACCTCAGACTCCGCAGTGAGTGTGGTCCCTGTCATTCCCCACACCGGAGACCCCCGCAGTCAGTGAGTGTGGTCCCTGTCATTCTCCCCGGAGACCCCCGCAGTCAGTGAGTGTGGTCCCTGTCATTCTCCCTCAGACCCCCACAGTGAGTGAGTGTGGTCCCTGTCATTCTCCCCGGAGACCCCCGCAGTGAGTGAGTGTGGCCCTTATCGTTCTCCCCATTCACAGGTGGGCAGACTTGGGCACAGAGAGGTGGAGGGACTTGCAAAGGCCATGAAGCTGGGGGTGGGGGACAGGACTGGCTGTGGGGTGGGGGAGACCCTTCCTCAGCCACCCATGGTGCTCACCGGACATCATGGGACCACAGGACCTCCCATCGCATGGCCCACAGCCCTGCCCAGTGCGGCCCTGGCAGGAGCCAGGTGTCCAGTCCCACAGCACTCTCAGTGTGGCAAGAAATTTCCTCACACCCGGGAGCTTCTCCACGCACTAGACCACACGGTGAGCTTTCCAGAGCAAGAGGCTGCACGTGTATCTGATCTCCCTGCAGCCTGCACCGGGGGGGTGTCAAACCAGCCATGTCGGTGAAATTAAGAAGAAGGGACGCATGCCTCACAGCTGGGGCCCTGCACCGCCTGTCCCAGAGGGGCCACTTGTTACCCATTTAAGACAGGCCAGACCTGACCTACGATAGGCCCTTCAGCTGCGAGAGCCTTTGTGCCTTCACCACGGTCTGCGGAGGTAACTGAGACACAAAAAGCATGGCCTTGCCCAGGGCTGGAGGTAAACTGTTCCTCCCCCAGCCGGGCTTCAGCCACAGGTCCTCATGTCCTGCATCCACAGGGCTGGATCCTTGCTCACCAGGCTCTCCTGTCACCAAGTGTCAAAGCGCCAGAAGCCATGGAAACTCACCAGCTGGAAGAGCCGCCCATTACCCACGCACCTACAGTGAACTCAATTTCAACAAAGGTGGCAAGAACGTACACTGCGGAAAGGACAGTCTCTTCCATAAACGGTGCTGGGAAAACTGGCTACACATCCGCAGAAGAGTGAAACGAGACCCCTACCTCTCGCCACATACAAACATCAAGCCAAAATGGATTAAAGTCTGGAATCCAAGACCTCCAATGATGAAACTACTACAAGAAAACACTGGGGACAATCTCCAGGACATTGACCTGGGCAAACATTTCTCAAGCAATGCCCCCACACACAGGCAACCAAGGCAAACACAGGCAAATGGGGCCACCTCGAGCTAAAAAGCTTCTGCACAGCAGGCCGGGTGCAGTGGCTCATGCCTGTAATCCCAGCACTTTGGGAGGCCGAGGCGGGTGGATCACGAGGTCAGGAGATCGAGACCATCCTGGCTAACATGGTGAAACCCTGTCTCTACTAAAAATACAAAAAAATTAGCCAGGCGTGGTGGCGGGCACCTGTAGTCCCAGCTACTGGGGAGGCCGAGGCAGGAGAATAGCGTGAACCTGGGAGGCGGAGCTTGCAGTGAGCTGAGATCGTGGCACTGCACTCCAGCCTGGGCAACAGAGCAAGACTCCATCTCAAAAAAAAAAAAAAAAAATCTTCTGCACAGCAAAGAGAGCAATCCAGAGTGAAGAGACACCCCACAGAATGGGAGGAAATATTTTCACACTACTCGTCTGACAAGGGATTCATAACCAGAACATATAATGAGCTGAAACAACTCTATAGGAAAGAATCTAATCATCTGATTAAAAATGGGCAAAAGATCTGAATAGAAGTTTCTCAAAGGAGACACACAAATGGCCAACAGGCATCTGAAGAGGAGCTCAACATCACTGATCGTCAGAGAAATGCAACTCAAAGCTACCATGAGACATCACCTCACCCCGGTTAAAATGGCCTTTATCCAAAAGACAGACAATCACAAATGCTCGCGAGGATGTGGGAAAAGGGAACCCTCGTACCCCGTTGGTGGGAATGTAAATTAATACAGCCGCTATGGAGAACAGTTTGGCGGTTCCTCAAAAAGCTAAAAATTGAGCTACCATAGGATCCAGCAATCCCACTGCTTGGTATAGACCCAAAAGAAAGGAATCCATCTATCAAAGAGATGTCTGCAGTCCTGTGTTTACTGGAACTCCTGACCTCAAGGGATCCGCCCACCTCAGCCTCCCAAAGTGCTGGGATTCAGGCATCAGCCAACGCGCCTGGCTGGCACGCCTGTGTTTACTGCGGCACTCTTCACAGTAGCAAGATTTGGAAGCAACCTAAGTGCCTATCAATAGACAAACAGATAAAGAAAATGTGGCACGTACACAACGTAGTACTATTCAGCCACAAAAAAGAACGAGATCCTGTCATTGGAACAACGCGGATGGAACTGGAGGTCATTATGTTAAGTGAAATAATCAAGGGATGGAAAGAAAAACAACAGGTTTTCAGCCAGGCGCGGTGGCTCAAGCCTGTAATCCCAGCACTTTGGGAGGCCAAGGCAGGCGGATCACAAGGTCAGTAGATCAAGACTAGCCTGGCCAACATGGTGAAACCCCATCTCTACTAAAAATACAGAAATTAGCTGGGTGTGGTGGTGGGCGCCTGTAGTCTCAGCTACACAGGAGGCTGAAGCAGGAGGATCGCTTGAACCTGGGAGTCGGAGGTTGCAGTGAGCTGAGATGGCACCACTGCACTCCAGCCTGGTGACAGAGCGAGACTCCGTCTCAACAAACAAACAAACGAACAAAACAAACAAAAACACGTCTTCACTTATTCGTGGGAGCTAAAAATCAAAACGATTGAACTCATGGACATAGAGAGTGGAAGGAGGGTTACCAGAGGCTGGGAAGGGAAGTGGGGGGATGGTTAATGGGTACAAAAAAATAGAAGAAATGAATAAGACCTATTATTTGATAGTACAACGGGGTGAGCATAGTCAACAATAATTTGATTGTACATCTTAAAATAACTAAAATAAAATCACTGGCTTGTTTGTAACAGAAAGGATAAATGCTTGAGGGGATGGAGACCCCATTCTCTCTGATGTGATTGTTACACCTTGCATGCTTGTGTCAAAACATCTCATGTACCCCATGAATATATACATCTACGACATACCCACAAAAAAAGACTTTAGAAAAACAGCCCATTGCAGACTGGCCACTGCGGGGAGTGGTTTTAGTTCAAAAGCCCTTCCTCACGCTGGCCTCTTTGGCAGTGGCGTCACAGCCCCATTGCTGCAGGAAATGGTTTGACATGGGGCGGTGCGGGAGGGGCCCTGACAGTGGGGTTTAGGAAGCCACACCCGGCCCAGGTGCCTGGGGGCTGAAGAAAAGCAAGGGGCCTTCGACACTGACTGCAAGTGCCATGAGTGCCCGTCTGGGCCGCAGCGTCTTCATCTGTGAAGGGGGCTGGACCACAAGCTTCCTGAGCTTCCCTGCCACGGACACTGTGCCATCGCTGGCCCGGCTCTGCAGTTTCTAAGGTTTCCCAGTGCCTGTCCCGAGGCCCCACAGAGCCCGGCTGCAGACGCATGTCTCCAGCGAGGCTACACCCGGCCAAGCTGCACCTGCTGCCCTGGGCCCCTCGTGGAAATCCATTTGTTAGAGCCCACAAGCACCTGCCCAACCCGCACAGCACTCCCTGCGTTGGAGGCCATTTTTCTCCCCTCCCCACCTTCGATGGAAAAGGCATTTTTTGTCTAGAGAAGGCACTTTAAGACGAGTGGTTCTGAATGACCACGTTATGATTCTCACCTGCAGGACAGCAGCCCACGCTGGGAGGACATCTCTCCAATACAGTTCACACCGAGGCAGAGACAGGCCTGAAGTCAGGAGGCTGCACCAGGGCTGGGGAAGCTGCTCATGCCACGTGGGTGTGGAGGAGCAGGAGGGGAGCCTTGGGTATTTATTACTCACAGACACTGTAAGCAAACTGAATTGGAACAACCAGGCACTCAGCGACACCTGGGAGAGCCAGCCCCTGCCAGAGAAGACGGACGGAGACCGTGGTAGGCTAGGCAGCAGCCAGTTCAGTCCAGTGTGAGCGGGAGCAGAGTTCTCCAAGCGGACTGGCAGCGGACCACCTGCAACTTGTCAGCAATGTGGAGCCTCAGGGCCTGCCCCAGCCTCCTGAATCAGAAGCCCAGGAGGCAGCCCCCCGGGGGTCTGAACTCACCCTCCAGGGGGTTCTGATGGGTACTGGGGTGGGGCAGCCTCGGCCTGGGTGATTTGGGGAGGGGCAGTTGGACGTGTGTGTGACTCTGAAGCTGCTTCCAACTCTGAAGTGTTAATGATTTCATGCCTTTGTCTTCCTCATAGTATTTGCATTCTATACGTGAGGAGTGAGGGAAAAAGGAGTCACCAATGGTGAGGCCCAGGCATTCTGGTGCTAGGTTCTGGGTGGCTGTTTGCAGGAAGAGTTTTCTCGAATCGCCCACACAGACGGCCACCTAGCCTGACTCCTCCCGTGCCACCCACTCACATTTACTCAACTAACATTTGGTAAGAGTCCATCATGTGCCCAGGGGCCAAAGGTGAGCAAGCTGGCAAAGCCCCTGATCCCAGGGAGGAGACAGCGTGGACACAGACGCCCAGCATTGCCTGATCCCGGAGAGGAGACAGTGTGGACACAGACGCTCAGCACCTCCTGATCCTTGAGAGGAGACAGCTTGGACACAGACGCTCAGCACCTCCTGATCCTGGAGAGGAGACAGCGTGGACACAGATGCCCAGCATTGCCTGATCCACGTGACATTGGAGGCTGCCGGGGAGAAGCCTCATGCCTGGGTCCCAGGAAACAGATCTGAGTCTGGGAGGAGGTGCAGAGGCTCCTTGGAGCAACACCTGCAGGGGTGTGGAAAGTGGGCCTGGGCAGGGGGAGCCACTGGGCTGCAATGCGGTTGCAGCAGAGGCCTCAGCTGTTTCACTGTTGAGGCCTCACCCACAAAGAAGAGAGACCCTCTGTGGGTGTCCTGAATGGAAACATGAGGACCAGTCCTTCCATGCAGCTGCTCCCAGGAGAAGGCATTACATGGGGTGACACGGCAGCCATTTCCAGAGGGACCCAGCTATGAGCCGTCGACACCCCTGGCAGCTGGCACATTTGTTCTCTGCTTTTGTGTAACAAGTCACCTCTGAACTTGGTGGCTAAAAAGGACAACAGTCATTGATTATCTTGGTTTCTCTGGGTCATGAATGTGGCATGACTTGGCTGGGCAGCTGTGGCACAGGCTCACTCATGAGGCTGCCGTCGAGATGTCTTTGCTGGAGTCATCTGAAGTCCTGACCGGGGCTGGTGGCTCGAGGCCTCAGCACTCCCCTGTTGAGCCTCCCCACAGAGCTGCTGGCATATGGCACTGGCCTCCCCTGGAGCAGGTGGTCTTGGGGAGTGAGGGCAAGAAGCTATTGGTGCCCATGATGACCTAGCCTCAGCAAACACATGCGTGGCCCCCCCATACAGTGGGCAAGGCCCTGAAAGAGGGTGAGGCCAGGAAAGGAGGCCAACACCCTACAGTGTCACCACCACCTGCTTTCAGGGAAGTCACGCTGAAGTGGGGACCCTTGAGGCAAGAGTTCTCTGGGGAAACAGAGGTGGGGAGAAGATCCTAGGACATCAGCAACTCAACCCCCAAAGATCCTCACCCCCAGAAGTCCCCTTCACCAGTTTTGTGCAACTTGACAGCCTGATTCTTCAGGGTGGAAAGAGCAATTGAATTCTGGGCAGCAACCCCAGAGCCCTGTCTTCTGCCTTCACCCAGGAGACGTCGGGTGTGACCACTGAATCTCAGTCCAGAATCGAGATGGGCTGCACCAGCAGCCAGACCCAGACGCGCTGTCCCACAGGGATGGCCAGGGCCACAGTGTGATGGTGCAGGGCTCACCAGAAGGCGTCCTCTGTGCACCTCCATCCCCACATCCCCACAGACATGGACCCCCGTCCCCGCGTCCCCACAGATGTGCACCTCTGTCCTGGGATCCCCAGAGATGTGCACCTCCATCCCCGCGTCCCCACAGACGTGGACCCCCGTCCCCACATCCCCACAGACGTGCACCCCCATCCCCACATCCCCACAGACGTGCACCTCAATCCCCACATCCCCACAGATGTGCAAATGGCCTTATTTCTTCAAAGAGAAGGGGACAAAAATCCTCAAGAAAGTCTTCTTTTCTCTACCCTGCATCCACCTCCAAATGACATACAGATCGCACGGAGGAGTTGACTCTGGGGTCAGTGAGACCTGTGTGCAGGGCATGGGAGGGCACCTCAGCCCTCAGCCATTACCAGGCACCTGGGCTGCCATGACGTCACAAACTGAGGGCCTTAAAATGTGGTGTGGAGGCCGGAGCCCAACATGGGCCCTGTGGGGACAAAGCCAAGGGCTGCAGTGCTGTGCTCTCCTGAGGGTCCTTCCTGCTTCTGCAGCGTCTGCAAGCCAGGCGTGCCCTGACTTGTGGCTGCTTCGCTGTAATCTCTGCCTCCACGTCTGTGTCCCAGGGCCATTGCCTCTGTGTGGGCCGAATCTTCCTCTGCCTCTTCCTTAAAAGGACCCTGCCATTATGTTGGGCCCAGCTGGATCATCTGGGAAGACCTTGCCTCGTGACCCTCAGCCACCGGCAGTGCTGTGCACAGCAGTGGCATGGTCAGTTTCTGTGTCTCCACCCAGATCTCACCTCGAATTTAATCCCCATGATCCTAACGTGTGGAGTGAGAGCCCAGGGGGCAGTGACTGAATCACGGGGTGGTTCCTCCATGCTGTTCTCATGATAGTGAGTGAGTTCTTGTGAGAGCTGATGGTTTTATAAAAGGCTCTTCCCACCTTTGCTCTGCATTTCTCCTTCCTGCTGCCTTGTGAAGAAGGTTCTTGCTTCTTTGCCTTCCGCCATGATTGTCAGTTTCCTGAGGCCTCCCCAGCCATGCTGAACTGTGAGTCAATTAAACCTCTTTCCTTTGTAAATTACCCGGTCTTGGGCAGTTCTTTATAGCAGTGTGAAAATGGGCTAATCCAGGCATCAAGCACAGGTTCTGGGGATCAGGGCATTTGGGGGAGCCTTTTCCAGCTGGCCATAGTCAGCTTGTCTGAAGCCTGGGACAGTCACGGCACCTCCCGCGTGGGCCTGAGAGAGCCGAGGCACGCAGACCCCCGCCCGCCTGCCAGCACGCCCCAAAGGCAGAACTCGTGACCCTCGCTGCTGTTACTTGGATATTACAATGGCTTTTCACCCCATGAGGCTGAGCTGGCCATGGTGAGGGCCCAGTTTCTGGGATCTAGAGGGGTCTGTTTCTACCGAAAATCACCCTGGAGAGGCTGGCGTTGCTGCCACCCCTCCTGAAGGCAGACAGTGGGATTCCCGCCTGGGGGCGACGGCTTCAGCTAAATTCACCTCCTGGCCTGTGCGGCAATGGCAGGCGGTGGCTGAGCTGAGCTCCGTCCCACGGCATCCCAGGCTGGTGGCCAGCAGGCATCCACGCCCACCCCAGCCTGCACCTGAATGCCCGTCGCTGGGACCAAGAGCAGCCATGGCCCACCCAACCTGCCTTGGCTCACGTGGTGCAAAATGAACAAGGGAGTGTCTGCCGAGGCCACATGAACAAGGGAGTGTCTGCCAAGGCCACAGACAGTGGGGGCTGCTCCGGGTGCAGCATTGCAGAAAAGCCGCTGGTTGGCCTAGACACGTGGGCACAGGCAGCCTACTCCTTTCTCTGTTCACATTTGCTCTCTGAATCAGTTTTTAAAGTGAAAAAACATTTCAAAAGAAAATTAGGCAGGAGGTTGCAAAAATAAGGTGACACCAAAAGAAAGCTCTAGAACATAAGAGTACACAGGGTTCTCCTCTGCTAGACAGCCAATCTCATCTGTGGGAGTTTATCGTCCTGCCTCTCGGATGGAGAAAAATTCCTTCAGGAATCCCTGTGCTGAGCCCCATAGGTGAATCACGAGCAGGGAGAGGCGGGTGCAGGAGCCGCATGGAGGAAGAGGAGGGGCCGTCACAGCTCTGCAGTGCGCTGACTCCAGGGTGTGGGGGCGCGGGTGGAGGCTGGAGCACGGCCTGCTGGCGCCCGCCACACTGTCTCCCTCTGCAGGGACCCGGCTACCCAAGAAGGACACACACTGTGCTGGGCCAGATGTTGCAGGTGTGGCAGGGCAATGGGGTCTGGTTTTTAAATCCTCTGCTACTCAGAGGTGGCTGACCCAAGAGGCAGCTCCTCACAGACTCCCTGAAAGCAGCTTACTGGGCCCGCGCCAAGACCCAGTCGGCCTGCAGCTTGCAACCGTGATGGAGCCCCCTGGGCCAGGCCAGCCAGGCCCTGCTGTCCACACACGAGGTGGTGTGAGTGCTTGCTTCCTGGGTGTGCCCACCCTGACTTCTGGGATCCAGGGACTTCTCCCACCCAACCAAATCTGCACCAGATGCCACCACGTAGCACACATGCCATTAAACCCCTACCCAGTCATGGCAGACATCATCCATCAACTACCGAGCTCCCACCAGGGCTTCCGAGTCTTTACAACTTAGCACTCAGGCTTTCAGCTCTTCATCCGTTCCCAATTATGCTTATTTGCTAATCCTGCCTGGGGTTGCTGGGTTCACTGTGTCCCCCTGGGCCCTTTGAAAATGCTGTATGTAGTCAAGCATGGTGGCTCACGCCATAATCCCGGCACTTTGGGAGGCTGAGGCAGATGGATTGCCTGAGGTCAGGAGTTCAAGACCAGCCTGGCCAACACAGTGAAACTCCATCTCTACTAAAAATACGAAAATTAGCTGGGCGTGGTCACAGGTGCCTATAGTCCCAGCTACCTGGGAGACTGAGACAGGAGAATCCCTTGAACCCCGGAGGCAGAGGTTGCAGTGAGCCAAGATTGCGCCGTTACACTCCAGCCTGGGCAACAAGAGCGAAACTCTGTCTCAAAAAAAAAAAAGAAAAAGAAAGAAAGAAAGAAAAAAGAAAATGCTGTATGTGTTATAGAGGCCTTTATAGTGTTGAGGATCAAAACTCCTCTTTCCTTTTTTGTGACAGGGTCTCACTGTGTTGCCCCGGCTGGAGTGCAGTGGCACCATCCTAGCTCTCACTGCAGCCTTGACCTTCCCAGCTCAACTGTTCCTCCTGCCTCAGCTTCCTAACTGTCTGGGACTATACACACGCACCACCACCCCTGGCTAATTTTTTAAAATTGTTTCTTGTAGAGATAGGGTCTCACTGTATTGCCCAGGCTGGTCTCAAACTCCTGGACTCAAGTGATCCTCCTGCCTCAGCCTCTCAAAGTGCTGGGATTACAGACATGAGCCACTGCTGCACCCGGCCAAAATTCCCCTTAATACCCAAGTAGTTTCCTCTCCAGGAAAAAAATAACCAGAGGTCCACACACTGATAGTGAAACGCAGGCCTGAAGGAAGTCTAGCTGGAGGCCTCCAGGTGTAAGAAAAAGGGAGGGGTGGGGAGCACATTTTATCAGGCTGTGGGGACAGGCAGAAAACAGGATCACAGAAGGATAGGAGTGTCCACACTGGCTGGAGCCAATGAAGCTGAAGTTTCTAACCTTTCTTTAGGAATCTTTGTAGGCTCAGACAAGAACATCTGGGGTGGTGCTGGCTGCGTGGACAGGCCCCCGGAATGTGACGCTGAGCAAGGGAGACACTCCCAAAGGGCCACGCATTGTGTGACCCGCGCATGGGACAGGACCAGAGCTGACGACTCCTAGACTGAAGCAGAGTGTGGCTGGCGGGGTCAGCGAGAGGCTGGGGACTTAACGTCCGGGGTAATGAAAGGGGCAGGCAAGAGGCTGGGGGGGCTTCAGTCTAGGGTAATGAAAGGGGCCGGCGAGAGGCTGGGGGCTTCTGTCTGCGGTAATGAAAATTTCCAAGTTGATAGTGGTTGTGTGTGCACATCTCTCTGCAGTCTAAACGGAATTGCATTTTGATGGGTGAACTCTATGGTATGTGAAGTGTATCTCAATAAATCCCTTGTCTTTTTTTTTTTTTTTAAGATACCGTCTGGGAGGCAGATGACGTCCCCATCGGACAGTCCTGGTGCAGGCAAGGCCCGGAAGCTTCCCTGCCAGGTGGCCCTGGCCAGTGTCTTAACCTCTCTGATGTCCCAGTTTTTCAGCCATGAAAAGAGTTGAACACTGTTTGCCTTGCGGGGCTGTGTGGGCTTTGGCAAGGAGTAAAAACCACCCTACAAACCACCTGGGGCAGAGCAGACGCAGGCAACTCCCATTCCTCAAACAGCAGCCCTGGCGACTGTCACACGCACTGCAGCTAAGAGTGACGAATGCGGTGACCATCCTCGTGCCACGGAGGATTATACCGCCGACCCCTCGTGCCACAGAGGATTATACCACTGCCCCCTCGTGCCACGGAGGATTATTCCACCGCCCCCTCATGCCACGGAGGATTATTCCACCCCCCGTGCCACGGAGGATTATTCCACCACCCCCTCGTGCCACGGAGGATTATTCCACACCCCCCCCCGCGTGCCACAGAGGATTATTCCACCGCTCCCTTGTGCCATGGAGGATTATTCCACTGCTTCCTCGTGCCACGGAGGATTATCCCACCACCCCCCCATGCCACAGAGGATTATCCCACCGCCCCCCCTGTGCCGTGGAGGATTATTCCACCCCCACCCCGTGCCACGGAGGATTATCCCACCGCCCCCACCCAGCCTCGGCGTCCCAGGGCTCCCGTGGGGTGAGAAGATGATCTGATTCACGCAGGAGAAATGAAACTAGGAACCCCCACTCTCCCGATCCCCCCCAAGGGATTAGGGAGGGGGAGATTCGGGGGGGACAAGAAGGGCAGGCCCCAAACTCAGGCAGTGACAGCCCCACCCAGGAGCCCCAGCACCGGGTCTTCACGCCGGTCCCGAGGGCGGGTGGCTGGAAGCATTTCTGAGTTTCTGAGCTGGGTCTCTGGCAAGGGGCACTGGGCAGCCCCAGCAGGTGGAGAGCGCAGACCAGCTTGGTGTGAAGGATAGAGAGCAAAGCGTCCAGTGCCCAGCCTTTGAGATCTCACGGCCCGTGGACTGCTGTGGGGACAAACAGAATCAGAGCCGAAGGGCGGCCAGGAAGCTCTGCGTCCCTAAGAGCCACCACACTGGGCGAGAGGCCCTGCCCATGTTCTTTTGTTTGTTTGTTTTTGTTTGTTTTGTTTTGTTTTTTGAGACGAAGTCTCACTCTTGTGCCCCAGGCTGGAGTGCGATGGCACGATCTCGGCTCACTGCAACCTCCACCTCCCAGGTTCAGCCTCCTGAGTAGCTGGGATTACAGGTGCCTGCCACCACACCCAGCTAATTTTTGTATTTTTTTAGTAGAGATGGGGTTTCACCATGTTGGCCAGGCTGCTCTACAAACTTCTGACCTCAGGTGATCCACCCGCCCTGGCCTCCCAAAGTGCTGGGATTACAGGCGTGAGCCACCAAGCCTGGCCTGGCATGGCCCTGCCTGTTTTTAACCAAAAAGCCACCGACGCCTTCTGTCCTGTTCCTGCTCAGGACACTGGAAGGTGTGATAAATCACCAGCACATGGGAATTCTGAACGAATATCTTAGATCACGCCAGATTTCTGCACAAAGTGTAAGGACACTGGGCGGGGGGCAGGGGTCGGCGGGGGGAATGTCACTTCTGAGGCCGGCCTGTCGCTAAGCTCAGCCACTTTTCTTCCCTGTTCTGTCTCTTAAGTCCCCTCCTGGAGTTTACAATCCTGACCTGCCACCCTCACCAGGATCATGACGGAGCCAAGACGCACCCGCGGCCGACCTCCCAGCGTGACGGCTTTCTGCTTATGTCTACACGTCATGGAGGAACCTTCTAAAGGAGTTTCAGGAAGTTTATGTTTGGAAGCTGCGATTGTCACTTTCGTTCATGGCCCAGCTTTATAATGGGAAACAGACACCTCACCGAAGTGCCAGGAAGGGGTCTGCTTTGAAACGTGTTCAAATGAAAGGATTGAGGAGAGCCTAGTTCTTATAAATATCGTAAAGGCACTTTGTTATTGATGGCGCCTGCTTCAGATTCGCTGTGGACTTGCAAGCCCCAAACTCGTCCTGCCCCTGGGTGGCCGGGGCACCCGGGCCTTCTGCCTCCACACTTTGTTTTTCTTTTTCTTAAAAAAAAAAAAAAGCGTAATGAGCTGCACGTTTAACAACATGTTTAGCTAATTGAGTCTGTCCACGGCATATCCCAACCTGGGCGCTGAGAGATAAGCCGGTCACCTGGAGCGTGCCACAAAAAGGAGAGAAGACAAAGCCAGCAGCTAATAGAAATCGTTAATTGGGGAGGACGCCCCTAACCACATCAGATCAAAGATGCAGGCGGACTCTTCCCACCAAACGAATTCGCCTTTGAGCTCTTGGCATTGGGTTCAGCACTCCCTATTATCAACTGGAAAGCAAAATGCTTTGTTTTGCCTGAAAGACGTTCCCAGATGGCACGTTCCCCTGCGTGCACCCTCTCGGTTGCGAGCCTGAAGGCATCGCGATCGTCACCATCGTCAATCCGGATGGCCCAATCGCATCGAATCCAGCCTGCGTGAAAACACTTCACTTCTGACCTCCTTAACACCAGAGCCACCCCAGACGCCACACACTGCACTTACCCTGGAGCGAGCAGGCGTGTCTGCTGGTGCCCATCCCCTGTGGTGTGTGGCTGCAGAGGGACAGCTGCCCCGTGCCCTGGCTCCACGCCCCAGGTGTCCGCAGCAGCAGCAGCACGTTGGGGCTGCGTCTCCACGCACTGGCTGGCTCTGGGCTGGGAAGTTTCAAGTTCCAGGAGGTCTGCATTCCCTTCTCCCCCTTCACACACTTAACCCTACCTTGTCTGGTCAAGAGAGATCCAAACAAAATCAACCTTCTGCGTCAAGAGCTGTGTCCGGCTGCCTCAGAAGCACAGAGTCTGTTCCTGGCTCCACCTGGCTTTCGCCATAAACTAGAACGAGCGGCCAAGACCCTGGATGCTGCTGCGGCTTTGCAAGGGTGAGCGGGTGTTTCCTAACCCACTGGGCTTTTTTCCTCCTAGGCAGCAGAGGGGTGCACCTGCTCCAAGGAATTCGGGATGTCCAGCCCTCCGGTCTCTGTGGGGGGTCACCCTTGGTGGGGGTTCCCCTGGAGAGTTTAACACTCAGACCCCACTCCAGGCTCAGCAAGGGGGCACTGGTTGGGGGGGAATTCCAGCCCACTCCTCAATTCCCTGTGGGGACCCTTAGCCAGCCTTGGTGCTTTCAGAGCCCTGGTTTCCTCGTTCGTAGGAGATAAACAGCACCCAAAACTGAGCTGCTGCCACTGAGGCAGGCTACTGCCAGGCGGAGTGCAGGTGCCTCAGTGATTCTGCCTGCCTTCCCCTGAGCCCCGAGTCGCCGTTCCATCCACTTAAGGCGTCCTGGGCTCTTATGAGCTTCCAGGGAAGCCGAGTTACAGGAATTTAATCATGGCCAAAATTTAGCCCATAAATAGCTACTGAGAGGCTTCATGCCGGATGGGGAGATGTGAGGGTGGGTGCAGGAGGAGGCGTGGGCCCAGGAGGAGCCATTGGCACATGCCCTGAAGGCAGCAACACGCCATGCCTTCTCAGTTAGGTCTGGACGGCAGATTCGCAGCACCTTTTCCCACTTTCTACTTTCCTGTATTTTTGAAGTTTGCTACAATGAGCATACATTGCCTTTATAATCAGAAAACAGACATTTAAAAACTGTTTCAGAAGCCCGTCCTGACCGCCCCCTCATTTTCCCCAGACCC
The DNA here is from genome assembly GCF_000001405.40 of Homo sapiens. NCBI lineage: Eukaryota > Metazoa > Chordata > Mammalia > Primates > Hominidae > Homo > Homo sapiens. The sequence goes on along the minus strand of NC_000016.10, from coordinate 29,138,664 downwards.
CCCTTCCATTGCTTCCACACACACTGCTGTTTTCACACTCACCTTCTGATGGGCACCTCCCACAGCCCGAGCACCCCAGCAGCCCCCTTTGCTCCCCTGAAGCAGGTGCGGCCAGTGAGGCAACGGGAGGGAGATGTGCCCGTCCTTACGGGGCCTCCGGCCTGTGTTCCCCGCGCCTACACAAAAACTGACTCTCGCTTCCAGGAAGCTTCTAGAAAGGGCCCCAGCGCTGTGTTCGGAACACAGAGACCCAGCCTGCCAGTTGGTGTACCCTCGGCCACCCCTCAATGAGGGGTCTGACCTCGAGAACATGTGGGTGGGGCAGGGTCCACCCGGGCGATGCCCTCCCCCCTCGAAGCCCCAGGCTGTCGGGACACCATCCCATTCTTTTGGGGGCTTTGTACAGGTCATCAACCCCAGAAGGGCAGGAACGGCACCCGGCTGGGAGTCTGCAAGTGTGTGTGGAGTGTGACATTCATCTCACATGCACAGAGCACACAGGGAGTAAACAATTCTCATCCTCTGGTACTTCTCTTCCTGTTTTTTAAATTGAGGTGAAACTCACTGCACATAAAATTAACGTTTTAAAGTATGACACGATAGGTGGCATGAGGCGCATGCTGTACTATGCCCTCTGTTTACTTCCAAAGCGTTTTCATCATCCCCAAAGGCCACCCAATGACTGCCCATCCCCTCCAGCCCCGGACAGCCACCCATGGGCCCCCCGTCTCCGCAGACCCACCTGCTCTGCCATGACACCAAGGACAGAGGGTCCTAGAGGAATTGAGGGGCTTGCTGTCCACTTTAAGTGGAGGGAATTCTTTTTCATTCCTTTATTGTCACTAAAGGTTGGATTTCAGAGCAAGCACTCAAGCGCATGGAGGAAGATGAGGGAGGGAAGATGGGAGGAGAGTGAGGAAATGTGGGCATCCAGTTCCCTGGCTGTGCTCTCAGGGGACCCCAGGGGACCACCTGCTTAACAGGCAGATGCCTCTGTGTGTCACCATCAAAGTGAGGACATGGCTGAGCCCAGTTAACACTCAGGGCGCCCATGCGTAGCTGGAGCCTGTGCAGTCTCTTGGTGACAGCAGTGACCACATGGCGTCCTCCTGTAGGGACCACGTGGCTGGCTTTTATTCTCTCTATCCTTGGGCAGAAAGAGGAGGCAGAAGCGATGAGTCCTGCCCTTCTACCTTCGAGCAGGTCAGAAATGTTTTCATAAGATAAAGGTTACAACTGAAAGAAACAGCAGGTCTGGGCATAAAAATCCTGCGTTTTCAGCCTCGAGTGTGTGTGGGAGAGTGGGAGCTCAGGGTGTCTCTCCTGGGGGCCATGAAGCAGGAACAAAGGGCTGTGGGGCTGATGCCAGCCCCACTTTACATCCGTGTGCTGGGGCTGCTGCAGCAAAGTGCCACAAACCAGGGGCTCCATGTGACAGAAATTCACCCTCTCCCTCGCTGGAGGCCAAGTCTGAGAGCCAGTTGTTCCAGGGCTGTGCACCCTCTGAGGGCCCCGGGGAGGCCCCTTCCGGCCTCCTCCAGCTCCCAGGGACTCCCGGGGTGGGGTGGGGTGGGCAGCTGCATGTTCAGAGCTCCCAGGTGTCTCCAGGGCTCAGCCAAGGCTGACACCCTGGTTTGGTGCTAGGACTGATTAAGCATTTTGAACAAAGTACTTCCTCCACGGGGCAGACACGGAGCACACCCCTGGGTAACGGCATGTCCAACTTTTTAGAAGAGTCACTGGTCAAACACTGGCCACCCAAGTGAGAATCAGTGAGATTGCAAAGTGGTTGTCATTAGTGAGGGTGTCAGATGGCCTGGCATGTTTAAGTAACCAAAAGCAAGTCCTTCTCATACCTCGCATGTTGGAGGGGACATGCCAGTGCTGGTTAGAATTAAAACCCAAAGCAGGTCATTGATTCTGATAGGAGTGCCCTGACTCCAGGATCATTAAGAAGGGTTTCAGGGAGGAAAAACAGATGATATTGTCTGTCCCTGGTCCAAATCCATGGTGCATCCCCACTTCCATAGGAATTCTATGCAGGTCTTTTACATGCTGCTATATTTTATATCTGTTGCTGTGTTGCTACACACCCAAAACTTAATGGCTTAAAGAGCAAAAATCACTTTTTATCTCTCACAGACTGTTAGCCAGGAAAGTGGGAAGTGTTCAGCAGGGTGGTTTTCCTCAGGGTCTCTCATGTGGTCTTATGTCAGCTTGGGGTGCATCACCTGAAAGCTAGACTGGGGCTGGTGGCTCCCTCACGAGGCGGGTGGGCTGGTGCTGGCTATTGGCTGAGGGCCGCAGTTACTCTCCAGGGCCTGCCTGATGTCCTCACAGCATGGTGGCCAGCTTCTTCTAGAGTGAGTGAGCCAACAGGCTAAGTGGAGGCTGCCATGCCATTATAATCCAGCCTCAAGGGGAAGTCACATGTTGCCCACAACCGTACTCTATGCTGACCACACAGACCAGCCCTGCTGTGTGGGAGGGGAGCACACACAGACAAATACAGGAGTTGGGGGGGGTCACTGGAGCCATCTGGGAGGCTTGCCACCATCACCTGTCCTGTTCCCTAAATGACCTGCATCCCTGGGTTTCCTATTCTCAGCTTTGTGTGCCACCTTGAGGGGCCGGGAATGAGAAAAAGTGTTTTCAGACAGAAAGCATCTCTTTCATATTTAGCAGCCCTTCCTTTAGTTTATCTCTTCCCTCTCTTATTTTATTTAAAAGTAGCAAGAGGCCAGGTGTAGTGGCTTATGCCTGTAATCCCAACACTTTGGGAGGCTGAGGCAGGTGGATTGCTTGAACCTAGAAGTTTGAGACCAGCCTGGGCAACATGGCAAAACCCCATCTCTATTTTATAATATTACTATTTAAAATAAATAAATAAATAAAATAAGGTACAAGATATGCCACCCTCAGTGCCCTCCTTACAAAGCTTGCTAGCTTGATCATTCAGCTCATTGGGCCACTTTCCACATTACTGCAGGCCATGGTCTTGCTGATAGAATAAGAGCCCCTATTTCTGGAGGGGTTTGACTAAGCATTCTTGCCTGAAAGTCTCCTGAAGCTGTAGTCTTGCATCAGCTGGAGTTGCAGTCTCATTTGAAGGCCTGACTGGGGCTGGCCTTCCCAGGTCACTCCTAGGTCACTCCATCACACACTGGCCAGTGGTGCTGCTGGCCAGAACTCAGTTCTCTCCAAATGGACCCTGCCGTGAGGCCACTTGAATATCACAGCATGGGGGCTGGCTCCCCTCGGAGTGGATGGCCTGAGAGACCAAGACAGAAGCTGTGGTGCCTTGTACAGCTCAGTCATGGAAGTTACACACCATCAGCTCTGCCATGTTCCACAGGCCACACGCATCAGCCCTGAGTCAATGTAGGAAGATGATAAACCCCAGGAGGCGTGGGTCAGTGGGTTCATCTTGGAGGCCACAGAGCTGTCTCAGCATTGTCCCAGAGGGGGATTTGGTGACAGGGCCAAAGGGATTCCAATGATTCAACCCAAGAATGACCAGTTTAGACAGGACTGATCAGGCTAAGATGACGAAAGGCCGGCTGACATGAAAACATGGGACAGGCCCTGGGCAGAGTCCCTGGATTGAAGTCTCCACCCCAGCACTTCCCACCTGGGGTTTGGGCTTCATCCATTGACAAGGCAGAGATGATAGTGAAACCCAGCCTTCTCCCACCCATGTGCTGGATGATCAAAGGAGCAAACAGAAAAAAAAAAAAATGAAAGTGCCAAAGAGTCACACTATTATCATTTATTTTTGTTATTAGAATGATAAATCCCTTTAGAAATAAACAGCTTTCTTGGATATAATTAACATACTATACATTTCACCTATGTGAAGTGCACAATTCACTAGTCTTTAGTCTATTCAGAGTTGTGTGACCATCATCATTATAGAATAAGGTCTTACTGATGCTTGAGAGATGATGATGATGGAGACAGAGTCTGCTCTGTCCACCAGGCTGGAGTGCAATGTTGCTATCGGTAGCTTACTGCAGTGTCCACTTCCTGGGCTCAAGTGATCCTCCTGCCTTAGCTTTCCGAGGACTCCAGGCATAAGCCACCACACACAGCTGAATTTTTTTTTTTTTTTTTTTTTTTTTAGTAGAGGTGAGGTTTTGCTACGTGGCCCGGGCTGGACTCGAACTTCTGACCTCAAGCGATCCTCCTGCCTTGGCCTCCCAAAGTGCTGGGATTATTTTTAGACCACAATGAAAAGTTCCAGTTGATGTTACAGGAAGCGAGCCAGGGAACACTTGACCCCCAGGCTCTAGGAACCATCAAGATCAAGCTAGAAAAGGGCATCGGCAAGAAGGGGTGTCTGGAGGCGTCAGGGCTGCGCTGTCTGTGCGCGGAGAATTCCGCTGTGTGGAGCAGCTATGCTCCCTTAGGGGTGGCTGGGTATGAGGGCTACAGCCTGTCCTTGAGGGTCCCACCTCTTCCCCAACTCCCAAGATTCAGGGGGTGGGACTTCCCCTGGAACCCTGGAAAGCAGGGAGCACCGACCGCCCTGGATGCCAGGAAGGAGGGAGTGATGCTGCCTTTGGACCCTGAGAAGGAAGGAGCATTGCTGCCTGTGGACGCCGGGAAGGAAAAAGCACCAGCCGCCCGTGGACCCTGACAAAGAGGGAGCATTGCCGCCCGTGGACCCTGGGAAGGAGGGAGCATTGCCGCCTGTGGACCCTGGGAAGGAGGGAGCATTGCGGCCCGTGGTCCCTGGCTGCGTGCCCTCCCCTTGTCTCCTCCACCCAAGAGAGAAGTCGAAGCTCTTTTTCCAAAGCTCTGTCTCCCCCACCTCCTCCAGCTTCCCTCTAAGAGTTCCTGTTGGTGTCCGCCCCCAGTCCACAGTCCAGGAGCCAAGAATTCGTGGCAGACCCCGAGCCACAGCTCGCCAAATCATTCACTCATTGTTAGACATCTGGGGTTTTCAACTTTCTGTTTTCATGAAGGACACGATAAGTGCCCCTGGGCAGCGGCTCCTCTGGAGCTCCAGTCCGAGAACCTCGGGGGTGAAATTCTGTTCTCAGCTCCGCCCCTGCCCAGGCCGCTCTACCATCCCATGAGAGGCTGGAGTTGGAAGCCCCTTGACGTCCCGGCCTCCATGGGCATGAGCATCCCGAGCACCCAGACCTCGGCTTCTCAGTACCGTGTTCCATTCAAAGTGGCCAGGACTCCTGGGAGAATTGGCCAGCTCCAGCCTGGGCACGGAAAACACCAGAGGCTTGTAGGAGATCACGACCCTCCAGGGCTACGAGGCCATGTCTGAGCACTCAGGAGCCTGCTTGATGTGGAGGGTGGGGGGGGGGGGGGTGGTGGGAGCTGACAGTGCCAGGAGATGGCCTGGGGCACAAGCGGCCCCACAGCTCAGGCTCAGACAAGCAGCTGGAAGCCTGGTGCGCGTGGATGTCCCCATGGCTTTAAAGGACGCCCCACAGAACACGGATTAATCATAATAGAGAGAAAGGACAGCGTTGCAGGGGAGGCTGCAGACACGGCATCAATTAAACCGTCAGCGTTCACGTCACCAGAGACCGCCCAGGGTGAGATTTTACACCTGCCGCCAGGACACCTGCAGAAGCGCAGCCTCACCCCCTGCTGTCCCCGCCCACCCAGGATCTCATCACCAGGAATCCAAAGGCAAAGCAGTCCGAGTGCCCACAGCACGGAGGGGCCAGGAGCCTGCACAGGCTGACAGAGATGGAGGAGAGACGGCGGCTTGGGGAAGGGCGTGACACCATCAGACTCTGCTCTCAGAAACTCGTGGGGACAGTGGTCAGGCTGCAGTGGGGCCTTGCAGGGACCTGTCCATTCCCTGATTCTGACGATGCTGAGGGCTTGTGAATGTCCTTGTGTGCAGGAAACACACCAAAGAGCCTGGCTGTGTGGACCACGGTGCAGCCCAGCTGCGCACACTGCGTTTCCTGTACCATACTCGGCACTCCGGCCTTGCCTGCGCACTGCCTGAGTCTGCATTATCTCTGTGTGTAACTTGGCCCCACCCCGGGATCCGGGGAGGCTGATCCCCCACGGGCCTCTCCCAACCTGAGCAGCGCCCTCCTGGCCACTGTCCACTGCTGCCTGAGGCCCTGCCCCAGCAGAAGGCACAGGCTGGGACAGGCCTGCAAGAATGGCCAGGAGGGGCCTCCCAGGGTCGAGGCATCTGAGCAGCACCCTGCAGGACGGGCAGGCCCCTCATGCCCCGGGCACCTGCACAGGGCCTGCGATCTCATGCATTCGAATGGTGCCGAATGGGCCAGGGTGTCCTGGGGGATCCTGTCGGGCGCCCTCCTCAGCTCTTCCACTTTCCACAGTAAGTACTTCGATAGTATGGCTCATGGTCACCCCAAGTCCCCGAGAAGGAAAGAGAGTGACGCCATGGAGATGGGAGGTCGGCCCTGCAAAGGGCACCATAGTCCTGGGCACTACTTCTCCTGGGGAATGGGGGCTTGGGCACCTTCTTCTCCTCCTTCCTCCCTCCCTCCATCCTCCCTCTCTCCCTTCTTTCTCCCTCCCTCCCTCCTCCCTCTGACTTACACCCCCAAATTGCCAGTATCGCCCCCTCCCCAGTTGCAACAACCCCAAACATTCAGATATTGATTTGTGTTTCCTGCTTGGGGGCAGAATCACTCCTGTTCCAGCACCGCTGGGCCCCCACATTCCCCCACGGGCAGGGACCCACCTCACTCCCCCCACACCCATGAGCCCACAAGGCTCTGGCCCCCACCCCCATGGCTGCTTGGTGAAATGACAGCCCCGCTCTGCTGAGAGCCGGGGAAGAGGAAGGGGCTGGGGCAGGGAGTCCAGCTTGGGAGCCCTGTGAGCCCCTCTAGGAGCCTGGCCCTGGCTGGAGAGAGCAGCACTGGGATGAAACCCACTTAATTCATGGCGGCACAGCATTGCCATCTGCAGCACTCGTGCTAAACTCCATCAAAAAGCAGACGCAGGCTTTCCTTCCTGGCTCCGCAGCCCGGGGCCGGAATCAGCTACGCCCACTGCACCGAGATCAGCTTTGAAAAGTCCCCATTGCAGACGTGCGGCAAAGGCTGGAGTAAGCTGGAAGCTTTGCTAAGGCCGCTCTGCTGTGATCAGCCTGGCCTGGGGCGCCCTGAGGGATTCCTGAGCCGCCTCCTGCACCCCTCCCCGTCCTCCAGGATGAGGCCCTCATTCAGGCATGCCTGGCCCCTGGAGGCAGAGAGCCTGGGACTCCATGGAGAAGCCGTGCCCTGCGCCCACTCGGCCTGGATGGGAGCCCGGGCCCTGTGTGGTCACACCCGGAGGTCCTCGCCTGCAGCGGCGGGGGCAGACTCTGTGGGGGCACCCCCTCCTCCAGCAGGGCTGGCCCCAGTGGGGTGGGAGGATGTGGTGGAGTGCGTGACCTCTGGAGAAGCTTGGCCGGAGCAGCCCTGGGGGGCAGCCAACTGCTGGGCAGGGGCTCCGGTGGCCCATTTCCCATGACAGGCGGCCTGGCCGGGAGGCAAGCACAGTTCCCACTACTTGGTCCCAGCTCCCCAGCTCCGGGCATTCAGATGGGCTCGTGGCCACCAGGCCGTTGGGTCCAAGGTGAGTTCCGGGCATTCAGATGGGCTCATGGCCACCAGGCTCTTGGGTCCAAGGTGCCCTGTTGCTTATTCCAAGGGTTGGCAGCCAGCAGGGTCTGAGGCCACCAAATGGGAAACGTGCCCCAACTCAGACCCCCTGGCCATGGGCAGGCAGCCTCGGCTCACTCCTCTCCTCTGGGTCCTTCACCCGCAGTGAGGACTTGGTGCCCAGCACCTTCCTGTGCAAGAAGTCAGGGAGTTCAAGACGAGATCAAGGCTGATCCAGGCCTTGCGCGGCTCCTGCTCACAGGATCCTGGGGACCGTTTCAAGAAGAGCCTCAGGACACGGAGAATGCTCAGTCTCCTGGCTCTCCCCGCCAGGCAAGAGGGCCCGGGGGTGGAGGGAATCCAGGGGACACAGTCCTCACCCCACTGTCAGCGCCAGCAGACCCCAACACTCATCCCCCAGCCCCAGGCACACAACCCGCCCTGCCGCCCCTCGCCAGGCCCTGCCGGGTGTCCACCCTCTGCGGCAGCAGGTTGGGGAGGAGACGTGCTGGGGAGGGGCCCAGGCCTGGGCGGGCGCTGCCCTTCCTTTCACTCCCCTGCCAGGCAGTGCCTGCGCCCACCCTCACCCCCACCCCCCCTGACCCCCCGCGGGCTGGGAGGAAATGTAATGAGCGCAGGGCGGTGTCTTTGGTGCTGCTGGGGTGGAGTCAGGGGCCAGATCCCATCGTGAATTTGACAGAAAAGGAAATGGGCTCCGAGCGCAGGTGAGGCTCAGCCAGGGCTCCGTGGCTCTCACCCAAGAGCTGAGCTCCAACCTTCCTGGCCCGGCTCCGTTTCCCGAGCTGTGGAAAATGCCTGTCCACCCGGATTGGCTGGGTAGTGCCTGCCTCCCCCACGCCAGTCCTCTGTGGGAGGGTTGCTGGTCTCTGTTAAAAGCCCCCCGGGTGACGTGCATGCTGCCAGGGCCTGTGCCCCCGGTAGACACTCTGGGGAGGGGCCACCACAAGGAAACCTCAGTCCAAGCTGTCCAGCGGAGGCTGGGCATGGCTGTGCCAGCACAGGAAGGCAGGTAGGGGTCTCTGGGGCAGGCAGCTCTCCCCCTGGCCCAGCCCCCTGTGTGAAGTGCTCAGCCTGGGTAGGAACGTGCTTCCCACTCAGCCTCCTCCAAGCCGCTGGAGGTCCCACTGGTTCCCCAAATGGCTTCTGTCCTGAGCCGTGGGCTCCTGACCACGCATCTACCTTGCACGGTCTGAACAAGAGTCTGCGCCAGGGACCCCGATCGGGAGGGGCACAGAGGAAGCCAAGGGCCCACACAGGTGAGGGGGTCTCGGGTCTGAGCCTCACCCAGCCCAGGCTCAGCAGCAGCCTCAGAATTTCCTGGCATCTGCTTGCCTGTGTTGCAACCCAAGTGGGATGTGCACGCCGCCTGAGAGAGAAAACACTCGGGGAGGATTATGTAAGCGCTTTCCTCCCCAGCACAGGGCCGTCCTGGGCACATTGAGGCCAGACCATGTGCAAAAGCACTCGGGAGAGTGGCAGGAGCTGAGCCACCAGAGGGGGATTAACCCCTTCCGGGATGCTGGCAGCTTGTCCTGGGGAACATGGGGCTGGTCAGGATTGCAGGACACGGAGGGGCGGAGTGTGAATGTGGAGGCACCGGTGCTGCGTGATTTTCCACAAGTTGTCTAACCTCTCTGTGCCTTCATTGCCTGACTCGGCTGTTTCCAATGCAACTGATTTTAACGGCACCTGTTTCATGAGGCCACAGCCAGGATTCTGGGAGGCAAAGCACAGAAAGCCCTCAATGCGGTTTCAGGCTCCAGGCAAGGCTCAGCTGACAGTAGCTGAAAACAGCAATTTCAGCCGCAGAGTTGCCCGCCCTGTGCACCACAGAACGAACAAGGGTTTCCAGCTTTGCTCAGATTTGTGGGGACCACTGGGTTTGGACTTTAGGAAAAGCTCATTTGCCTTTAGGCAGAAGTGACCGGAGCTGGGGTCACCTGAGGTCTGGGCAGGAACCTCTCGATGGCTGATGCAGGACCTGGGGAGGGGCCATCTGTGTGGGGCAGCTCTGGACTCAGACCCGTGGATACCTGTGAAACCTGTCAGGCTGAGCCACCATCCAGCAAGTGAAGAGACCGCAACTGGGCCACTGTGGAGTCACTTGGCCACCACCCCCGGGTCCTCATAGCCCTCATGTGTGTCCCAACCGCGAGCAGGTGGCCGACAGTGCACCCTGACAAGGCACGTGTGTACCATCGGGGACACCTGCTTCTTTAAAGTGACCGGATGGTGCCCAGGACCACAAGAACCAGCCTCGTGGCAGGGTGCCCAGCCTCCTTCCCCCTCCACTGTTAACTTTTTTGCCAAGATTCCAAAAACGAAGCTGCAGCTGAAAATAATTTCTTTTTCTTCTATAGCCCAAATGACCGATGGTGTAGAGATTTTCCCATCATAGAACTGCAGTCTCCATTTGTAGTAGGCCCAGACAGTGACATGTCTGAGGTTGGGGTGCCTTGGGGCCAGAGCCCAGAGGAGAACCCACATTGGCGTCCTAGTAATGTGAACCCTCATAAGAGCTTCAGGACAGCAGAGGCAGTGGAGATGCCGGCGGGCAGGGAGAGCCGGCCCGGCCAGCCCCCTGGGAATAAGCTTCAGTCCTATTCTAACTCAAAATCATAAACCTCATCTCAGGCGGCTGCTTGTGACTCCAAGAGACCACCAGGCCCCGGTGATAGCCAGCACAGTACCTGGCACATAAATCCTGCCCACCTGCCTGGCGTGGCTGGGAGACCCGCCCGGGTGCTCTCTGTCTCTCCCTCCCTCTTTCACTGCTCCCTGAAGGCAGCGTCTAAAGAGGCTGAGGCTGTCCTGTCACTGCCCCGACCTCTGAGGAGAAGCCCGCGGCTGTCCTGTCACTGCCCCGACCTCTGCGGAGAAGCCCGCAGTTCTGATCACGGACCTCAGATGGGGAAGCGCACAGGAGGCCTCGGGTGGCCGGGCTGTGCTGCTTCTCCCTAGACGGGCAGAGCTGGCGCATAGGAGGTGCTTCACAGGTGACTAAGGAGGCAAAGACCCGAAGCCTGGGGGACTGCAGTGTCCGGTGGATCCCAGCTGCGGCCATCGGGCCCATGGGTGGGAGAGCCAAGGGAGGGGCTCAGCTGGGCAATAGGATGGGAGTGGGCGGGGGACACTGCTGGGAACTCCCTTCACTGCATGGCCAAGACTGTGCATAAGCGAACAGGGCGGGAGAGCTGTGTGTCGCCTCGGGCAGTCACTCAGCCTCTCCGCCCGTTTTCCTGGTCTGTAAAATGGGCCGAAATGCCCTCCCTGCGCTGTTCTTTGGGCAGTTTCTATAAATGCTTGGCCCAGCCTCCCCGGCACACGGTTGCTACCTGGATCACTGTTCTGTTATTTTCATCCCTGCCCCTGCTCTTTGCTTAGACCGACTTCCCCTGACTCCGGTGAAATCAGCCTCCACAGGCATTTCATCAGCCCTTGTTCGTCCACAACACGGCTAGGCAGGTGTGCTCAGGGGGTCTGAGGCTTTCACAGACGTTAAATGTATGTCCCTGCAGGAAACAGGTTTCTGTACAGCCCCAGAGACTGTACAGAAGGCTGAGGCCATCTCTACTAAAAATACAAAAAAATTAGCCGGGTGTGGTGGCAGTTTTTCTTTGTGACAAGATATAGGTAAGATTTCTGAAAGACAGGAGCTAGTAACATGTTCTATTTCTTCTGATAGCAGTTTTTTCCTAGTAATTTGTCAATTGCATTTAACGTTTCCCACTGACTTTTGAGACAGCCTCAAGTTTTTATGTCTGAAGGGTTCGTAGATTCTGACATTGTAATTTGTCCCTGCTCTCTTTTCTCTGACTAGTGTACCAGGGCTTTCTCAAGTGTACTAATCTTCTCAAAGAATCCAATTTGGTTTTGTTGGTTGTATCTACTCTACGTTTTGTGCCTCATTTCCTTAATTTTTCCTTGTCTTTAAGCTTTTCTCTAATACAACTGTCGATGTATTCCCCGAGTTTTGATCAATTTGCATGTGTCATTCAGTTACAAATACCTTCACATGTCCAGTTTTCTTTCTTATCTGACCTAGGGGTTATTTAAATGTTTGTTATTTAACTCCCAATCATTCAGGGATTTTTCTACTTTTCTTCTCATTAATTTTTGCCTTAATTCCATTTGGTCACAAAACACATTCTGCAAGCCCCCATCCTGTGGCATTGAGGTGGCTTCACAGTCTAGTGGGTGGCAATTTGGAGAAAAGCGTGTTCCCTGAGGTTGCTGGGCGTGACATTCCTCACACGTGACTTGGGTCACCTCAGTCTCCCGAGTTGCTGGGATTACAGGCCTAAGCCACTGTACCACGCTAAAGATTAAAAAGTTATAAAAACATGATCTAACAAAAAATACCCAGGGGTAAAAATAAATTGGCATTAAAATTTTCTTCCTAATAATCTAATGAAATAAGCAAAACTGAAAATAAAACCAACTCTCCAAATAACCACTGCACCAGAGAAACAGGACTAACCTAATGTAACAAACTTTAAAACCTCGTTGCTAAAGAAAGAAAGAAGCTTCTAGCTTCTGGCAATTGGCTTTGAGAGGCTCCAGATCTAACTCCTTACGCTGCTCTCCCCAAGGAGCCACGCTTGTGCTCCGACAGAGATCTGTGACTTCCACCCAACAGTCCCAAATCAGAGGGCGAGCAGGTCAAAGACGGGTGTGTTTTCTTCCTCTTTCCTAGAAGCTACAGAAATGACTACCAGTGAGAGAGGGAAGCAGTGTCAGGACTGACTCCACAGAAGTCAGCACTCTGCAACAGCACAGGATGCAGGGCTCCTAGGCAACATGTTTGGGTGAAAAGCCGCCCAGGGCCCTTCGCATGCTCAGAGGACGCAGCGCACCGCCGTGCACCGCATCCTGGTCTCTTAACACCAGGGCCCTCCAAACACCGCATCCTGGTCTCTAACACCACATCCTGGTCTCTAATGCCAGGGCCCTCCAAACACCGCATCCTGGTCTCTAACGCCAGGGCCCTCCAAACACCGCATCCTGGTCTCTAACGTCATTTTTCAATTCACGGAGAAACGGCTGATTCTAGGCTGGGACAAGTACTCACAATGAGCCCGGAGAAGCATTTGGTAGTGCTGTGCAAGTAAAAAGTGCTCAGGCTGGGCATGGTGGTTCACATCTGTAATCCCAGCACTTTGGGAGGCCAAGGCAGGCGGATCACCTGAGGTCAGGAGTTCGAGACCAGCCTGGTCAACATGGTGAAACCCCGTCTCTAATATAAATACAAAAAATTAGCCGGGTGTGGTGGCACGGCCTGTAATCCCAGCTACTTGGGAGGTTGAGGCAGAAGAATTGCTTGAACCCAGGAGGTGGAGGTTACAGTAAGAGATCGCCCCATTGCACTCCAGCCTGGGCAACAAGAGCAAAACTCTGTCTCAAAAGAAAACAAGAAAAAAAAAAAAACACTAATGATGAAACACCTACAATGAAGAGGGAATGGAGGAAATGTCAAGGGGCACGGGAGCCAACTGACGAGCTGCCAATGGCCAAAGCTGGAAGGATGTGAGCACCAGAATGAAGCAGAACTTGATTCTAACCCAGAGTGTAAAATACATCTCCATGAGCACACACTGATGGAAACGGATGAGTGAATAAGTGAATAAATGGGAAAGAAGAAACAAGGCTCCCGGGTAGACTGACAACAGTATCTGTGATGCTCCACCCTCGAAGAGGCGGCACACAACTCCCCACTCCTTAACTGGGTGATGGGCATAGCAGCTTCCTTCCAAAGTGCAGGATGAAAGCTGAAAGAGTCACTTGACTGTGGAAAATGCTGAAGAGCACACCTCAGCCAGGTGACCTGCATCAGCATTAAGCACTGAGTCCTCCTGACAGTGCTGGCCTGGACAGGATGTGATGAGAAGGACTTCACCTCCATGTCCTCCCTCCCCAAAACCTGTGACCCCAGTCTAGTCAGGAGACAAATTCCAACAGAGGCACATCCTACAAAATAACCGACCCCAACGGTCCTCAAAAAGTCGCCAAAAACAAGGAAGCATGAGAAACGGCCACAGATCAGAGGAGCCCAGGGAGGCTTGGCCGCGGAGCATCCTGTGGACCCACAGACATGGAAACATACAGTGGGTACCATGAGGAACAGTGTGCGGACACACTCTAGAATTTGGGGGAAAAGAAAATAATCTTGAGAGACACAAACAACACTAACTCAAGAAATTCTACATTTATCGAAGTTCTTTTTTTTTTTTTTTTTTTGGGGGGGAGTCTCATTCTGTCTCCCAGGCTGGAGTGCAGTGGCACAATCTCAGCTCACTGCAACCTCCACCTCCTGGGTTCAAGTGATTCTCCTGCCCCAACCTCCTGAGTAGCTGAGACTAGAGGCACCCGCTACCACACCCAGCTAATTTTTGTATTTTTAGTGGAGACGGGGTTTTGCCTCATTAGCCAGGCTGGTAACGAACTCCTGACTTCAGGTGATCCACCCTCCTCAGCCTCTCAAAGTGCTGGGATTATAGGCATGAGCCACCATGCCTGGCAGTTCTATATTTATTAAAATAATTGAATTTATTATTAAAAACCTAGGCTTCACTGGCAAATTCTATCAAATTGTTTAAAAGAAATAAAACTAATCTCACAGAAACATTTTCAGAAACTAGACAATGACAGGCAGCTTCCCAGCTCCGTTGCTGAGGTCAGCATTATCCTGATAACAAAAAGACATGGCAAAAAAAGAAAACTGCAGACTAACATGTCACACAAACACAGACGCAAAAACTCTTCATTAAATATTAGAAAACTGATCAGTATAGCAAAAGCACAATACACGTAGATGAAGTCAGGTTTATGATAATAGAAATGCAAGGTTCGGTTAGCATTCGAAATCGACGTAATTCACTTTAACAAAAGAATCAAGAAGGATCACAATACCATCATCTCGGAAGATACAGAAAAGGCATGTGAAAATCCAATGTCCATTCATTCATGCGAAAAAACTCCCATGAAACAAAGAATAGAAGGAAACTTCTTCAACCTGATTAAGAGCATCTGGGAAAAATGTACTGGTAACATCAGACTTAATGGTGAAATGCTGGACGCTTTCACTCAAAGATGAGGAATAAGGCAAAAATATTTTTATAAAGAAAATACACTGAAATAAAGATCATGGCCAGCACATTAAAGTAAGAGAAGGTATAGAAATTCTACAGGAAGAAACAAAACTCTATTTAAAGGTAACATAATTATGCATATTTTTAAAAAATCCTACAGAAAATCTAAAACAAGTTCATTTAGAAATGACACAGGATAAAGGTCAGTAAAGAAAAATCTATTGTACTGCTACATCCTTCCAATGAACAACTGGATACTGAAATTTAAAATACAATACCATTTATGATAGTATCCATAAGTATGAATACGATAGCATCTGTAAGTATGAAGTACTCAGAGATAAATGTAACAAAATATGCACAGGAGCTGAACACTGAAAACTGTATAACACTGCTAAAAGAAATTAAAGACCTCCATAAATGGAGAGACATACCATGTTCATGAATCAGAATACTCAATACTGTTAACTTGGCAATTCCCCCAAATTGATCTACAGACTCAATACAATGCCAATCAATGAGTTCTGAGTTATTCTAAAACTAGAGAAGTGCTCCAAATTATTAGAATGTGCATAATCATTACAACATTTAAATGTATGTTTCTCATTAGTTTGGTTATTAGATTGTATCTCTAAAGCATATGATTATGTTAATAATTCCCAAAGTTGTATGTATGTAAACTGTATCATACAATTATGTGACTAATTCCCGAAGTTGTAGGTATGTAAACTGTATCATACGATTATGTGAATAATTCCCGAAGTTGCAGGTATGTAAACTGTATGTTTTCTTTGGCTAGTACTCAGCCCTAGCATGTAGAGGGTGTCACTATTAGGTCACTCAAAGTATGCAGCTGGCTGGGCGCAGTGGCTCACGCCTGTAATCCCAATACTTTGGGAGGCCGAGGCAGGCGGATCACAAGGTCAGGAGATCGAGACCATCCTGGCTAACACGGTGAAACCCTGTCTCTACTAAAAATACAAAAAATTAGCCGGGCATGGTGGCGGGCGCCTGTAGTCCCAGCTAGTTAGGAGGCTGAAGCAGGAGAATGGTGTGAACCCGGGAGGCGGAGGTTGCAGTGAGCCGAGATCGCGCCACTGCACTCCAGCCTGGACGACAGAGCGAGACTCTGTCTCAAAAAACAAAACAAAAGTATGCAGCTGTGCAAGGCAGTATAGACCAGTCAGGAAGAGAAATTACATGTACACGAAATTAAACGAAAGCAACCAAAATTCAATATTAAATAAGAAAAGAATTAAACAAAACCATCTTAGCTGAGACCAAACCATTTCTTCACAATTCACGCAGCTCTCCCTTGAGTTTGTCAGATTCTAAAGCCTATGAAATGCTATAATTTTGACTGAGAATGTCAATGACCCACAACTGAAAAAACTGGTTTACCCTGGCCAAGACCTCTCATGCTCCCGTGCCAGAACAGAGATGCTCAGAATGAGGCCTAGCTCTACATAACACCACAACAGCCTTTCCACAAATATCTATCAATAAAATAGATAAAAGACCCTCTAGGAAAAATAAAGGACCCTCTAGGAAATAAAATAAAAGACACTCTAGGAAATAAAACAGAGAATCAGCAGACAGCATACTAGAGAGAATTAAAATCATTCCTTAATCAAATATTTCAATTATCCATGGGTCAACAGTCAGTTCTGAGGAAAAGAAAAATTTCTCCTTCATTGGGTCTTACATGACACATCTCTGGAAGACATACTTTAAAAGAAATCACATTTTTAAAAATTTCCAGAACTAGTCTTATACAGAAGCCTATGGTTTATAATTGTTGTAAAATTGTAGAAACATGCTAGTTCTTTAATTGTTTAATGTTCTTAAAGATAAACATCTATGACTTTAAAAAGCAGATTTTAAAATCTATTTTTTAATTAAAATAAACTAAAATAAAATTAGCTTTTTATTTTTAAAAATAATTTTTCGAGTCAGTCAGTATGTTCAGTTAATGAAAACAAAGCAGAAAATCCTGGGCTGTGAGCTGCTGTCTGAGCTGCCCAGTAGCCAACTCCACAGGTGTGCTGGGGACACAGAGCCCTGTCACCTGCCCTGTGTCCTGGATGTGCGCAGCCACACAGGCCTGCATCCCCTCGCCCGCCCTGTGTCCTGGATGTGCACAGCCACGCGGGCCTGCATCCCCTGTCGCCCGCCCTGTGTCCTGGATGTGCGCAGCCACGTGGGCCTGCATCCCCTGTCGCCCGCCCTGTGTCCTGGATGTGCGCAGCCACGTGGGCCTGCATCCCCTGTCACCCGCCCTGTGTCCTGTGTCTTGGATGTGCGCAGCCATGTGGGCCTGCATCCCCTGACGGGCAACACTCCATGCTCTGCTGCATCCTGTTTACACCACTATCTCTGTCCAGCTTCGAAGTATAGACAAAGGATGTTAACATTTACCTGTATAAACGTGAGCATGTGCGTGCCCTGGATCCCTGCAGGCCATGTGACATAACGAATGCCCCAACTGAACTGTCCACACTAGCATTCAAAGGACAGGCCCAAACATCTTTAAAGTTAAAACCTCAGGTCACTACACCAAAACTACAATGAAGCAAAATCCAAACTGATGGCGCACCTGCAGGAAGAAAATACGCCCCTACCTACAAAACTTAAAAGACCATTTTTCTTGTCCCCAAGTCGATGATGACTGTTGGATGGGGCCCATCCAGGTGACTCGCATTTTTATTACAATGATTCAACTTTAGCTTCAAATAAAAGGGGCTTTCTTTTTCTTTTCTTTGTTCTCGAAGTTATTTAAAGAATCTCATTCAGGTGTAGAACCCAAAAATTTGGATCCAAAATGCCAAGTGAGGCAAGCAGTACTCCACTGCCTTCTTGTGTTCCAGAGAGTGAAAGGAAAGAATAATCAGCTCTCAGCACTGATAGTACAGAACAGTCAGTTTTAATGAGAAATAACCAACAGGTGGGGTGGATTTCAACACACAGAGAGGGGGCCTTAGTGACGCCCCTGCTGCTGCAAGGCTGTGCCCGCCCTTGAGGGTTGGGCTGGCTCTGAGCAGATGCAGCCGCGCTAAACAGAAGGGCGAGTGACACCGCAGGGGGCAGCTTCTCGCACTCTCTCCAGGGGCCTCGTCACAACTCAGAGCCCCTTAAGGTGTCTGCATCTGTGCTGTAAGATTACACTCGGACTTCCCAGCTAATCCCTCACAGCAAGGAGTGAGCCCTGGGAACCCCGGGCTATTTTAACAGCATACGATTTGGATGTAATACTATCTGTGACTTACATACTTCTAATCTTCATTTAAAATATTTGAGTCCCGGCTGGGGGCGGTGGCTCACACCTGTATCCCAGCACTTTGGGAGGCTGAGGCGGGTGGATCATGAGGTCAGGAGTTTGAGATCAGACTGACCAACATGGTGAAACCCCATCTCTAATTAAAAAAAAAAAATTAGCCAGGCGTGGTGGCCTGCACCCATAATCCCAGCTACTCAGGAGGCTGAGGCAGGAGAATCACTAGAACCTGGGAGGCAGAGGTTGCAGTGAGCCAAGATCATGCCATTGCACTCCAGCCTGGGTGACAGAGCGAGACTCCATCTCAAAATATCTGAGTCCCAAAATAAATAATCCATAGAAGCACTTTATTATTCGGAATGCTAACCAATTTTTAACTTTGGAGACTTTTCCTTTTCAATGTTCCACTGCCCAATTTTAGACAGACAATTCTGATTCACTCATATGTGTTCACAAATTAGTAACTTTCTAATTTAAACATACTTTTTTTCATTGACATACTGGGATTATGTTCTTATCTGTTATTTCTCCCCTACAATTTTCTGTCAACAGCTTTCAACTGTTGGCAATTTTTATTTCTAATTTTCAGGACTTATATGGAAAGATACCAGCCTGTCCAACATGGCAAAACCTCATCTCTATTAAAAAATACAAAAATTAGCCAAGCATAGTAGCGTGCACCTATAGTTCCATCTACTCGGGAGGCTGAGGTGGGAGAATCGCTTGAATCCGGGAGGCAGAGGTTGCAGTGAGCCGAGACTGCACCACTGTACTCCAGCCTGCATGACAGAGTGAGACTGCCTTTTAAAAAGAACTTACATGGAAAGAAATGCCAGACTTAATAACATCCTTTTTTTTTTTTTTTTTTTTTTTTTTGAGTTAGGGTCTCATTCAGCCGGGAGTGCAGTGGCAGAGTCACAGCTCACCATAGTCTCACCTTCCCAGGCTCAAGCAATCCTCCCACCTCAGCCCCCTAAGGGATTATAGGCAGGTTCTACTGTGCCCAGCTAATTTTTTAAATTTTTTTGTAGAGATGGGGGTCTCACTATGTTGCCCATGCTGGTCTGGAACTCTTGGGTTCAAGTGATCCTTCCATCTTGGCCTTCCAAAATGCTGGAATTATAGGTGTGAGCCATCACACCCAGTCTCCTTCTTTAAAAGTCATTCAAATATGCCATATTTAAAACTTTACTATGAAAGGAAATCACTCCACTAGGCGTGGTGGCTCACGCCTTTAATCCCAGCACTCTGGGAGGCCGAGGCAGGCAGATCACCTAAGGTAAAGAGTTCAAGACCAGCCTGGCTAATGTGGCAAAACCCTGTCTCTTCTAAAATTACAAAAATTAGCTGGGCGGCGTGGTGCATGCCTGTAATCCCAGCTACTCGGGAGGATGAGGCAGGAGAATTGCTTGAGCCTGGGAGGCAGAGGCTGCAGTGAGCCAAGATTGCGCCACTGCACTCCAGCCTGGGTGGCAGAGCAGAGTCTCAAAAAAAAGGAAACCATTCTTACATTTTCTTTTAATTTTGAATAGGATATATTTTAAATAGGATTTTGAATAGAATATATTTTTATCCTATTTAAAACTATGAGAAAATAGAACGATTCTTCTATTAATCTTAATTTTTACAAATAATGGTTTTATTAGCAATATTAATAATCCCCATGCTGATATACAATAAATATATTCTACAATAGGTTGATTTTGCCTTGCCAATACAGTTCTTTCAAACCGGAAGATCTCACACATCTGGGTTAACTGGATTGTGCATCTGAGTCAGTATTAGGCAACTTTACTCTTATTTCACTGCTTGTTGACAAGCAGACAGACAACCACCGCAGGGCTGTGAATGATAACACCTGCCCCCAGCAGAGGGAAGCATGGGGGATTTCTGCCACGGCAGGTCTGTGACTAACATCACGTTTTCATGGGCACAGACACTGTTACCCTCAGAAAGCAGGAGGACCCTGGGCCGAAGCAGCCCCAGAGGAGCTCCAGGTCCTCTTCCTCTTATCTTAAACTAGAAACTCAGATGGAAATGAATGCGTGACTTGGCCAAGGTCACCTCAGTGTCTGTCAGGGCAACTGTGACAGCCAGAGGCCCAAGCTCCGCCCTGTGCAGATGGAATCCAAGCAAGGCACCCTCAAGGCCAACCCACGACAGAAACCACACTCAGCCTTTGGAGTTCTTCACAGAGGAACTTCTCTCCCCATCGCACATTGTCAGTGGTGGAATCTAACGACCAATTTTGTCAACACTTTTCCCAAGTGGTGACAATGACCTGCCCAGCACTGGCACAACGTGACAAGTGACAAGTGACACGTGATGGGCAGCCGTCCACCAGCACACAAGGTTCCGGGGGCAGGAGAGGTTCGTTCATCCTTGTGTTTAATTCCTTAGAACAGTGGTTCTCAATGCAGGTGCCCAGGGGTGCTTTGAGATCCCGTGGGACATCTTTGGTGGTCAAGATTCAGAGAGTACTGGAATTTGGCAGGCAGAGGCAAGGGAGGTTGAGACGTCCTTCAATGAGCGAGACAGTCTCACCCAACAAAAACTCTCCACATACAAAACTTACAATGAACCAGAACTTCATGAGTGGAAAACATGCTTCTAACTCTCTGAACTCAGAATCTTACTCTATTCAACGTTTACACACAAAACATTTTTGCACGGTCTTACTATGACTTGAATTTTCCATGAATTCAACTATTACATAAGTCTAGAAAAAATTATACTTTGCTTTATGTGAAAGTTCATTAGGAACTGCTCACCATTCTGTAATATTCCATCACCAGCTGGGGGCTGAACTCCCAGTGTCACACCTGGGTCCATCTGCAGGGACCGCCCCCCGGTCACCAGGACGCAACACACCAGGTGGGACGTCCGGCTTTTTCACGGCTAACCATCACCATGTTGAAATGTGTTGTCTTATTACACAATACTATCACATTCATTCTCTACAGCTAGGGCAGTCTAATAACTATAAGTTATAAATTACATTTTCTTTTTTTTTGGAAACATAAATTATATTTTCTAAGAACTGCATTTTAGGGTAAGAGGACATTACCCCAAAAAACTATCCTAAAAAAAAGGCATTGGGTCCAACAGCTTTGCACACCTGACCTGGGAGCCCAACAGCGTCCCTGCACAGAGGACATGGTAAACAAACTCCTGCTGGGGGGAAACATGTGAGTGACAGCATTTGTGCAGGGCGAAGGCCTCATCTCAGAGTAACACGTGAACGATCCCCAGCTCCCGCCTGCGAAATGAGATGCCAACTCCACCACCAGCAGCGGAGCTCGGAAGACGGCCGGGTAGCGTTTCCAAAACTTCCGGCATGCCCGAGAGCTCAAAGAGGCACCACTGCTTCAGCCAGCACAGCAGCCATCATGTGGAGCTGCCCCCAGACTTCCCACACTCCCTGGCGAGGTCCACAAAGCACCTAACCCAGCACCAGCCACCAGCACACATGGGCAGGGTGGCACCTGCAGCACACACGGGCAGCAAGGTCACAACAGTCCCTCCAGGCTTGTTGCGGCTCCCATTCCTCGGCATCCACATGTCCTCCCCGGCCCCCCCACTGCCGTCCCACCATTCTCTCTCCTCCCAGACACACCGGGCAGAAGGCTACAGCCAGGCCAGGGAACCTGAAGTGAGCAGCGCTCAGTCAAAAGGCCCCTTGTCAAGCACAAAGCTGTGCCGTGTCCACTGCCTTAAGCAGGACTTCTTTCTGGCCAGGTGTGGGGAAGGTTAGCAACACCAGAGCCTGAGCTTCAG